>NC_000017.11:24128687-24439910 GCF_000001405.40 Homo sapiens
AGGTTTGAAACACTCTTTCTGTAGGATCTGCAAGTGGCTATTTGGACCACTCTGTGGCCTTCGTTCGAAACGGGTATATCTTCGCATAAAATCTAGACAGAAGCATTCTCAGAAAATACTTTGTGATGATTGAGTTTAAATCACAGAGCTGACCATTCCTTTGGATGGAGCAGGTTTGAGACACACTTTTTGTAGAATCTACAAGTGGATATTTGGACCTCTCTGAGGATTTCGTTGGAAACGGGATAACTGCACCTAACTAAACGGAAGCATTCTCAGAAACTGCTTTGTGATGATTGCATTCACCTCACAGAGTTGAACATTCCTATTGATAGAGCAGTTTGGAAACACTCTTGTTGTGGAATGTGCAAGTGGAGATTTGGAGCGCTTTGAGGCCTATGGTAGTAAAGGGAATAGCTTCATAGAAAAACTAGACAGATGCATTCTCAGGAACTTTTTGGTGATGTTTGTATTCAACTCCCAGAGTTGAACTTTCCTTTGGAAAGAGCAGCTATGAAACACTCTTTTTCTAGAATCTGCAAGTGGACGTTTGGAGGGCTTTGTGGTTTGTGGTGGAAAAGGAAATATCTTCACCTAAATACTAGATAGAAGCATTCTCAGAAGCTTCTCTGTGATGACTGCATTCAACTCACGGAGTTGAACACTCCTTTTGAGAGCGCAGTTTTGAAACTCCCTTTCTGTGGCATCTGCAAGTGGACATGTAGACCTCTTTGAAGATTTCGTTGGAAACGGAATCATCTTCACATAAAAACTATACAGAAGCAGTCTCAGAATCTTCTTTGTGATGTTTGCATTCAAATCCCAGAGTTGAACTTTCCTTTCAAAGTTCACGTTTGAAACACTCTTTTTGCAGGATCTACAAGTGGATATTTGGACCACTCTGTGTCCTTCGTTCGAAACGGGTATATCTTCACAGGACATCTAGACAGAAGCTTTCTCAGAAAATTCTTTGGGATGATTGAGTGGAACTCACAGAGCTGAACATTCCTTGCGATGTAGCAGTTTAGAAACACACTTTCTGCAGAATCTGCAAGTGCATATTTGGACCTCTCTGAGGAATTCGTTGGAAACGGGATAATTTCAGCTGACTAAACAGAAAGCATTCTCAGAACCTTCTTCGTGATGTCTGCATTCAACTCACAGTGTGGAACCTTTCTTTGATAGTTCAGGTTTGAAACACTCTTTTTGTAGAAACTGCAAGGGGATAATTGCACTTCTTTGAGGCCTACCGTAGTAAAGGAAATAACTTCCTATAGAAAGAAGACAGAAGCATTCTCAGAACCCTCTTCGTGATGTTTGCATTCAACTCACAGTGCTGAACCTTTCTTTGATAGTTCAGCTTTGAAACACTCTTCTTGTAGAAACTGCAAGTGGATATTTGGTCCTACTACTGAGGATTTCGTTGGAAACGGGATAAACCGCACAGAACTAAACAGAAGAATTCTCAGAGCCCTCTTCGTGATGTTTGCATTCAACTCACAGTGCTGAACCTTTCTTTGATAGTGCAGCTTTGAAACACTCTTTTTGTAGAAACTGCAAGTGGATGTTTGGTCCTCTCTGAGGATTTCGTTGGAAACGGGATAAACCGCACAGAACTAAAACAGAAGCATTGTCAGAAACTTCTTTGTGATGATTGCATTCAACTCACAGAGTTGAAGGTTCCTTTTCAAACAGCAGTTTCCAATCACTCTTTCTGTGGAATCTGCAAGTGGATATTTGGGCCTCTCTGAGGATTTCGTTGGAAACGGGATAAAACGCACAGAACTAAAACAGAAGCATTCTCAGAAACTTCTCTGTGATGTTTGTGTTCAACTCCCAGAGTTTCACGTTGCTTTTCATAGAGTAGTTCTGAAACATGCTTTTCGTAGTGTCTGCAAGTGGACATTTGGAGCGCTTTCAGGCCTGTGGTGGAAAACGAATTATGGTCACATAAAAACTGGAGAGAAGCCTTCTCAGAAACTTCTCTGTGATGATTGCATTCAACTCACAGAGTTGAACCCTCCTATGGATAGAGCAGTGTTGAAACTCTCTTTTTGTGGAATCTGCAAGTGGATATGTGGACCTCTCCGAAGATGTCTTTGGAAACGGGAATATCTTCACATAAAAACTAAACAGAAGCATTCTCAGAAACTTCTTGGTGATGTTTGCATTCAAATCCCAGAGTTGAACCTTCCTTTGATAGTTCAGGTTTGAAACACTCTTTCTGTAGGATCTGCAAGTGGCTATTTGGACCACTCTGTGGCCTTCGTTCGAAACGGGTATATCTTCGCATAAAATCTAGACAGAAGCATTCTCAGAAAATACTTTGTGATGATTGAGTTTAAATCACAGAGCTGACCATTCCTTTGGATGGAGCAGGTTTGAGACACACTTTTTGTAGAATCTACAAGTGGATATTTGGACCTCTCTGAGGATTTCGTTGGAAACGGGATAACTGCACCTAACTAAACGGAAGCATTCTCAGAAACTGCTTTGTGATGGTTGCATTCACCTCACAGAGTTGAACATTCCTATTGATAGAGCAGTTTGGAAACACTCTTGTTGTGGAATGTGCAAGTGGAGATTTGGAGCGCTTTGAGGCCTATGGTAGTAAAGGGAATAGCTTCATAGAAAAACTAGACAGATGCATTCTCAGGAACCTTTTGGTGATGTTTGTATTCAACTCCCAGAGTTGAACTTTCCTTTGGAAAGAGCAGCTATGAAACACTCTTTTTCTAGAATCTGCAAGTGGACGTTTGGAGGGCTTTGTGGTTTGTGGTGGAAAAGGAAATATCTTCACCTAAATACTAGATAGAAGCATTCTCAGAAGCTTCTCTGTGATGACTGCATTCAACTCACGGAGTTGAACACTCCTTTTGAGAGCGCAGTTTTGAAACTCTCTTTCTGTGGCATCTGCAAGGGGACATGTAGACCTCTTTGAAGATTTCGTTGGAAACGGAATCATCTTCACATAAAAACTATACAGAAGCAGTCTCAGAATCTTCTTTGTGATGTTTGCATTCAAATCCCTGAGTTGAACTTTCCTTTCCAAGTTCACGTTTGAAACACTCTTTTTGCAGGATCTACAAGTGGATATTTGGACCTCTCTGTGTCCTTCGTTCGAAACGGGTATATCTTCACATGACATCTAGACAGAAGCTTTCTCAGAAAATTCTTTGGGATGATTGAGTGGAACTCACAGAGCTGAACATTCCTTGCGATGTAGCAGTTTAGAAACACACTTTCTGCAGAATCTGCAAGTGCATATTTGGACCTCTCTGAGGAATTCGTTGGAAACGGGATAATTTCAGCTGACTAAACAGAAGCATTCTCAGAACCTTCTTCGTGATGTCTGCATTCAACTCACAGTGTGGAACCTTTCTTTGATAGTTCAGGTTTGAAACACTCTTTTTGTAGAAACTGCAAGGGGATAATTGCACTTCTTTGAGGCCTACCGTAGTAAAGGAAATAACTTCCTATAGAAAGAAGACAGAAGCATTCTCAGAACCCTCTTCGTGATGTTTGCATTCAACTCACAGTGCTGAACCTTTCTTTGATAGTTCAGCTTTGAAACACTCTTCTTGTAGAAACTGCAAGTGGATATTTGGTCCTCTCTGAGGATTTCGTTGGAAACGGGATAAACCGCACAGAACTAAACAGAAGCATTCTCAGAACCTTCTTCGTGATGTTTGCATTCAACTCACAGTGTTGAACCTTTCTTTGATAGTTCAGGTTTGAAACGGTCTTTCTGTAGAAACTGCAAGTAGATATTTGGACCTCTCTGAGGATTTCGTTGGAAACGGGATGAACCGCACAGAACTAAAACAGAAGCATTCACAGAAAACTCTTGGTGACGACTGAGTTTAACTCACAGAGCTGAACATTCCTTTGGATGGAGCAGTTTCAAAACACACTATTTGTAGAATGTGCAAGTGGATATGTGGGCCTCTCTGAGGATTTCGTTGGAAACGGGATAAACCGCACAGAACTAAACAGAAGCATTCTCAGAAACTACTTTGTGATGATTGCATTCAAGTCACAGAGTTGAACATACCCTTTGACAGAGCAGTTTGGAAACTCTCTTTGCGTAGAATCTGCAAGTGAAGATATGGACCGCTTTGAGGCCTATGGTAGTAAAGGAAATAGCTTCATATAAAAGCTAGACAGCAGCATTCTCAGAAACTTCTTTGTGATGCTTGCATTCAACTCACAGAGTTGAACTTTCCTTTCGAGAGAGAAGCTTTGAAACACTCTTTTTCCAGAATCTGCAAGTGGACATTTGGAGGGCTTTGAGGCCTGTGGTGGAAAAGGAATTATCTTCCCTTAAAAGCTAGATAGAAGCATTGTCAGAAACTTCTTTGTGATGATTGCATTCAAGTCACAGAGTTGAAGGTTCCTTTTCAAAGAGCAGTTTCCAATCACTCTTTCTGTGGAATCTGCAAGTGGATATTTGGACCTCTTTGAAGATTTCGTTGGAAACGGGAGAATCTTCACAGAAAAGCTAAACAGAAGCATTCTCAGAAACTTCTCTGTGATGTTTGTGTTCAACTCCCAGAGTTTCACATTGCTTCTCATAGAGTAGTTCTGAAACATGCTTTTCGTAGTGTCTGCAAGTGGACATTTGGAGCGCTTTCAGGCCTGTGGTGGAAAACGAATTATGGTCACATAAAAACTGGAGAGAAGCCTTCTCAGAAACTTCTCTGTGATGATTGCATTCAACTCACAGTGTTGAACCCTCCTATGGATAGAGCAGTGTTGAAACTCTCTTTTTGTGGAATCTGCAAGCGGATATGTGGACCTCTCCGAAGATGTCTTTGGAAGCGGGAATATCTTCACATAAAAACTAAACAGAAGCATTCTCAGAAACTTCTTGGTGATGTTTGCATTCAAATCCCAGAGTTGAACCTTCCTTTGAGAGTTCAGGTTTGAAACACTCTTTTTGTAGGATCTGCAAGTGGATATTTGGACCACTCTGTGGCCTTCGTTCGAAACGGTTACATCTTCGCATAAAATCTAGACAGAAGCATTCTCAGAAAATACTTTGTGATGATTGAGTTGAACTCACAGAGCTGAACATTCCTTTGGATGGAGCAGGTTTGAGACACACTTTTTGTAGAACCTACAAGTGGATATTTGGACCTCTCTGAGGATTTCGTTGGAAACGGGATAACTGCACCTAACTAAACGGAAGAATTCTCAGAAACTGCTTTGTGATGATTGCATTCACCTCACAGAGTTGAACATTCCTATTGATAGAGCAGTTTGGAAACACTCTTCTTGTGGAATGTGCAAGTGGTGATTTGGAGTGCTTTGAGGCCTATGGTAGTAAAGGGAATAGCTTCATAGAAAAACTAGACAGATGCATTCTCAGGAACTTTTTGGTGATGTTTGTATTCAACTCCCAGAGTTGAACTTTCCTTTGGAAAGAGCAGCTATGAAACACTCTTTTTCTAGAATCTGCAAGTGGACGTTTGGAGGGCTTTGTGGTTTGTGGTGGAAAAGGAAATATCTTCACCTAAATACTAGATAGAAGCATTCTCAGAAGCTTCTCTGTGATGACTGCATTCAACTCACGGAGTTGAACACTCCTTTTGAGAGCGCAGTTTTGAAACTCTCTTTCTGTGGCATCTGCAAGGGGACATGTAGACCTCTTTGAAGATTTCGTTGGAAACGGAATCATCTTCACATAAAAACTATACAGAAGCAGTCTCAGAATCTTCTTTGTGATGTTTGCATTCAAATCCCAGAGTTGAACTTTCCTTTCAAAGTTCACGTTTGAAACACTCTTTTTGCAGGATCTACAAGTGGATATTTGGACCACTCTGTGTCCTTCGTTCGAAACGGGTATATCTTCACACGACATCTAGACAGAAGCTTTCTCAGAAAATTCTTTGGGATGATTGAGTGGAACTCACAGAGCTGAACATTCCTTGCGATGTAGCAGTTTAGAAACACACTTTCTGCAGAATCTGCAAGTGCATATTTGGACCTCTCTGAGGAATTCGTTGGAAACGGGATAATTTCAGCTGACTAAACAGAAGCATTCTCAGAACTTCTTCGTGATGTCTGCATTCAACTCACAGTGTGGAACCTTTCTTTGATAGTTCAGGTTTGAAACACTCTTTTTGTAGAAACTGCAAGGGGATAATTGCACTTCTTTGAGGCCTACCGTAGTAAAGGAAATAACTTCCTATAGAAAGAAGACAGAAGAATTCTCAGAGCCCTCTTCGTGATGTTTGCATTCAACTCACAGTGCTGAACCTTTCTTTGATAGTGCAGCTTTGAAACACTCTTTTTGTAGAAACTGCAAGTGGATGTTTGGTCCTCTGCTGAGGATTTCGTTGGAAACGGGATAAACCGCACAGAACTAAAACAGAAGCATTCTCAGAACCTTCTTCGTGATGTTTGCATTCAACTCACAGTGTTGAACCTTTCTTTGATAGTTCAGGTTTGAAACGGTCTTTCTGTAGAAACTGCAAGTAGATATTTGGACCTCTCTGAGGATTTCGTTGGAAACGGGATAACCCGCACAGAACTAAAACAGAAGCATTCACAGAAAACTCTTGGTGACGACTGAGTTTAACTCACAGAGCTGAACTTTCCTTTGGATGGAGCAGTTTCGAAACACACTATTTGTAGAATGTGCAAGTGGATATTTGGGCCTCTCTGAGGATTTCGTTGGAAACGGGATAAACCGCACAGAACTAAACAGAAGCTTTTTCAGAAACTACTTTGTGATGATTGCATTCAAGTCACAGAGTTGAACATTCCCTTTGACAGAGCAGTTTGGAAACTCTCTTTGTGTAGAATCTGCAAGTGGAGATATGGACCGCTTTGAGGCCTATGGTAGTAAAGGAAATAGCTTCATATAAAAGCTAGACAGTAGCATTCTCAGAAACTTCTTTGTGATGCTTGCATTCAACTCACAGAGTTGAACTTTCCTTTCGAGAGAGAAGCTTTGAAACACTCTTTTTCCAGAATCTGCAAGTGGACATTTGGAGGGCTTTGAGGCCTGTGGTGGAAAAGGAATTAACTTCCCGTAAAAGCTAGATAGAAGCATTGTCAGAAACTTCTTTGTGATGATTGCATTCAACTCACAGAGATGAAGGTTCCTTTACAAACAGCAGTTTCCAAACACTCTTTCTGTGGAATCTGCAAGTGGATATTTGGACCTCTTTGAAGATTTCGTTGGAAACGGGAGAATCTTCACAGAAAAGCTAAACAGAAGCATTCTCAGAAACTTCTCTGTGATGTTTGTGTTCAACTCCCAGAGTTTCACATTGCTTTTCATAGAGTAGTTCTGAAACATGCTTTTCGTAGTGTCTGCAAGTGGACATTTGGAGTGCTTTCAGGCCTGTGGTGGAAAACGAATTATGGTCCCATAAAAACTGGAGAGAAGCCTTCTCAGAAACTTCTCTGTGATGATTGCATTCAACTCACAGATTTGAACCCTCCTATGGATAGAGCATTGTTGAAACTCTCTTTTTGTGGAATCTGCAAGTGGATATGTGGACCTCTCCGAAGATGTCTTTGGAAACGGGCATATCTTCACATAAAAACTAAACAGAAGCATTCTCAGAAACTTCTTGGTGATGTTTGCATTCAAATCCCAGAGTTGAACCTTCCTGTGATAGTTCAGGTTTGAAACACTCTTTTTGTAGGATCTGCAAGTGGATATTTGGACCACTCTGTGGCCTTCGTTCGAAACGGGTACATCTTCACATAAAATCTAGACAGAAGCATTCTCAGAAAATACTTTGTGATGATTGAGTTTAACTCACAGAGCTGAACATTCCTTTGGATGGAGCAGGTTTGAGACACACTTTTTGTAGAATCTACAAGTGGATATTTGGACCTCTCTGAGGATTTCGTTGGAAACGCGATAACTGCACCTAACTAAACGGAAGCATTCTCAGAAACTGCTTTGTGATGATTGCATTCACCTCACAGAGTTGAACATTCCTATTGATAGAGCAGTTTGGAAACACTCTTGTTGTGGAATGTGCAAGTGGAGATTTGGAGCGCTTTGAGGCCTATGGTAGTAAAGGGAATAGCTTCATAGAAAAACTAGACAGATGCATTCTCAGGAACTTTTTGGTGATGTTTGTATTCAACTCCCAGAGTTGAACTTTCCTTTGGAAAGAGCAGCTATGAAGCACTCTTTTTCTAGAATCTGCAAGTGGACGTTTGGAGGGCTTTGTGGTTTGTGGTGGAAAAGGAAATATCTTCACCTAAATACTAGAGAGAAGCATTCTCAGAAGCTTCTCTGTGATGACTGCATTCAACTCACGGGGTTGAACACTCCTTTTGGGAGCGCAGTTTTGAAACTCTCTTTCTGTGGCATCTGCAAGGGGACATGTAGACCTCTTTGAAGATTTCGTTGGAAACGGAATCATCTTCACATCAAAACTATACAGAAGCAGTCTCAGAATCTTCTTTGTGATGTTTGCATTCAAATCCCAGAGTTGAACTTTCCTTTCAAAGTTCACGTTTGAAACACTCTTTTTGCAGGATCTACAAGTGGATATTTGGACCACTCTGTGTCCTTCGTTCGAAACGGGTATATCTTCACATGACATCTAGACAGAAGCTTTCTCAGAAAATTCTTTGGGATGATTGAGTGGAACTCACAGAGCTGAACATTCCTTGCGATGTAGCAGTTTAGAAACACACTTTCTGCAGAATCTGCAAGTGCATATTTGGACCTCTCTGAGGAATTCGTTGGAAACGGGATAATTTCAGCTGACTAAACAGAAGCATTCTCAGAACCTTCTTCGTGATGTCTGCATTCAACTCACAGTGTGGAACCTTTCTTTGATAGTTCAGGTTTGAAACACTCTTTTTGTAGAAACTGCAAGGGGATAATTGCACTTCTTTGAGGCCTACCGTAGTAAAGGAAATAACTTCCTATAGAAAGAAGACAGAAGCATTCTCAGAACCCTCTTCGTGATGTTTGCATTCAACTCACAGTGCTGAACCTTTCTTTGATAGTTCAGCTTTGAAACACTCTTCTTGTAGAAACTGCAAGTGGATATTTGGTCCTCTCTGAGGATTTCGTTGGAAACGGGATAAACCGCACAGAACTAAACAGAAGAATTCTCAGAGCCCTCTTCGTGATGTTTGCATTCAACTCACAGTGCTGAACCTTTCTTTGATAGTGCAGCTTTGAAACACTCTTTTTGTAGAAACTGCAAGTGGATGTTTGGTCCTCTCTGAGGATTTCGTTGGAAACGGGATAAACCGCACAGAACTAAAACAGAAGCATTGTCAGAACTTCTTTGTGATGATTGCATTCAACTCACAGAGTTGAAGGTTCCTTTTCAAACAGCAGTTTCCAATCACTCTTTCTGTGGAATCTGCAAGTGGATATTTGGGCCTCTCTGAGGATTTCGTTGGAAACGGGATAAAACGCACAGAACTAAAACAGAAGCATTCTCAGAAACTTCTCTGTGATGTTTGTGTTCAACTCCCAGAGTTTCACGTTGCTTTTCATAGAGTAGTTCTGAAACATGCTTTTCGTAGTGTCTGCAAGTGGACATTTGGAGCGCTTTCAGGCCTGTGGTGGAAAACGAATTATGGTCACATAAAAACTGGAGAGAAGCCTTCTCAGAAACTTCTCTGTGATGATTGCATTCAACTCACAGGAGTTGAACCCTCCTATGGATAGAGCAGTGTTGAAACTCTCTTTTTGTGGAATCTGCAAGTGGATATGTGGACCTCTCCGAAGATGTCTTTGGAAACGGGAATATCTTCACATAAAAACTAAACAGAAGCATTCTCAGAAACTTCTTGGTGATGTTTGCATTCAAATCCCAGAGTTGAACCTTCCTTTGATAGTTCAGGTTTGAAACACTCTTTCTGTAGGATCTGCAAGTGGCTATTTGGACCACTACTGTGGCCTTCGTTCGAAACGGGTATATCTTCGCATAAAATCTAGACAGAAGCATTCTCAGAAAATACTTTGTGATGATTGAGTTGAACTCACAGAGCTGAACATTCCTTTGGATGGAGCAGGTTTGAGACACACTTTTTGTAGAATCTACAAGTGGATATTTGGACCTCTCTGAGGATTTCGTTGGAAACGGGATAACTGCACCTAACTAAACGGAAGCATTCTCAGAAACTGCTTTGTGATGATTGCATTCACCTCACAGAGTTGAACATTCCTATTGATAGAGCAGTTTGGAAACACTCTTGTTGTGGAATGTGCAAGTGGAGATTTGGAGCGCTTTGAGGCCTATGGTAGTAAAGGGAATAGCTTCATAGAAAAACTAGACAGATGCATTCTCAGGAACTTTTTGGTGATGTTTGTATTCAACTCCCAGAGTTGAACTTTCCTTTGGAAAGAGCAGCTATGAAACACTCTTTTTCTAGAATCTGCAAGTGGACGTTTGGAGGGCTTTGTGGTTTGTGGTGGAAAAGGAAATATCTTCACCTAAATACTAGATAGAAGCATCCTCAGAAGCTTCTCTGTGATGACTGCATTCAACTCACGGAGTTGAACACTCCTTTTGAGAGCGCAGTTTTGAAACTCTCTTTCTGTGGCATCTGCAAGGGGACATGTAGACCTCTTTGAAGATTTCGTTGGAAACGGAATCATCTTCACATAAAAACTATACAGAAGCAGTCTCAGAATCTTCTTTGTGATGTTTGCATTCAAATCCCCGAGTTGAACTTTCCTTTCAAAGTTCACGTTTGAAACACTCTTTTTGCAGGATCTACAAGTGGATATTTGGACCACTCTGTGTCCTTCGATCGAAACGGGTATATCTTCACATGACATCTAGACAGAAGCTTTCTCAGAAAATTCTTTGGGATGATTGAGTTGAACTCACAGAGCTGAGCATTCCTTGCGATGTAGCAGTTTAGAAACACACTTTCTGCAGAATCTGCAAGTGCATATTTGGACCTCTGTGAGGAATTCGTTGGAAACGGGATAATTTCAGCTGACTAAACAGAAGCATTCTCAGAACCTTCTTCGTGATGTCTGCATTCAACTCACAGTGTGGAACCTTTCTTTGATAGTTCAGGTTTGAAACACTCTTTTTGTAGAAACTGCAAGGGGATAATTGCACTCTTTGAGGAGTACCGTAGTAAAGGAAATAACTTCCTATAAAAAGAAGACAGAAGCATTCTCAGAACCCTCTTGGTGATGTTTGAATTCAACTCACAGTGCTGAACCTTTCTTTGATAGTTCAGCTTTGAAACACTCTTTTTGTAGAAAGTGCAAGTGGATATTTGGTCCTCTCTGAGGATTTCGTTGGAAACGGGATAAACTGCACAGAACTAAACAGAAGCATTCTCAGAACCTTCTTCGTGATGTTTGCATTCAACTCACAGTGTTGAACCTTTCTTTGATAGTTCAGGTTTGAAACGGTCTTTCTGTAGAAACTGCAAGTAGATATTTGGACCTCTCTGAGGATTTCGTTGGAAACGGGATAACCCGCACAGAACTAAAACAGAAGCATTCACAGAAAACTCTTGGTGACGACTGAGTTTAACTCACAGAGCTGAACATTCCTTTGGATGGAGCAGTTTCGAAACACACTATTTGTAGAATGTGCAAGTGGATATTTAGGCCTCTCTGAGGATTTCGTTGGAAACGGGATAAACCGCACAGAACTAAACAGAAGCATTCTCAGAAACTACTTTGTGATGATTGCATTCAAGTCACAGAGTTGAACATTCCCTTTGACAGAGCAGTTTGGAAACTCTCTTTGTGTAGAATCTGCAAGTGGAGATATGGACCGCTTTGAGGCCTATGGTAGTAAAGGAAATAGCTTCATATAAAAGCTAGACAGTAGCATTCTCAGAAACTTCTTTGTGATGCTTGCATTCAACTCACAGAGTTGAACTTTCCTTTCGAGAGAGAAGCTTTGAAACACTCTTTTTCCAGAATCTGCAAGTGGACATTTGGAGGGCTTTGAGGCCTGTGGTGGAAAAGGAATTATCTTCCCGTAAAAGCTAGATAGAAGCATTGTCAGAAACTTCTTTGGGATGATTGCATTCAACTCACAGAGTTGAAGGTTCCTTTTCAAAGAGCAGTTTCCAATCACTCTTTCTGTGGAATCTGCAAGTGGATATTTGGACCTATTTTGAAGATTTCGTTGGAAACGGGAGAATCTTCACAGGAAAGCTAAACAGAAGCATTCTCAGAAACTTCTCTGTGATGTTTGTGTTCAACTCCCAGAGTTTCACATTGCTTTTCATAGAGTAGTTCTGAAACATGCTTTTCGTAGTGTCTACAAGTGGACATTTGGAGCGCTTTCAGGCCTGTGGTGGAAAACGAATTATGGTCACATAAAAACTGGAGAGAAGCCTTCTCAGAAACTTCTCTGTGATGATTGCATTCAACTCACAGAGTTGAACCCTCCTATGGATAGAGCAGTGTTGAAACTCTCTTTTTGTGGAATCTGCAAGTGGATATGTGGACCTCTCCGAAGATGTCTTTGGAAACGGGAATATCTTCACATAAAAACTAAACAGAAGCATTCTCAGAAACTTCTTGGTGATGTTTGCATTCAAATCCCAGAGTCGAACCTTCCTTTGATAGTTCAGGTTTGAAACACTCTTTTTGTAGGATCTGCAAGTGGATATTTGGACCACTCTGTGGCCTTCGTTCGAAACGGGTATATCTTCGCATAAAATCTAGACAGAAGCATTCTCAGAAAATACTTTGTGATGATTGAGTTTAACTCACAGAGCTGAACATTCCTTTGGATGGAGCAGGTTTGAGACACACTTTTTGTAGAATCTACAAGTGGATATTTGGACCTCTCTGAGGATTTCGTTGGAAACGGGATAACTGCACCTAACTAAACGGAAGCATTCTCAGAAACTGCTTTGTGATGATTGCATTCACCTCACAGAGTTGAACATTCCTATTGATAGAGCAGTTTGGAAACACTCTTGTTGTGGAATGTGCAAGTGGAGATTTGGAGCGCTTTGAGGCCTATGGTAGTAAAGGGAATAGCTTCATAGAAAAACTAGACAGATGCATTCTCAGGAACTTTTTGGTGATGTTTGTATTCAACTCCCAGAGTTGAACTTTCCTTTGGAAAGAGCAGCTATGAAACACTCTTTTTCTAGAATCTGCAAGTGGACGTTTGGAGGGCTTTGTGGTTTGTGGTGGAAAAGGAAATATCTTCACCTAAATACTAGATAGAAGCATTCTCAGACGCTTCTCTGTGATGACTGCATTCAACTCACGGAGTTGAACACTCCTTTTGAGAGCGCAGTTTTGAAACTCTCTTTCTGTGGCATCTGCAAGGGGACATGTAGACCTCTTTGAAGATTTCGTTGGAAACGGAATCATCTTCACATAAAAACTATATAGAAGCAGTCTCAGAATCTTCTTTGTGATGTTTGCATTCAAATCCCAGAGTTGAACTTTCCTTTCAAAGTTCACGTTTGAAACACTCTTTTTGCAGGATCTACAAGTGGATATTTGGACCACTCTGTGTCCTTCGTTCGAAACGGGTATATCTTCACACGACATCTAGACAGAAGCTTTCTCAGAAAATTCTTTGGGATGATTGAGTGGAACTCACAGAGCTGAACATTCCTTGCGATGTAGCAGTTTAGAAACACACTTTCTGCAGAATCTGCAAGTGCATATTTGGACCTCTCTGAGGAATTCGTTGGAAACGGGATAATTTCAGCTGACTAAACAGAAGCATTCTCAGAACCTTCTTCGTGATGTCTGCATTCAACTCACAGTGTGGAACCTTTCTTTGATAGTTCAGGTTTGAAACACTCTTTTTGTAGAAACTGCAAGGGGATAATTGCACTTCTTTGAGGCCTACCGTAGTAAAGGAAATAACTTCCTATAGAAAGAAGACAGAAGCATTCTCAGAACCCTCTTCGTGATGTTTGCATTCAACTCACAGTGCTGAACCTTTCTTTGATAGTTCAGCTTTGAAACACTCTTCTTGTAGAAACTGCAAGTGGATATTTGGTCCTCTCTGAGGATTTCGTTGGAAACGGGATAAACCGCACAGAACTAAACAGAAGAATTCTCAGAGCCCTCTTCGTGATGTTTGCATTCAACTCACAGTGCTGAACCTTTCTTTGATAGTGCAGCTTTGAAACACTCTTTTTGTAGAAACTGCAAGTGGATGTTTGGTCCTCTCTGAGGATTTCGTTGGAAACGGGATAAACCGCACAGAACTAAAACAGAAGCATTGTCAGAAACTTCTTTGTGATGATTGCATTCAACTCACAGAGTTGAAGGTTCCTTTTCAAACAGCAGTTTCCAATCACTCTTTCTGTGGAATCTGCAAGTGGATATTTGGGCCTCTCTGAGGATTTCGTTGGAAACGGGATAAAACGCACAGAACTAAAACAGAAGCATTCTCAGAAACTTCTCTGTGATGTTTGTGTTCAACTCCCAGAGTTTCACGTTGCTTTTCATAGAGTAGTTCTGAAACATGCTTTTCGTAGTGTCTGCAAGTGGACATTTGGAGCGCTTTCAGGCCTGTGGTGGAAAACGAATTATGGTCACATAAAAACTGGAGAGAAGCCTTCTCAGAAACTTCTCTGTGATGATTGCATTCAACTCACAGAGTTGAACCCTCCTATGGATAGAGCAGTGTTGAAACTCTCTTTTTGTGGAATCTGCAAGTGGATATGTGGACCTCTCCGAAGATGTCTTTGGAAACGGGAATATCTTCACATAAAAACTAAACAGAAGCATTCTCAGAAACTTCTTGGTGATGTTTGCATTCAAATCCCAGAGTTGAACCTTCCTTTGATAGTTCAGGTTTGAAACACTCTTTCTGTAGGATCTGCAAGTGGCTATTTGGACCACTCTGTGGCCTTCGTTCGAAACGGGTATATCTTCGCATAAAATCTAGACAGAAGCATTCTCAGAAAATACTTTGTGATGATTGAGTTTAAATCACAGAGCTGACCATTCCTTTGGATGGAGCAGGTTTGAGACACACTTTTTGTAGAATCTACAAGTGGATATTTGGACCTCTCTGAGGATTTCGTTGGAAACGGGATAACTGCACCTAACTAAACGGAAGCATTCTCAGAAACTGCTTTGTGATGATTGCATTCACCTCACAGAGTTGAACATTCCTATTGATAGAGCAGTTTGGAAACACTCTTGTTGTGGAATGTGCAAGTGGAGATTTGGAGCGCTTTGAGGCCTGTGGTAGTAAAGGGAATAGCTTCATAGAAAAACTAGACAGATGCATTCTCAGGAACTTTTTGGTGATGTTTGTATTCAACTCCCAGAGTTGAACTTTCCTTTGGAAAGAGCAGCTATGAAACACTCTTTTTCTAGAATCTGCAAGTGGACGTTTGGAGGGCTTTGTGGTTTGTGGTGGAAAAGGAAATATCTTCACCTAAATACTAGATAGAAGCATTCTCAGACGCTTCTCTGTGATGACTGCATTCAACTCACGGAGTTGAACACTCCTTTTGAGAGCGCAGTTTTGAAACTCTCTTTCTGTGGCATCTGCAAGGGGACATGTAGACCTCTTTGAAGATTTCGTTGGAAACGGAATCATCTTCACATAAAAACTATACAGAAGCAGTCTCAGAATCTTCTTTGTGATGTTTGCATTCAAATCCCAGAGTTGAACTTTCCTTTCAAAGTTCACGTTTGAAACACTCTTTTTGCAGGATCTACAAGTGGATATTTGGACCACTCTGTGTCCTTCGTTCGAAACGGGTATATCTTCACACGACATCTAGACAGAAGCTTTCTCAGAAAATTCTTTGGGATGATTGAGTGGAACTCACAGAGCTGAACATTCCTTGCAATGTAGCAGTTTAGAAACACACTTTCTGCAGAATCTGCAAGTGCATATTTGGACCTCTCTGAGGAATTCGTTGGAAACGGGATAATTTCAGCTGACTAAACAGAAGCATTCTCAGAACCTTCTTCGTGATGTCTGCATTCAACTCACAGTGTGGAACCTTTCTTTGATAGCTCAGGTTTGAAACACTCTTTTTGTAGAAACTGCAAGGGGATAATTGCACTTCTTTGAGGCCTACCGTAGTAAAGGAAATAACTTCCTATAGAAAGAAGACAGAAGCATTCTCAGAACCCTCTTCGTGATGTTTGCATTCAACTCACAGTGCTGAAACTTTCTTTGATAGTTCAGCTTTGAAACACTCTTCTTGTAGAAACTGCAAGTGGATATTTGGTCCTCTCTGAGGATTTCGTTGGAAAAGGGATAAACCGCACAGAACTAAACAGAAGCATTCTCAGAACCTTCTTCGTGATGTTTGCATTCAACTCACAGTGTTGAACCTTTCTTTGATAGTTCAGGTTTGAAACGGTCTTTCTGTAGAAACTGCAAGTAGATATTTGGACCTCTCTGAGGATTTCGTTGGAAACGGGATAACCCGCACAGAACTAAAACAGAAGCATTCACAGAAAACTCTTGGTGACGACTGAGTTTAACTCACAGAGCTGAACATTCCTTTGGATGGAGTAGTTTCGAAACACACTATTTGTAGAATGTGCAAGTGGATATTTAGGCCTCTCTGAGGATTTCGTTGGAAACGGGATAAACCGCACAGAACTAAACAGAAGCATTCTCAGAAACTACTTTGTGATGATTGCATTCAAGTCACAGAGTTGAACATTCCCTTTGACAGAGCAGTTTGGAAACTCTCTTTGTGTAGAATCTGCAAGTGGAGATATGGACCGCTTTGAGGCCTATGGTAGTAAAGGAAATAGCTTCATATAAAAGCTAGACAGTAGCATTCTCAGAAACTTCTTTGTGATGCTTGCATTCAACTCACAGAGTTGAACTTTCCTTTCGAGAGAGAAGCTTTGAAACACACTTTTTCCAGAATCTGCAAGTGGACATTTGGAGGGCTTTGAGGCCTGTGGTGGAAAAGGAATTAACTTCCCGTAAAAGCTAGATAGAAGCATTGTCAGAAACTTCTTTGTGATGATTGCATTCAACTCACGGAGATGAAGGTTCCTTTACAAACAGCAGTTTCCAAACACTCTTTCTGTGGAATCTGCAAGTGGATATTTGGACCTCTTTGAAGATTTCGTTGGAAACGGGAGAATCTTCACAGAAAAGCTAAACAGAAGCATTCTCAGAAACTTCTCTGTGATGTTTGTGTTCAACTCCCAGAGTTTCACATTGCTTTTCATAGAGTAGTTCTGAAACATGCTTTTCGTAGTGTCTGCAAGTGGACATTTGGAGCGCTTTCAGGCCTGTGGTGGAAAACGAATTATGGTCCCATAAAAACTGGAGAGAAGCCTTCTCAGAAACTTCTCTGTGATGATTGCATTCAACTCACAGAGTTGAACCCTCCTATGGATAGAGCATTGTTGAAACTCTCTTTTTGTGGAATCTGCAAGTGGATATGTGGACCTCTCCGAAGATGTCTTTGGAAACGGGAATATCTTCACATAAAAACTAAACAGAAGCATTCTCAGAAACTTCTTGGTGATGTTTGCATTCAAATCCCAGAGTTGAACCTTCCTTTGATAGTTCAGGTTTGAAACACACTTTTTGTAGGATCTGCAAGTGGATATTTGGACCACTCTGTGGCCTTCGTTCGAAACGGGTACATCTTCGCATAAAATCTAGACAGAAGCATTCTCAGAAAATACTTTGTGATGATTGAGTTTAACTCACAGAGCTGAACATTCCTTTGGATGGAGCAGGTTTGAGACACACTTTTTGTAGAATCTACAAGTGGATATTTGGACCTCTCTGAGGATTTCGTTGGAAACGCGATAACTGCACCTAATTAAACGGAAGCATTCTCAGAAACTGCTTTGTGATGATTGCATTCACCTCACAGAGTTGAACATTCCTATTGATAGAGCAGTTTGGAAACACTCTTGTTGTGGAATGTGCAAGTGGAGACTTGGAGCGTTTTGAGGCCTATGGTAGTAAAGGGAATAGCTTCATAGAAAAACTAGACAGATGCATTCTCAGGAACTTTTTGGTGATGTTTGTATTCAACTCCCAGAGTTGAACTTTCCTTTGGAAAGAGCAGCTATGAAACACTCTTTTTCTAGAATCTGCAAGTGGACGTTTGGAGGGCTTTGTGGTTTGTGGTGGAAAAGGAAATATCTTCACCTAAATACTAGATAGAAGCATTCTCAGAAGCTTCTCTGTGATGACTGCATTCAACTCACGGAGTTGAACACTCCTTTTGAGAGCGCAGTTTTGAAACTCTCTTTCTGTGGCATCTGCAAGGGGACATGTAGACCTCTTTGAAGATTTCGTTGGAAACGGAATCATCTTCACATAAAAACTATACAGAAGCAGTCTCAGAATCTTCTTTGTGATGTTTGCATTCAAATCCCAGAGTTGAACTTTCCTTTCAAAGTTCACGTTTGAAACACTCTTTTTGCAGGATCTACAAGTGGATATTTGGACCACTCTGTGTCCTTCGTTCGAAACGGGTATATCTTCACACGACATCTAGACAGAAGCTTTCTCAGAAAATTCTTTGGGATGATTGAGTGGAACTCACAGAGCTGAACATTCCTTGCGATGTAGCAGTTTAGAAACACACTTTCTGCAGAATCTGCAAGTGCATATTTGGACCTCTCTGAGGAATTCGTTGGAAACGGGATAATTTCAGCTGACTAAACAGAAGCATTCTCAGAACCTTCTTCGTGATGTCTGCATTCAACTCACAGTGTGGAACCTTTCTTTGATAGTTCAGGTTTGAAACACTCTTTTTGTAGAAACTGCAAGGGGATAATTGCACTTCTTTGAGGCCTACCGTAGTAAAGGAAATAACTTCCTATAGAAAGAAGACAGAAGCATTCTCAGAACCCTCTTCGTGATGTTTGCATTCAACTCACAGTGCTGAACCTTTCTTTGATAGTTCAGCTTTGAAACACTCTTCTTGTAGAAACTGCAAGTGGATATTTGGTCCTCTCTGAGGATTTCGTTGGAAACGGGATAAACCGCACAGAACTAAACAGAAGAATTCTCAGAGCCCTCTTCGTGATGTTTGCATTCAACTCACAGTGCTGAACCTTTCTTTGATAGTGCAGCTTTGAAACACTCTTTTTGTAGAAACTGCAAGTGGATGTTTGGTCCTCTCTGAGGATTTCGTTGGAAACGGGATAAACCGCACAGAACTAAAACAGAAGCATTGTCAGAAACTTCTTTGTGATGATTGCATTCAACTCACAGAGTTGAAGGTTCCTTTTCAAACAGCAGTTTCCAATCACTCTTTCTGTGGAATCTGCAAGTGGATATTTGGGCCTCTCTGAGGATTTCGTTGGAAACGGGATAAAACGCACAGAACTAAAACAGAAGCATTCTCAGAAACTTCTCTGTGATGTTTGTGTTCAACTCCCAGAGTTTCACGTTGCTTTTCATAGAGTAGTTCTGAAACATGCTTTTCGTAGTGTCTGCAAGTGGACATTTGGAGCGCTTTCAGGCCTGTGGTGGAAAACGAATTATGGTCACATAAAAACTGGAGAGAAGCCTTCTCAGAAACTTCTCTGTGATGATTGCATTCAACTCACAGAGTTGAACCCTCCTATGGATAGAGCAGTGTTGAAACTCTCTTTTTGTGGAATCTGCAAGTGGATATGTGGACCTCTCCGAAGATGTCTTTGGAAACGGGAATATCTTCACATAAAAACTAAACAGAAGCATTCTCAGAAACTTCTTGGTGATGTTTGCATTCAAATCCCAGAGTTGAACCTTCCTTTGATAGTTCAGGTTTGAAACACTCTTTCTGTAGGATCTGCAAGTGGCTATTTGGACCACTCTGTGGCCTTCGTTCGAAACGGGTATATCTTCGCATAAAATCTAGACAGAAGCATTCTCAGAAAATACTTTGTGATGATTGAGTTTAAATCACAGAGCTGACCATTCCTTTGGATGGAGCAGGTTTGAGACACACTTTTTGTAGAATCTACAAGTGGATATTTGGACCTCTCTGAGGATTTCGTTGGAAACGGGATAACTGCACCTAACTAAACGGAAGCATTCTCAGAAACTGCTTTGTGATGATTGCATTCACCTCACAGAGTTGAACATTCCTATTGATAGAGCAGTTTGGAAACACTCTTGTTGTGGAATGTGCAAGTGGAGATTTGGAGCGCTTTGAGGCCTGTGGTAGTAAAGGGAATAGCTTCATAGAAAAACTAGACAGATGCATTCTCAGGAACTTTTTGGTGATGTTTGTATTCAACTCCCAGAGTTGAACTTCCCTTTGGAAAGAGCAGCTATGAAACACTCTTTTTCTAGAATCTGCAAGTGGACGTTTGGAGGGCTTTGTGGTTTGTGGTGGAAAAGGAAATATCTTCACCTAAATACTAGAGAGAAGCTTTCTCAGAAGCTTCTCTGTGATGACTGCATTCAACTCACGGAGTTGAACACTCCTTTTGAGAGCGCAGTTTTGAAACTCCCTTTCTGTGGCATCTGCAAGGGGACATGTAGACCTCTTTGAAGATTTCGTTGGAAACGGAATCATCTTCACATAAAAACTATACAGAAGTAGTCTCAGAATCTTCTTTGTGATGTTTGCATTCAAATCCCAGAGTTGAACTTTCTTTTCAAAGTTCACGTTTGAAACACTCTTTTTGCAGGATCTACAAGTGGATATTTGGACCACTCTGTGTCCTTCGTTCGAAACGGGTATATCTTCACACGACATCTAGACAGAAGCTTTCTCAGAAAATTCTTTGGGATGATTGAGTGGAACTCACAGAGCTGAACATTCCTTGAGATGTAGCAGTTTAGAAACACACTTTCTGCAGAATCTGCAAGTGCATATGTGGACCTCTCTGAGGAATTCGTTGGAAACGGGATAATTTCAGCTGACTAAACAGAAGCATTCTCAGAACCTTCTTCGTGATGTCTGCATTCAACTCACAGTGTGGAACCTTTCTTTGATAGTTCAGGTTTGAAACACTCTTTTTGTAGAAACTGCAAGGGGATAATTGCACTTCTTTGAGGCCTACCGTAGTAAAGGAAATAACTTCCTATAGAAAGAAGACAGAAGCATTCTCAGAACCCTCTTCGTGATGTTTGCATTCAACTCACAGTGCTGAACCTTTCTTTGATAGTTCAGCTTTGAAACACTCTTCTTGTAGAAACTGCAAGTGGATATTTGGTCCTCTCTGAGGATTTCGTTGGAAACGGGATAAACCGCACAGAACTAAACAGAAGAATTCTCAGAGCCCTCTTCGTGATGCTTGCATTCAACTCACAGTGCTGAACCTTTCTTTGATAGTGCAGCTTTGAAACACTCTTTTTGTAGAAACTGCAAGTGGATATTTGGTCCTCTCTGAGGATTTCGTTGGAAACGGGATAAACCGCACAGAACTAAAACAGAGAGCATTGTCAGAAACTTCTTTGTGATGATTGCATTCAACTCACAGAGTTGAAGGTTCCTTTTCAAACAGCAGTTTCCAATCACTCTTTCTGTGGAATCTGCAAGTGGATATTTGGGCCTCTCTGAGGATTTCGTTGGAAACGGGATAAAACGCACAGAACTAAAACAGAGCATTCTCAGAAACTTCTCTGTGATGTTTGTGTTCAACTCCCAGAGTTTCACGTTGCTTTTCATAGAGTAGTTCTGAAACATGCTTTTCGTAGTGTCTGCAAGTGGACATTTGGAGCGCTTTCAGGCCTGTGGTGGAAAACGAATTATGGTCACATAAAAACTGGAGAGAAGCCTTCTCAGAAACTTCTCTGTGATGATTGCATTCAACTCACAGAGTTGAACCCTCCTATGGATAGAGCAGTGTTGAAACTCTCTTTTTGTGGAATCTGCAAGTGGATATGTGGACCTCTCCGAAGATGTCTTTGGAAACGGGAATATCTTCACATAAAAACTAAACAGAAGCATTCTCAGAAACTTCTTGGTGATGTTTGCATTCAAATCCCAGAGTTGAACCTTCCTTTGATAGTTCAGGTTTGAAACACTCTTTCTGTAGGATCTGCAAGTGGCTATTTGGACCACTCTGTGGCCTTCGTTCGAAACGGGTATATCTTCGCATAAAATCTAGACAGAAGCATTCTCAGAAAATACTTTGTGATGATTGAGTTTAAATCACAGAGCTGACCATTCCTTTGGATGGAGCAGGTTTGAGACACACTTTTTGTAGAATCTACAAGTGGATATTTGGACCTCTCTGAGGATTTCGTTGGAAACGGGATAACTGCACCTAACTAAACGGAAGCATTCTCAGAAACTGCTTTGTGATGATTGCATTCACCTCACAGAGTTGAACATTCCTATTGATAGAGCAGTTTGGAAACACTCTTGTTGTGGAATGTGCAAGTGGAGATTTGGAGCGCTTTGAGGCCTATGGTAGTAAAGGGAATAGCTTCATAGAAAAACTAGACAGAAGCATTCTCAGAAACTTCTCTGTGATGTTTGTGTTCAACTCCCAGAGTTTCACGTTGCTTTTCATAGAGTAGTTCTGAAACATGCTTTTCGTAGTGTCTGCAAGTGGACATTTGGAGGGCTTTGTGGTTTGTGGTGGAAAAGGAAATATCTTCACCTAAATACTAGATAGAAGCCTTCTCAGAAACTTCTCTGTGATGATTGCATTCAACTCACAGAGTTGAACCCTCCTATGGATAGAGCAGTGTTGAAACTCTCTTTTTGTGGAATCTGCAAGTGGATATGTGGACCTCTCCGAAGATGTCTTTGGAAACGGGAATATCTTCACATAAAAACTAAACAGAAGCATTCTCAGAAACTTCTTGGTGATGTTTGCATTCAAATCCCAGAGTTGAACCTTCCTTTGATAGTTCAGGTTTGAAACACTCTTTTTGTAGGATCTGCAAGTGGCTATTTGGACCACTCTGTGGCCTTCGTTCGAAACGGGTATATCTTCGCATAAAATCTAGACAGAAGCATTCTCAGAAAATACTTTGTGATGATTGAGTTAAAATCACAGAGCTGAACATTCCTTTGGATGGAGCAGGTTTGAGACACACTTTTTGTAGAATCTACAAGTGGATATTTGGACCTCTCTGAGGATTTCGTTGGAAACGGGATAACTGCACCTAACTAAACGGAAGCATTCTCAGAAACTGCTTTGTGATGATTGCATTCACCTCACAGAGTTGAACATTCCTATTGATAGAGCAGTTTGGAAACACTCTTGTTGTGGAATGTGCAAGTGGAGATTTGGAGCGCTTTGAGGCCTATGGTAGTAAAGGGAATAGCTTCATAGAAAAACTAGACAGATGCATTCTCAGGAACTTTTTGGTGATGTTTGTATTCAACTCCCAGAGTTGAACTTTCCTTTGGAAAGAGCAGCTATGAAACACTCTTTTTCTAGAATCTGCAAGTGGACGTTTGGAGGGCTTTGTGGTTTGTGGTGGAAAAGGAAATATCTTCACCTAAATACTAGATAGAAGCATTCTCAGAAGCTTCTCTGTGATGACTGCATTCAACTCACGGAGTTGAACACTCCTTTTGAGAGCGCAGTTTTGAAACTCTCTTTCTGTGGCATCTGCAAGGGTACATGTAGACCTCTTTGAAGATTTCGTTGGAAACGGAATCATCTTCACATAAAAACTATACAGAAAGCAGTCTCAGAATCTTCTTTGTGATGTTTGCATTCAAATCCCAGAGTTGAACTTTCCTTTCAAAGTTCACGTTTGAAACACTCTTTTTGCAGGATCTACAAGTGGATATTTGGACCACTCTGTGTCCTTCGTTCGAAACGGGTATATCTTCACACGACATCTAGACAGAGCTTTCTCAGAAAATTTTTTGGGATGATTGAGTTGAACTCACAGAGCTGAGCATTCCTTGCGATGTAGCAGTTTAGAAACACACTTTCTGCAGAATCTGCAAGTGCATATTTGGACCTCTGTGAGGAATTCGTTGGAAACGGGATAATTTCAGCTGACTAAACAGAAGCATTCTCAGAACCTTCTTCGTGATGTCTGCATTCAACTCACAGTGTGGAACCTTTCTTTGATAGTTCAGGTTTGAAACACTCTTTTTGTAGAAACTGCAAGGGGATAATTGCACTTCTTTGAGGCCTACCCGTAGTAAAGGAAATAACTTCCTATAGAAAGAAGACAGAAGCATTCTCAGAACCCTCTTCGTGATGTTTGCATTCAACTCACAGTGCTGAACCTTTCTTTGATAGTTCAGCTTTGAAACACTCTTCTTGTAGAAACTGCAAGTGGATATTTGGTCCTCTCTGAGGATTTCGTTGGAAACGGGATAAACCGCACAGAACTAAACAGAAGAATTCTCAGAGCCCTCTTCGTGATGTTTGCATTCAACTCACAGTGCTGAACCTTTCTTTGATAGTGCAGCTTTGAAACACTCTTTTTGTAGAAACTGCAAGTGGATGTTTGGTCCTCTCTGAGGATTTCGTTGGAAACGGGATAAACCGCACAGAACTAAAACAGAAGCATTGTCAGAAACTTCTTTGTGATGATTGCATTCAACTCACAGTAGTTGAAGGTTCCTTTTCAAACAGCAGTTTCCAATCACTCTTTCTGTGGAATCTGCAAGTGGATATTTGGGCCTCTCTGAGGATTTCGTTGGAAACGGGATAAAACGCACAGAACTAAAACAGAAGCATTCTCAGAAACTTCTCTGTGATGTTTGTGTTCAACTCCCAGAGTTTCACGTTGCTTTTCATAGAGTAGTTCTGAAACATGCTTTTCGTAGTGTCTGCAAGTGGACATTTGGAGCGCTTTCAGGCCTGTGGTGGAAAACGAATTATGGTCACATAAAAACTGGAGAGAAGCCTTCTCAGAAACTTCTCTGTGATGATTGCATTCAACTCACAGAGTTGAACCCTCCTATGGATAGAGCAGTGTTGAAACTCTCTTTTTGTGGAATCTGCAAGTGGATATGTGGACCTCTCCGAAGATGTCTTTGGAAACGGGAATATCTTCACATAAAAACTAAACAGAAGCATTCTCAGAAACTTCTTGGTGATGTTTGCATTCAAATCCCAGAGTTGAACCTTCCTTTGATAGTTCAGGTTTGAAACACTCTTTCTGTAGGATCTGCAAGTGGCTATTTGGACCACTCTGTGGCCTTCGTTCGAAACGGGTATATCTTCGCATAAAATCTAGACAGAAGCATTCTCAGAAAATACTTTGTGATGATTGAGTTTAAATCACAGAGCTGAACATTCCTTTGGATGGAGCAGGTTTGAGACACACTTTTTGTAGAATCTACAAGTGGATATTTGGACCTCTCTGAGGATTTCGTTGGAAACGGGATAACTGCACCTAACTAAACGGAAGCATTCTCAGAAACTGCTTTGTGATGATTGCATTCACCTCACAGAGTTGAACATTCCTATTGATAGAGCAGTTTGGAAACACTCTTGTTGTGGAATGTGCAAGTGGAGATTTGGAGCGCTTTGAGGCCTGTGGTAGTAAAGGGAATAGCTTCATAGAAAAACTAGACAGATGCATTCTCAGGAACTTTTTGGTGATGTTTGTATTCAACTCCCAGAGTTGAACTTTCCTTTGGAAAGAGCAGCTATGAAACACTCTTTTTCTAGAATCTGCAAGTGGACGTTTGGAGGGCTTTGTGGTTTGTGGTGGAAAAGGAAATATCTTCACCTAAATACTAGATAGAAGCTTTCTCAGAAGCTTCTCTGTGATGACTGCATTCAACTCACGGAGTTGAACACTCCTTTTGAGAGCGCAGTTTTGAAACTCCCTTTCTGTGGCATCTGCAAGGGGACATGTAGACCTCTTTGAAGATTTCGTTGGAAACGGAATCATCTTCACATAAAAACTATACAGAAGTAGTCTCAGAATCTTCTTTGTGATGTTTGCATTCAAATCCCAGAGTTGAACTTTCCTTTCAAAGTTCACGTTTGAAACACTCTTTTTGCAGGATCTACAAGTGGATATTTGGACCACTCTGTGTCCTTCGTTCGAAACGGGTATATCTTCACACGACATCTAGGCAGAAGCTTTCTCAGAAAATTCTTTGGGATGATTGAGTTGAACTCACAGAGCTGAACATTCCTTGCGATGTAGCAGTTTAGAAACACACTTTCTGCAGAATCTGCAAGTGCATATTTGGACCTCTCTGAGGAATTCGTTGGAAACGGGATAATTTCAGCTGACTAAACAGAAGCATTCTCAGAACCTTCTTCGTGATGTCTGCATTCAACTCACAGTGTGGAACCTTTCTTTGATAGTTCAGGTTTGAAACACTCTTTTTGTAGAAACTGCAAGGGGATAATTGCACTGCTTTGAGGCCTACCGTAGTAAAGGAAATAACTTCCTATAAAAAGAAGACAGAAGAATTCTCAGAGCCCTCTTCGTGATGTTTGCATTCAACTCACAGTGCTGAACCTTTCTTTGATAGTGCAGCTTTGAAACACTCTTTTTGTAGAAACTGCAAGTGGATGTTTGGTCCTCTCTGAGGATTTCGTTGGAAACGGGATAAACCGCACAGAACTAAAACAGAAGCATTGTCAGAAACTTCTTTGTGATGATTGCATTCAACTCACAGAGTTGAAGGTTCCTTTTCAAACAGCAGTTTCCAATCACTCTTTCTGTGGAATCTGCAAGTGGATATTTGGGCCTCTCTGAGGATTTCGTTGGAAACGGGATAAAACGCACAGAACTAAAACAGAAGCATTCTCAGAAACTTCTCTGTGATGTTTGTGTTCAACTCCCAGAGTTTCACGTTGCTTTTCATAGAGTAGTTCTGAAACATGCTTTTCGTAGTGTCTGCAAGTGGACATTTGGAGCGCTTTCAGGCCTGTGGTGGAAAACGAATTATGGTCACATAAAAACTGGAGAGAAGCCTTCTCAGAAACTTCTCTGTGATGATTGCATTCAACTCACAGAGTTGAACCCTCCTATGGATAGAGCAGTGTTGAAACTCTCTTTTTGTGGAATCTGCAAGTGGATATGTGGACCTCTCCGAAGATGTCTTTGGAAACGGGAATATCTTCACATAAAAACTAAACAGAAGCATTCTCAGAAACTTCTTGGTGATGTTTGCATTCAAATCCCAGAGTTGAACCTTCCTTTGATAGTTCAGGTTTGAAACACTCTTTCTGTAGGATCTGCAAGTGGCTATTTGGACCACTCTGTGGCCTTCGTTCGAAACGGGTATATCTTCGCATAAAATCTAGACAGAAGCATTCTCAGAAAATACTTTGTGATGATTGAGTTTAAATCACAGAGCTGACCATTCCTTTGGATGGAGCAGGTTTGAGACACACTTTTTGTAGAATCTACAAGTGGATATTTGGACCTCTCTGAGGATTTCGTTGGAAACGGGATAACTGCACCTAACTAAACGGAAGCATTCTCAGAAACTGCTTTGTGATGATTGCATTCACCTCACAGAGTTGAACATTCCTATTGATAGAGCAGTTTGGAAACACTCTTGTTGTGGAATGTGCAAGTGGAGATTTGGAGCGCTTTGAGGCCTGTGGTAGTAAAGGGAATAGCTTCATAGAAAAACTAGACAGATGCATTCTCAGGAACTTTTTGGTGATGTTTGTATTCAACTCCCAGAGTTGAACTTTCCTTTGGAAAGAGCAGCTATGAAACACTCTTTTTCTAGAATCTGCAAGTGGACGTTTGGAGGGCTTTGTGGTTTGTGGTGCAAAAGGAAATATCTTCACCTAAATACTAGATAGAAGCATTCTCAGAAGCTTCTCTGTGATGACTGCATTCAACTCACGGAGTTGAACACTCCTTTTGAGAGCGCAGTTTTGAAACTCTCTTTCTGTGGCATCTGCAAGGGGACATGTGGACCTCTTTGAAGATTTCGTTGGAAACGGAATCATCTTCACATAAAAACTATACAGAAGCAGTCTCAGAATCTTCTTTGCGATGTTTGCATTCAAATCCCAGAGTTGAACTTTCCTTTCAAAGTTCACGTTTGAAACACTCTTTTTGCAGGATCTACAAGTGGATATTTGGACCACTCTGTGTCCTTCGTTCGAAACGGGTATATCTTCACACGACATCTAGACAGAAGCTTTCTCAGAAAATTCTTTGGGATGATTGAGTTGAACTCACAGAGCTGAACATTCCTTGCGATGTAGCAGTTTAGAAACACACTTTCTGCAGAATCTGCAAGTGCATATTGAGACCTCTCTGAGGAATTCGTTGGAAACGGGATAATTTCAGCTGACTAAACAGAAGCATTCTCAGAACCTTCTTCGTGATGTCTGCATTCAACTCACAGTGTGGAACCTTTCTTTGATAGTTCAGGTTTGAAACACTCTTTTTGTAGAAACTGCAAGGGTATAATTGCACTTCTTTGAGGCCTACCGTAGTAAAGGAAATAACTTCCTATAAAAAGAAGACAGAAGCATTCTCAGAACCCTCTTCGTGATGTTTGCATTCAACTCACAGTGCTGAACCTTTCTTTGATAGTTCAGCTTTGAAACACTCTTTTTGTAGAAACTGCAAGTGGATATTTGGTCCACTCTGAGGATTTCGTTGGAAACGGGATAAACCGCACAGAACTAAACAGAAGCATTCACAGAAAACTCTTGGTGACGACTGAGTTTAAGTCACAGAGCTGAACATTCCTTTGGATGGAGCAGTTTCGAAACACACTATTTGTAGAATCTGCAAGTGGATATGGGGGCCTCTCTGAGGATTTCGTTGGAAACAGGGTAAACCGCACAGAACTAAAACAGAAGCATTCTCAGAAACTACTTTGTGATGATTGCATTCAAGTCACAGAGATGAACATTCCCTTTGACAGAGCAGTTTGGAAACTCTCTTTGTGTAGAATCTGCAAGTGGAGATATGGAATGCTTTGAGGACTATGGTAGTAAAGGAAATAGCTTCATATAAAAGCTAGACAGTAGCATTCTCAGAAACTTCTTTGTGATGCTTGCATTCAACTCACAGAGTTGAACTTTCCTTTCGAGAGAGAAGCTTTGAAACACTCTTTTTCCAGAATCTGCAAGTGGACATTTGGAGGGCTTTGAGGCCTGTGGTGGAAAAGGAATTATCTTCCCGTAAAAGCTAGATAGAAACATTGTCAGAAACTTCTTTGTGATGATTGCATTCAACTCACAGAGTTGAAGGTTCCTTTTCAAACAGCAGTTTCCAAACACTCTTTCTGTGGAATCTACAACTGGATATTTGGACCTCTTTGAAGATTTCGTTGGAAACGGGAGAATCTTCACAGAAAAGCTAAACGGAAGCATTCTCAGAAACTTCTCTGTGATGTTTGTGTTCAACTCCCAGAGTTTCATATTGCTTCTCATAGAGTAGTTCTGAAACATGCTTTTCGTAGTGTCTGCAAGTGGACATTTGGAGCGCTTTCAGGCCTGTGGTGGAAAACGAATTATGGTCACATAAAAACTGGAGAGAAGCCTTCTCAGAAACTTCTCTGTGATGATTGCATTCAACTCACAGAGTTGAACCCTCCTATGGATAGAGCAGTGTTGAAACTCTCTTTTTGTGGAATCTGCAAGTGGATATGTGGACCTCTCCGAAGATGTCTTTGGAAACGGGAATATCTTCACATAAAAACTAAACAGAAGCATTCTCAGAAACTTCTTGGTGATGTTTGCATTCAAATCCCAGAGTTGAACCTTCCTTTGATAGTTCAGGTTTGAAACACTCTTTTTGTAGGATCTGCAAGTGGATATTTGGACCACTCTGTGGCCTTCGTTCGAAACGGGTACATCTTCGCATAAAATCTAGACAGAAGCATTCTCAGAAAATACTTTGTGATGATTGAGTTGAACTCATAGAGCTGAACATTCCTTTGGATGGAGCAGGTTTGAGACACACTTTTTGTAGAATCTACAAGTGGATATTTGGACCTCTCTGAGGATTTCGTTGGAAACGGGATAACTGCACCTAACTAAACGGAAGCATTCTCAGAAACTGCTTTGTGATGATTGCATTCACCTCACAGAGTTGACCATTCCTATTGATAGAGCAGTTTGGAAACACTCTTGTTGTGGAATGTGCAAGTGGAGATTTGGAGCGCTTTGAGGCCTATGGTAGTAAAGGGAATAGCTTCATAGAAAAACTAGACAGATGCATTCTCAGGAACTTTTTGGTGATGTTTGTATTCAACTCCCAGAGTTGAACTTTCCTTTGGAAAGAGCAGCTATGAAACACCCTTTTTCTAGAATCTGCAAGTGGACGTTTGGAGGGCTTTGTGGTTTGTGGTGGAAAAGGAAATATCTTCACCTAAATACTAGATAGAAGCATTCTCAGAAGCTTCTCTGTGATGACTGCATTCAACTCACGGAGTTGAACACTCCTTTTGAGAGCGCAGTTTTGAAACTCTCTTTCTGTGGCATCTGCAAGGGGACATGTAGACCTCTTTGAAGATTTCGTTGGAAACGGAATCATCTTCACATAAAAACTATACAGAAGCAGTCTCAGAATCTTCTTTGTGATGTTTGCATTCAAATCCCAGAGTTGAACTTTCCTTTCAAAGTTCACGTTTGAAACACTCTTTTTGCAGGATCTACAAGTGGATATTTGGACCACTCTGTGTCCTTCGTTCGAAACGGGTATATCTTCACACGACATCTAGACAGAAGCTTTCTCAGAAAATTCTTTGGGATGATTGAGTGGAACTCACAGAGCTGAACATTCCTTGCGATGTAGCAGTTTAGAAACACACTTTCTGCAGAATCTGCAAGTGCATATTTGGACCTCTCTGAGGAATTCGTTGGAAACGGGATAATTTCAGCTGACTAAACAGAAGCATTCTCAGAACCTTCTTCGTGATGTCTGCATTCAACTCACAGTGTGGAACCTTTCTTTGATAGTTCAGGTTTGAAACACTCTTTTTGTAGAAACTGCAAGGGGATAATTGCACTTCTTTGAGGCCTACCGTAGTAAAGGAAATAACTTCCTATAGAAAGAAGACAGAAGCATTCTCAGAACCCTCTTCGTGATGTTTGCATTCAACTCACAGTGCTGAACCTTTCTTTGATAGTTCAGCTTTGAAACACTCTTCTTGTAGAAACTGCAAGTGGATATTTGGTCCTCTCTGAGGATTTCGTTGGAAACGGGATAAACCGCACAGAACTAAACAGAAGAATTCTCAGAGCCCTCTTCGTGATGTTTGCATTCAACTCACAGTGCTGAACCTTTCTTTGATAGTGCAGCTTTGAAACACTCTTTTTGTAGAAACTGCAAGTGGATGTTTGGTCCTCTCTGAGGATTTCGTTGGAAACGGGATAAACCGCACAGAACTAAAACAGAAGCATTGTCAGAAACTTCTTTGTGATGATTGCATTCAACTCACAGAGTTGAAGGTTCCTTTTCAAACAGCAGTTTCCAATCACTCTTTCTGTGGAATCTGCAAGTGGATATTTGGGCCTCTCTGAGGATTTCGTTGGAAACGGGATAAAACGCACAGAACTAAAACAGAAGCATTCTCAGAAAACTTCTCTGTGATGTTTGTGTTCAACTCCCAGAGTTTCACGTTGCTTTTCATAGAGTAGTTCTGAAACATGCTTTTCGTAGTGTCTGCAAGTGGACATTTGGAGCGCTTTCAGGCCTGTGGTGGAAAACGAATTATGGTCACATAAAAACTGGAGAGAAGCCTTCTCAGAAACTTCTCTGTGATGATTGCATTCAACTCACAGAGTTGAACCCTCCTATGGATAGAGCAGTGTTGAAACTCTCTTTTTGTGGAATCTGCAAGTGGATATGTGGACCTCTCCGAAGATGTCTTTGGAAACGGGAATATCTTCACATAAAAACTAAACAGAAGCATTCTCAGAAACTTCTTGGTGATGTTTGCATTCAAATCCCAGAGTTGAACCTTCCTTTGATAGTTCAGGTTTGAAACACTCTTTCTGTAGGATCTGCAAGTGGCTATTTGGACCACTCTGTGGCCTTCGTTCGAAACGGGTATATCTTCGCATAAAATCTAGACAGAAGCATTCTCAGAAAATACTTTGTGATGATTGAGTTTAAATCACAGAGCTGACCATTCCTTTGGATGGAGCAGGTTTGAGACACACTTTTTGTAGAATCTACAAGTGGATATTTGGACCTCTCTGAGGATTTCGTTGGAAACGGGATAACTGCACCTAACTAAACGGAAGCATTCTCAGAAACTGCTTTGTGATGATTGCATTCACCTCACAGAGTTGAACATTCCTATTGATAGAGCAGTTTGGAAACACTCTTGTTGTGGAATGTGCAAGTGGAGATTTGGAGCGCTTTGAGGCCTATGGTAGTAAAGGGAATAGCTTCATAGAAAAACTAGACAGATGCATTCTCAGGAACTTTTTGGTGATGTTTGTATTCAACTCCCAGAGTTGAACTTTCCTTTGGAAAGAGCAGCTATGAAACACTCTTTTTCTAGAATCTGCAAGTGGACGTTTGGAGGGCTTTGTGGTTTGTGGTGGAAAAGGAAATATCTTCAGCTACATACTAGAGAGAAGCATTCTCAGAAGCTTCTCTGTGATGACTGCATTCAACTCACGGAGTTGAACACTCCTTTTGAGAGCGCAGTTTTGAAACTCTCTTTCTGTGGCATCTGCAAGGGGACATGTAGACCTCTTTGAAGATTTCGTTGGAAACGGAATCATCTTCACATAAAAACTATACAGAAGCAGTCTCAGAATCTTCTTTGTGATGTTTGCATTCAAATCCCAGAGTTGAACTTTCCTTTCAAAGTTCACGTTTGAAACACTCTTTTTGCAGGATCTACAAGTGGATATTTGGACCACTCTGTGTCCTTCGTTCGAAACGGGTATATCTTCACACGACATCTAGACAGAAGCTTTCTCAGAAAATTCTTTGGGATGATTGAGTGGAACTCACAGAGCTGAACATTCCTTGCGATGTAGCAGTTTAGAAACACACTTTCTGCAGAATCTGCAAGTGCATATTTGGACCTCTCTGAGGAATTCGTTGGAAACGGGATAATTTCAGCTGACTAAACAGAAGCATTCTCAGAACCTTCTTCGTGATGTCTGCATTCAACTCACAGTGTGGAACCTTTCTTTGATAGTTCAGGTTTGAAACACTCTTTTTGTAGAAACTGCAAGGGGATAATTGCACTTCTTTGAGGCCTACCGTAGTAAAGGAAATAACTTCCTATAGAAAGAAGACAGAAGCATTCTCAGAACCCTCTTCGTGATGTTTGCATTCAACTCACAGTGCTGAACCTTTCTTTGATAGTTCAGCTTTGAAACACTCTTCTTGTAGAAACTGCAAGTGGATATTTGGTCCTCTCTGAGGATTTCGTTGGAAACGGGATAAACCGCACAGAACTAAACAGAAGAATTCTCAGAGCCCTCTTCGTGATGTTTGCATTCAACTCACAGTGCTGAACCTTTCTTTGATAGTGCAGCTTTGAAACACTCTTTTTGTAGAAACTGCAAGTGGATGTTTGGTCCTCTCTGAGGATTTCGTTGGAAACGGGATAAACCGCACAGAACTAAAACAGAAGCATTGTCAGAAACTTCTTTGTGATGATTGCATTCAACTCACAGAGTTGAAGGTTCCTTTTCAAACAGCAGTTTCCAATCACTCTTTCTGTGGAATCTGCAAGTGGATATTTGGGCCTCTCTGAGGATTTCGTTGGAAACGGGATAAAACGCACAGAACTAAAACAGAAGCATTCTCAGAAACTTCTCTGTGATGTTTGTGTTCAACTCCCAGAGTTTCACATTGCTTTTCATAGAGTAGTTCTGAAACATGCTTTTCGTAGTGTCTACAAGTGGACATTTGGAGCGCTTTCAGGCCTGTGGTGGAAAACGAATTATGGTCACATAAAAACTGGAGAGAAGCCTTCTCAGAAACTTCTCTGTGATGATTGCATTCAACTCACAGAGTTGAACCCTCCTATGGATAGAGCAGTGTTGAAACTCTCTTTTTGTGGAACCTGCAAGTGGATATGTGGACCTCTCCGAAGATGTCTTTGGAAACGGGAATATCTTCACATAAAAACTAAACAGAAGCATTCTCAGAAACTTCTTGGTGATGTTTGCATTCAAATCCCAGAGTTGAACCTTCCTTTGATAGTTCAGGTTTGAAACACTCTTTCTGTAGGATCTGCAAGTGGCTATTTGGACCACTCTGTGGCCTTCGTTCGAAACGGGTATATCTTCGCATAAAATCTAGACAGAAGCATTCTCAGAAAATACTTTGTGATGATTGAGTTTAAATCACAGAGCTGACCATTCCTTTGGATGGAGCAGGTTTGAGACACACTTTTTGTAGAATCTACAAGTGGATATTTGGACCTCTCTGAGGATTTCGTTGGAAACGGGATAACTGCACCTAACTAAACGGAAGCATTCTCAGAAACTGCTTTGTGATGATTGCATTCACCTCACAGAGTTGAACATTCCTATTGATAGAGCAGTTTGGAAACACTCTTGTTGTGGAATGTGCAAGTGGAGATTTGGAGCGCTTTGAGGCCTATGGTAGTAAAGGGAATAGCTTCATAGAAAAACTAGACAGATGCATTCTCAGGAACTTTTTGGTGATGTTTGTATTCAACTCCCAGAGTTGAACTTTCCTTTGGAAAGAGCAGCTATGAAACACTCTTTTTCTAGAATCTGCAAGTGGACGTTTGGAGGGCTTTGTGGTTTGTGGTGGAAAAGGAAATATCTTCACCTAAATACTAGATAGAAGCATTCTCAGAAGCTTCTCTGTGATGACTGCATTCAACTCACGGAGTTGAACACTCCTTTTGAGAGCGCAGTTTTGAAACTCTCTTTCTGTGGCATCTGCAAGGGGACATGTAGACCTCTTTGAAGATTTCGTTGGAAACGGAATCATCTTCACATAAAAACTATACAGAAGCAGTCTCAGAATCTTCTTTGTGATGTTTGCATTCAAATCCCAGAGTTGAACTTTCCTTTCAAAGTTCACGTTTGAAACACTCTTTTTGCAGGATCTACAAGTGGATATTTGGACCACTCTGTGTCCTTCGTTCGAAACGGGTATATCTTCACACGACATCTAGACAGAAGCTTTCTCAGAAAATTCTTTGGGATGATTGAGTGGAACTCACAGAGCTGAACATTCCTTGCGATGTAGCAGTTTAGAAACACACTTTCTGCAGAATCTGCAAGTGCATATTTGGACCTCTCTGAGGAATTCGTTGGAAACGGGATAATTTCAGCTGACTAAACAGAAGCATTCTCAGAACCTTCTTCGTGATGTCTGCATTCAACTCACAGTGTGGAACCTTTCTTTGATAGTTCAGGTTTGAAACACTCTTTTTGTAGAAACTGCAAGGGGATAATTGCACTTCTTTGAGGCCTACCGTAGTAAAGGAAATAACTTCCTATAGAAAGAAGACAGAAGCATTCTCAGAACCCTCTTCGTGATGTTTGCATTCAACTCACAGTGCTGAACCTTTCTTTGATAGTTCAGCTTTGAAACACTCTTCTTGTAGAAACTGCAAGTGGATATTTGGACCTCTCTGAGGATTTCGTTGGAAACGGGATAAACCGCACAGAACTAAACAGAAGCATTCTCTGAACCTTCTTCGTGATGTTTGCATTCAACTCACAGTGTTGAACCTTTCTTTGATAGTTCAGGTTGGAAACGGTCTTTCTGTAGAAACTGCAAGTAGATATTTGGACCTCTCTGAGGATTTCGTTGGAAACGGGATAAACCGCACAGAACTAAAACAGAAGCATTCACAGAAAACTCTTGGTGACGACTGAGTTTAACTCACAGAGCTGAACATTCCTTTGGATGGAGCAGTTTCGAAACACACTATTTGTAGAATGTGCAAGTGGATATTTGGGCCTCTCTGAGGATTTCGCTGGAAACGGGATAAACCGCACAGAACTAAACAGAAGCATTCTCAGAAACTACTTTGTGATGATTGCATTCAAGTCACAGAGTTGAACATTCCCTTTGACAGAGCAGTTTGGAAACTCTCTTTGTGTAGAATCTGCAAGTGGAGATATGGACCGCTTTGAGGCCTATGGTAGTAAAGGAAATAGCTTCATATAAAAGCTAGACAGTAGCATTCTCAGAAACTTCTTTGTGATGCTTGCATTCAACTCACAGAGTTGAACTTTCCTTTCGAGAGAGAAGCTTTGAAACACTCTTTTTCCAGAATCTGCAAGTGGACATTTGGAGGGCTTTGAGGCCTGTGGTGGAAAAGGAATTATCTTCCCGTAAAAGCTAGATAGAAGCATTGTCAGAAACTTCTTTGTGATGATTGCATTCAACTCACAGAGTTGAAGGTTCCTTTTCAAAGAGCAGTTTCCAATCACTCTTTCTGTGGAATCTGCAAGTGGATATTTGGACCTATTTTGAAGATTTCGTTGGAAACGGGAGAATCTTCACAGGAAAGCTAAACAGAAGCATTCTCAGAAACTTCTCTGTGATGTTTGTGTTCAACTCCCAGAGTTTCACATTGCTTTTCATAGAGTAGTTCTGAAACATGCTTTTCGTAGTGTCTACAAGTGGACATTTGGAGCGCCTTCAGGCCTGTGGTGGAAAACGAATTATGGTCACATAAAAACTGGAGAGAAGCCTTCTCAGAAACTTCTCTGTGATGATTGCATTCAACTCACAGAGTTGAACCCTCCTATGGATAGAGCAGTGTTGAAACTCTCTTTTTGTGGAATCTGCAAGTGGATATGTGGACCTCTCCGAAGATGTCTTTGGAAACGGGAATATCTTCACATAAAAACTAAACAGAAGCATTCTCAGAAACTTCTTGGTGATGTTTGCATTCAAATCCCAGAGTTGAACCTTCCTTTGATAGTTCAGGTTTGAAACACTCTTTTTGTAGGATCTGCAAGTGGATATTTGGACCACTCTGTGGCCTTCGTTCGAAACGGGTATATCTTCGCATAAAATCTAGACAGAAGCATTCTCAGAAAATACTTTGTGATGATTGAGTTTAACTCACAGAGCTGAACATTCCTTTGGATGGAGCAGGTTTGAGACACACTTTTTGTAGAATCTACAAGTGGATATTTGGACCTCTCTGAGGATTTCGTTGGAAACGGGATAACTGCACCTAACTAAACGGAAGCATTCTCAGAAACTGCTTTGTGATGATTGCATTCACCTCACAGAGTTGAACATTCCTATTGATAGAGCAGTTTGGAAACACTCTTGTTGTGGAATGTGCAAGTGGAGATTTGGAGCGCTTTGAGGCCTATGGTAGTAAAGGGAATAGCTTCATAGAAAAACTAGACAGATGCATTCTCAGGAACTTTTTGGTGATGTTTGTATTCAACTCCCAGAGTTGAACTTTCCTTTGGAAAGAGCAGCTATGAAACACTCTTTTTCTAGAATCTGCAAGTGGACGTTTGGAGGGCTTTGTGGTTTGTGGTGGAAAAGGAAATATCTTCACCTAAATACTAGATAGAAGCATTCTCAGAAGCTTCTCTGTGATGACTGCATTCAACTCACGGAGTTGAACACTCCTTTTGAGAGCGCAGTTTTGAAACTCTCTTTCTGTGGCATCTGCAAGGGGACATGTAGACCTCTTTGAAGATTTCGTTGGAAACGGAATCATCTTCACATCAAAACTATACAGAAGCAGTCTCAGAATCTTCTTTGTGATGTTTGCATTCAAATCCCAGAGTTGAACTTTCCTTTCAAAGTTCACGTTTGAAACACTCTTTTTGCAGGATCTACAAGTGGATATTTGGACCACTCTGTGTCCTTCGTTCGAAACGGGTATATCTTCACACGACATCTAGACAGAAGCTTTCTCAGAAAATTCTTTGGGATGATTGAGTGGAACTCACAGAGCTGAACATTCCTTGTGATGTAGCAGTTTAGAAACACACTTTCTGCAGAATCTGCAAGTGCATATTTGGACCTCTCTGAGGAATTCGTTGGAAACGGGATAATTTCAGCTGACTAAACAGAAGCATTCTCAGAACCTTCTTCGTGATGTCTGCATTCAACTCACAGTGTGGAACCTTTCTTTGATAGTTCAGGTTTGAAACACTCTTTTTGTAGAAACTGCAAGGGGATAATTGCACTTCTTTGAGGCCTACCGTAGTAAAGGAAATAACTTCCTATAGAAAGAAGACAGAAGCATTCTCAGAACCCTCTTCGTGATGTTTGCATTCAACTCACAGTGCTGAACCTTTCTTTGATAGTTCAGCTTTGAAACACTCTTCTTGTAGAAACTGCAAGTGGATATTTGGTCCTCTCTGAGGATTTCGTTGGAAACGGGATAAACCGCACAGAACTAAACAGAAGAATTCTCAGAGCCCTCTTCGTGATGTTTGCATTCAACTCACAGTGCTGAACCTTTCTTTGATAGTGCAGCTTTGAAACACTCTTTTTGTAGAAACTGCAAGTGGATGTTTGGTCCTCTCTGAGGATTTCGTTGGAAACGGGATAAACCGCACAGAACTAAAACAGAAGCATTGTCAGAAACTTCTTTGTGATGATTGCATTCAACTCACAGAGTTGAAGGTTCCTTTTCAAACAGCAGTTTCCAATCACTCTTTCTGTGGAATCTGCAAGTGGATATTTGGGCCTCTCTGAGGATTTCGTTGGAAACGGGATAAAACGCACAGAACTAAAACAGAAGCATTCTCAGAAACTTCTCTGTGATGTTTGTGTTCAACTCCCAGAGTTTCACGTTGCTTTTCATAGAGTAGTTCTGAAACATGCTTTTCGTAGTGTCTGCAAGTGGACATTTGGAGCGCTTTCAGGCCTGTGGTGGAAAACGAATTATGGTCACATAAAAACTGGAGAGAAGCCTTCTCAGAAACTTCTCTGTGATGATTGCATTCAACTCACAGAGTTGAACCCTCCTATGGATAGAGCAGTGTTGAAACTCTCTTTTTGTGGAATCTGCAAGTGGATATGTGGACCTCTCCGAAGATGTCTTTGGAAACGGGAATATCTTCACATAAAAACTAAACAGAAGCATTCTCAGAAACTTCTTGGTGATGTTTGCATTCAAATCCCAGAGTTGAACCTTCCTTTGATAGTTCAGGTTTGAAACACTCTTTCTGTAGGATCTGCAAGTGGCTATTTGGACCACTCTGTGGCCTTCGTTCGAAACGGGTATATCTTCGCATAAAATCTAGACAGAAGCATTCTCAGAAAATACTTTGTGATGATTGAGTTCTAAATCACAGAGCTGACCATTCCTTTGGATGGAGCAGGTTTGAGACACACTTTTTGTAGAATCTACAAGTGGATATTTGGACCTCTCTGAGGATTTCGTTGGAAACGGGATAACTGCACCTAACTAAACGGAAGCATTCTCAGAAACTGCTTTGTGATGATTGCATTCACCTCACAGAGTTGAGCATTCCTATTGATAGAGCAGTTTGGAAACACTCTTGTTGTGGAATGTGCAAGTGGAGATTTGGAGCGCTTTGAGGCCTATGGTAGTAAAGGGAATAGCTTCATAGAAAAACTAGACAGATGCATTCTCAGAAACTTTTTGGTGATGTTTGTATTCAACTCCCAGAGTTGAACTTTCCTTTGGAAAGAGCAGCTATGAAACACTCTTTTTCTAGAATCTGCAAGTGGACGTTTGGAGGGCTTTGTGGTTTGTGGTGGAAAAGGAAATATCTTCACCTAAATACTAGATAGAAGCATCCTCAGAAGCTTCTCTGTGATGACTGCATTCAACTCACGGAGTTGAACACTCCTTTTGAGAGCGCAGTTTTGAAACTCTCTTTCTGTGGCATCTGCAAGGGGACATGTAGACCTCTTTGAAGATTTCGTTGGAAACGGAATCATCTTCACATAAAAACTATACAGAAGCAGTCTCAGAATCTTCTTTGTGATGTTTGCATTCAAATCCCCGAGTTGAACTTTCCTTTCAAAGTTCACGTTTGAAACACTCTTTTTGCAGGATCTACAAGTGGATATTTGGACCACTCTGTGTCCTTCGTTCGAAACGGGTATATCTTCACATGACATCTAGACAGAAGCTTTCTCAGAAAATTCTTTGGGATGATTGAGTTGAACTCACAGAGCTGAGCATTCCTTGCGATGTAGCAGTTTAGAAACACACTTTCTGCAGAATCTGCAAGTGCATATTTGGACCTCTGTGAGGAATTCGTTGGAAACGGGATAATTTCAGCTGACTAAACAGAAGCATTCTCAGAACCTTCTTCGTGATGTCTGCATTCAACTCACAGTGTGGAACCTTTCTTTGATAGTTCAGGTTTGAAACACTCTTTCTGTAGAAACTGCAAGGGGATAATTGCACTCTTTGAGGAGTACCGTAGTAAAGGAAATAACTTCCTATAAAAAGAAGACAGAAGCATTCTCAGAACCCTCTTCGTGATGTTTGCATTCAACTCACAGTGCTGAACCTTTCTTTGATAGTTCAGCTTTGAAACACTCTTTTTGTAGAAACTGCAAGTGGATATTTGGTCCTCTCTGAGCATTTCGTTGGAAACGGGATAAACTGCACAGAACTAAACAGAAGCATTCTCAGAACCTTCTTCGTGATGTTTGCATTCAACTCACAGTGTTGAACCTTTCTTTGATAGTTCAGGTTTGAAACGGTCTTTCTGTAGAAACTGCAAGTAGATATTTGGACCTCTCTGAGGATTTCGTTGGAAACGGGATAACCCGCACAGAACTAAAACAGAAGCATTCACAGAAAACTCTTGGTGACGACTGAGTTTAACTCACAGAGCTGAACATTCCTTTGGATGGAGCAGTTTCGAAACACACTATTTGTAGAATGTGCAAGTGGATATTTAGGCCTCTCTGAGGATTTCGTTGGAAACGGGATAAACCGCACAGAACTAAACAGAAGCATTCTCAGAAACTACTTTGTGATGATTGCATTCAAGTCACAGAGTTGAACATTCCCTTTGACAGAGCAGTTTGGAAACTCTCTTTGTGTAGAATCTGCAAGTGGAGATATGGACCGCTTTGAGGCCTATGGTAGTAAAGGAAATAGCTTCATATAAAAGCTAGACAGTAGCATTCTCAGAAACTTCTTTGTGATGCTTGCATTCAACTCACAGAGTTGAACTTTCCTTTCGAGAGAGAAGCTTTGAAACACTCTTTTTCCAGAATCTGCAAGTGGACATTTGGAGGGCTTTGAGGCCTGTGGTGGAAAAGGAATTATCTTCCCGTAAAAGCTAGATAGAAGCATTGTCAGAAACTTCTTTGTGATGATTGCATTCAACTCACAGAGTTGAAGGTTCCTTTTCAAACAGCAGTTTCCAATCACTCTTTCTGTGGAATCTGCAAGTGGATATTTGGACCTAGTTTGAAGATTTCGTTGGAAACGGGATAACCTTCACAGAAAAGCTAAACAGAAGCATTCTCAGAAACTTCTCTGTGATGTTTGTGTTCAACTCCCAGAGTTTCACATTGCTTTTCATAGAGTAGTTCTGAAACATGCTTTTCGTAGTGTCTGCAAGTGGACATTTGGAGCGCTTTCAGGCCTGTGGTGGAAAACGAATTATGGTCACATAGAAACTGGAGAGAAGCCTTCTCAGAAACTTGTCTGTGATGATTGCATTCAACTCACAGAGTTGAACCCTCCTATGGATAGAGCAGTGTTGAAACTCTCTTTTTGTGGAATCTGCAAGTGGATATGTGGACCTCTCCGAAGATGTCTTTGGAAACGGGAATATCTTCACATCAAAACTAAACAGAAGCATTCTCAGAAACTTCTTGGTGATGTTTGCATTCAAATCCCAGAGTTGAACCTTCCTTTGATAGTTCAGGTTTGAAACACTCTTTTTGTAGGATCTGCAAGTGGCTACTTGGACCACTCTGTGGCCTTCGTTCGAAACGGGTATATCTTCGCATAAAATCTAGACAGAAGCATTCTCAGAAAATACTTTGTGATGATTGAGTTGAACTCACAGAGCTGAACATTCCTTTGGATGGAGCAGGTTTGAGACACACTTTTTGTAGAATCTACAAGTGGATATTTGGACCTCTCTGAGGATTTCGTTGGAAACGGGATAACTGCACCTAACTAAACGGAAGCCTTCTCAGAAACTGCTTTGTGATGATTGCATTCACCTCACAGAGTTGAACATTCCTATTGATAGAGCAGTTTGGAAACACTCTTGTTGTGGAATGTGCAAGTGGAGATTTGGAGCGCTTTGAGGCCTATGGTAGTAAAGGGAAGAGCTTCATAGAAAAACTAGACAGATGCATTCTCAGGAACTTTTTGGTGATGTTTGTATTCAACTCCCAGAGTTGAACTTTCCTTTGGAAAGAGCAGCTATGAAACACTCTTTTTCTAGAATCTGCAAGTGGACGTTTGGAGGGCTTTGTGGTTTGTGGTGGAAAAGGAAATATCTTCACCTAAATACTAGATAGAAGCATTCTCAGAAGCTTCTCTGTGATGACTGCATTCAACTCACGGAGTTGAACACTCCTTTTGAGAGCGCAGTTTTGAAACTCTCTTTCTGTGGCATCTGCAAGGGGACATGTAGACCTCTTTGAAGATTTCGTTGGAAACGGAATCATCTTCACATAAAAACTATACAGAAGCAGTCTCAGAATCTTCTTTGTGATGTTTGCATTCAAATCCCAGAGTTGAACTTTCCTTTCAAAGTTCACGTTTGAAACACTCTTTTTGCAGGATCTACAAGTGGATATTTGGACCACTCTGTGTCCTTCGTTCGAAACGGGTATATCTTCACACGACATCTAGACAGAAGCTTTCTCAGAAAATTCTTTGGGATGATTGAGTGGAACTCACAGAGCTGAACATTCCTTGCGATGGAGCAGTTTAGAAACACACTTTCTGCAGAATCTGCAAGTGCATATTTGGACCTCTCTGAGGAATTCGTTGGAAACGGGATAATTTCAGCTGACTAAACAGAAGCATTCTCAGAACCTTCTTCGTGATGTCTGCATTCAACTCACAGTGTGGAACCTTTCTTTGATAGTTCAGGTTTGAAACACTCTTTTTGTAGAAACTGCAAGGGGATAATTGCACTTCTTTGAGGCCTACCGTAGTAAAGGAAATAACTTCCTATAGAAAGAAGACAGAAGCATTCTCAGAACCCTCTTCGTGATGTTTGCATTCAACTCACAGTGCTGAACCTTTCTTTGATAGTTCAGCTTTGAAACACTCTTCTTGTAGAAACTGCAAGTGGATATTTGGTCCTCTCTGAGGATTTCGTTGGAAACGGGATAAACCGCACAGAACTAAACAGAAGAATTCTCAGAGCCCTCTTCGTGATGTTTGCATTCAACTCACAGTGCTGAACCTTTCTTTGATAGTGCAGCTTTGAAACACTCTTTTTGTAGAAACTGCAAGTGGATGTTTGGTCCTCTCTGAGGATTTCGTTGGAAACGGGATAAACCGCACAGAACTAAAACAGAAGCATTGTCAGAAACTTCTTTGTGATGATTGCATTCAACTCACAGAGTTGAAGGTTCCTTTTCAAACAGCAGTTTCCAATCACTCTTTCTGTGGAATCTGCAAGTGGATATTTGGGCCTCTCTGAGGATTTCGTTGGAAACGGGATAAAACGCACAGAACTAAAACAGAAGCATTCTCAGAAACTTCTCTGTGATGTTTGTGTTCAACTCCCAGAGTTTCACGTTGCTTTTCATAGAGTAGTTCTGAAACATGCTTTTCGTAGTGTCTGCAAGTGGACATTTGGAGCGCTTTCAGGCCTGTGGTGGAAAACGAATTATGGTCACATAAAAACTGGAGAGAAGCCTTCTCAGAAACTTCTCTGTGATGATTGCATTCAACTCACAGAGTTGAACCCTCCTATGGATAGAGCAGTGTTGAAACTCTCTTTTTGTGGAATCTGCAAGTGGATATGTGGACCTCTCCGAAGATGTCTTTGGAAACGGGAATATCTTCACATAAAAACTAAACAGAAGCATTCTCAGAAACTTCTTGGTGATGTTTGCATTCAAATCCCAGAGTTGAACCTTCCTTTGATAGTTCAGGTTTGAAACACTCTTTCTGTAGGATCTGCAAGTGGCTATTTGGACCACTCTGTGGCCTTCGTTCGAAACGGGTATATCTTCGCATAAAATCTAGACAGAAGCATTCTCAGAAAATACTTTGTGATGATTGAGTTTAAATCACAGAGCTGACCATTCCTTTGGATGGAGCAGGTTTGAGACACACTTTTTGTAGAATCTACAAGTGGATATTTGGACCTCTCTGAGGATTTCGTTGGAAACGGGATAACTGCACCTAACTAAACGGAAGCATTCTCAGAAACTGCTTTGTGATGATTGCATTCACCTCACAGAGTTGAACATTCCTATTGATAGAGCAGTTTGGAAACACTCTTGTTGTGGAATGTGCAAGTGGAGATTTGGAGCGCTTTGAGGCCTGTGGTAGTAAAGGGAATAGCTTCATAGAAAAACTAGACAGATGCATTCTCAGGTAACTTTTTGGTGATGTTTGTATTCAACTCCCAGAGTTGAACTTTCCTTTGGAAAGAGCAGCTATGAAACACTCTTTTTCTAGAATCTGCAAGTGGACGTTTGGAGGGCTTTGTGGTTTGTGGTGGAAAAGGAAATATCTTCACCTAAATACTAGATAGAAGCATTCTCAGAAGCTTCTCTGTGATGACTGCATTCAACTCACGGAGTTGAACACTCCTTTTGAGAGCGCAGTTTTGAAACTCTCTTTCTGTGGCATCTGCAAGGGGACATGTAGACCTCTTTGAAGATTTCGTTGGAAACGGAATCATCTAACACATAAAAACTATACAGAAGCAGTCTCAGAATCTTCTTTGTGATGTTTGCATTCAAATCCCAGAGTTGAACTTTCCTTTCAAAGTTCACGTTTGAAACACTCTTTTTGCAGGATCTACAAGTGGATATTTGGACCACTCTGTGTCCTTCGTTCGAAACGGGTATATCTTCACACGACATCTAGACAGAAGCTTTCTCAGAAAATTCTTTGGGATGATTGAGTGGAACTCACAGAGCTGAACATTCCTTGCGATGTAGCAGTTTAGAAACACACTTTCTGCAGAATCTGCAAGTGCATATTTGGACCTCTCTGAGGAATTCGTTGGAAACGGGATAATTTCAGCTGACTAAACAGAAGCATTCTCAGAACCTTCTTCGTGATGTCTGCATTCAACTCACAGTGTGGAACCTTTCTTTGATAGTTCAGGTTTGAAACACTCTTTTTGTAGAAACTGCAAGGGGATAATTGCACTTCTTTGAGGCCTACCGTAGTAAAGGAAATAACTTCCTATAGAAAGAAGACAGAAGCATTCTCAGAACCCTCTTCGTGATGTTTGCATTCAACTCACAGTGCTGAACCTTTCTTTGATAGTTCAGCTTTGAAACACTCTTCTTGTAGAAACTGCAAGTGGATATTTGGTCCTCTCTGAGGATTTCGTTGGAAACGGGATAAACCGCACAGAACTAAACAGAAGAATTCTCAGAGCCCTCTTCGTGATGTTTGCATTCAACTCACAGTGCTGAACTTTTCTTTGATAGTGCAGCTTTGAAACACTCTTTTTGTAGAAACTGCAAGTGGATGTTTGGTCCTCTCTGAGGATTTCGTTGGAAACGGGATAAACCGCACAGAACTAAAACAGAAGCATTGTCAGAAACTTCTTTGTGATGATTGCATTCAACTCACAGAGTTGAAGGTTCCTTTTCAAACAGCAGTTTCCAATCACTCTTTCTGTGGAATCTGCAAGTGGATATTTGGGCCTCTCTGAGGATTTCGTTGGAAACGGGATAAAACGCACAGAACTAAAACAGAAGCATTCTCAGAAACTTCTCTGTGATGTTTGTGTTCAACTCCCAGAGTTTCACGTTGCTTTTCATAGAGTAGTTCTGAAACATGCTTTTCGTAGTGTCTGCAAGTGGACATTTGGAGCGCTTTCAGGCCTGTGGTGGAAAACGAATTATGGTCACATAAAAACTGGAGAGAAGCCTTCTCAGAAACTTCTCTGTGATGATTGCATTCAACTCACAGAGTTGAACCCTCCTATGGATAGAGCAGTGTTGAAACTCTCTTTTTGTGGAATCTGCAAGTGGATATGTGGACCTCTCCGAAGATGTCTTTGGAAACGGGAATATCTTCACATAAAAACTAAACAGAAGCATTCTCAGAAACTTCTTGGTGATGTTTGCATTCAAATCCCAGAGTTGAACCTTCCTTTGATAGTTCAGGTTTGAAACACTCTTTTTGTAGGATCTGCAAGTGGCTATTTGGACCACTCTGTGGCCTTCGTTCGAAACTGGTATATCTTCGCATAAAATCTAGACAGAAGCATTCTCAGAAAATACTTTGTGATGATTGAGTTTAAATCACAGAGCTGACCATTCCTTTGGATGGAGCAGGTTTGAGACACACTTTTTGTAGAATCTACAAGTGGATATTTGGACCTCTCTGAGGATTTCGTTGGAAACGGGATAACTGCACCTAACTAAACGGAAGCATTCTCAGAAACTGCTTTGTGATGATTGCATTCACCTCACAGAGTTGAACATTCCTATTGATAGAGCAGTTTGGAAACACTCTTGTTGTGGAATGTGCAAGTGGAGATTTGGAGCGCTTTGAGGCCTATGGTAGTAAAGGGAATAGCTTCATAGAAAAACTAGACAGATGCATTCTCAGGAACTTTTTGGTGATGTTTGTATTCAACTCCCAGAGTTGAACTTTCCTTTGGAAAGAGCAGCTATGAAACACTCTTTTTCTAGAATCTGCAAGTGGACGTTTGGAGGGCTTTGTGGTTTGTGGTGGAAAAGGAAATATCTTCACCTAAATACTAGAGAGAAGCATTCTCAGAAGCTTCTCTGTGATGACTGCATTCAACTCACGGAGTTGAACACTCCTTTTGAGAGCGCAGTTTTGAAACTCTCTTTCTGTGGCATCCGCAAGGGGACATGTAGACCTCTTTGAAGATTTCGTTGGAAACGGAATCATCTTCACATAAAAACTATACAGAAGCAGTCTCAGAATCTTCTTTGTGATGTTTGCATTCAAATCCCAGAGTTGAACTTGCCTTTCAAAGTTCACGTTTGAAACACTCTTTTTGCAGGATCTACAAGTGGATATTTGGACCACTCTGTGTCCTTCGTTCGAAACGGGTATATCTTCACATGACATCTAGACAGAAGCTTTCTCAGAAAATTCTTTGGGATGATTGAGTTGAACTCACAGAGCTGAGCATTCCTTGCGATGTAGCAGTTTAGAAACACACTTTCTGCAGAATCTGCAAGTGCATATTTGGACCTCTGTGAGGAATTCGTTGGAAACGGGATAATTTCAGCTGACTAAACAGAAGCATTCTCAGAACCTTCTTCGTGATGTCTGCATTCAACTCACAGTGTGGAACCTTTCTTTGATAGTTCAGGTTTGAAACACTCTTTTTGTAGAAACTGCAAGGGGATAATTGCACTCTTTGAGGAGTACCGTAGTAAAGGAAATAACTTCCTATAAAAAGAAGACAGAAGCATTCACAGAAAAGTCTTGGTGACGACTGAGTTTAACTCCCAGAGCTGAACATTCCTTTGGATGGAGCAGTTTCGAAACACACTATTTGTAGAATCTGCAAGTGGATATTTGGGCCTCTCTGAGGATTTCGTTGGAAACGGGATAAAACGCACAGAACTAAAACAGAAGCATTCTCAGAAACTACTTTGTGATGATTGCATTCAAGTCACAGAGTTGAACATTCCCTTTGACAGAGCAGTTTGGAAACTCTCTTTGTGTAGAATCTGCAAGTGGAGATATGGACCGCTTTGAGGCCTATGGTAGTAAAGGAAATAGCTTCATATAAAAGCTAGACAGTAGCATTCTCAGAAACTTCTTTGTGATGCTTGCATTCAACTCACAGAGTTGAACTTTCCTTTCGAGAGAGAAGCTTTGAAACACTCTTTTTCCAGAATCTGCAAGTGGACATTTGGAGGGCTTTGAGGCCTGTGGTGGAAAAGGAATTATCTTCCCGTAAAAGCTAGATAGAAGCCTTCTCAGAAACTTCTCTGTGATGATTGCATTCAACTCACAGAGTTGAAGGTTCCTTTTCAAAGAACAGTTTCCAATCACTCTTTCTGTGGAGTCTGCAAGTGGATATTTGGACCTATTTTGAAGATTTCGTTGGAAACGGGAGAATCTTCACAGGAAAGCTAAACAGAAGCATTCTCAGAAACTTCTCTGTGATGTTTGTGTTCAACTCCCAGAGTTTCACATTGCTTTTCATAGAGTAGTTCTGAAACATGCTTTTCGTAGTGTCTACAAGTGGACATTTGGAGCGCTTTCAGGCCTGTGGTGGAAAACGAATTATGGTCACATAAAAACTGGAGAGAAGCCTTCTCAGAAACTTCTCTGTGATGATTGCATTCAACTCACAGAGTTGAACCCTCCTATGGATAGAGCAGTGTTGAAACTCTCTTTTTGTGGAATCTGCAAGTGGATATGTGGACCTCTCCGAAGATGTCTTTGGAAACGGGAATATCTTCACATAAAAACTAAACAGAAGCATTCTCAGAAACTTCTTGGTGATGTTTGCATTCAAATCCCAGAGTTGAACCTTCCTTTGATAGTTCAGGTTTGAAACACTCTTTCTGTAGGATCTGCAAGTGGCTATTTGGACCACTCTGTGGCCTTCGTTCGAAACGGGTATATCTTCGCATAAAATCTAGACAGAAGCATTCTCAGAAAATACTTTGTGATGATTGAGTTTAAATCACAGAGCTGACCATTCCTTTGGATGGAGCAGGTTTGAGACACACTTTTTGTAGAATCTACAAGTGGATATTTGGACCTCTCTGAGGATTTCGTTGGAAACGGGATAACTGCACCTAACTAAACGGAAGCATTCTCAGAAACTGCTTTGTGATGATTGCATTCACCTCACAGAGTTGAACATTCCTATTGATAGAGCAGTTTGGAAACACTCTTGTTGTGGAATGTGCAAGTGGAGATTTGGAGCGCTTTGAGGCCTATGGTAGTAAAGGGAATAGCTTCATAGAAAAACTAGACAGATGCATTCTCAGGAACTTTTTGGTGATGTTTGTATTCAACTCCCAGAGTTGAACTTTCCTTTGGAAAGAGCAGCTATGAAACACTCTTTTTCTAGAATCTGCAAGTGGACGTTTGGAGGGCTTTGTGGTTTGTGGTGGAAAAGGAAATATCTTCACCTAAATACTAGATAGAAGCATTCTCAGAAGCTTCTCTGTGATGACTGCATTCAACTCACGGAGTTGAACACTCCTTTTGAGAGCGTAGTTTTGAAACTCTCTTTCTGTGGCATCTGCAAGGGGACATGTAGACCTCTTTGAAGATTTCGTTGGAAACGGAATCATCTTCACATAAAAACTATACAGACAGTCTCAGAATCTTCTTTGTGATGTTTGCATTCAAATCCCAGAGTTGAACTTTCCTTTCAAAGTTCACGTTTGAAACACTCTTTTTGCAGGATCTACAAGTGGATATTTGGACCACTCTGTGTCCTTCGTTCGAAACGGCTATATCTTCACACGACATCTAGACAGAGGCTTTCTCAGAAAATTCTTTGGGATGATTGAGTGGAACTCACAGAGCTGAACATTCCTTGCGATGTAGCAGTTTAGAAACACACTTTCTGCAGAATCTGCAAGTGCATATTTGGACCTCTCTGAGGAATTCGTTGGAAACGGGATAATTTCAGCTGACTAAACAGAAGCATTCTCAGAACCTTCTTCGTGATGTCTGCATTCAACTCACAGTGTGGAACCTTTCTTTGATAGTTCAGGTTTGAAACACTCTTTTTGTAGAAACTGCAAGGGGATAATTGCACTTCTTTGAGGCCTACCGTAGTAAAGGAAATAACTTCCTATAGAAAGAAGACAGAAGCATTCTCAGAACCCTCTTCGTGATGTTTGCATTCAACTCACAGTGCTGAACCTTTCTTTGATAGTTCAGCTTTGAAACACTCTTCTTGTAGAAACTGCAAGTGGATATTTGGTCCTCTCTGAGGATTTCGTTGGAAACGGGATAAACCGCACAGAACTAAACAGAAGAATTCTCAGAGCCCTCTTCGTGATGTTTGCATTCAACTCACAGTGCTGAACCTTTCTTTGATAGTGCAGCTTTGAAACACTCTTTTTGTAGAAACTGCAAGTGGATGTTTGGTCCTCTCTGAGGATTTCGTTGGAAACGGGATAAACCGCACAGAACTAAAACAGAAGCATTGTCAGAAACTTCTTTGTGATGATTGCATTCAACTCACAGAGTTGAAGGTTCCTTTTCAAACAGCAGTTTCCAATCACTCTTTCTGTGGAATCTGCAAGTGGATATTTGGGCCTCTCTGAGGATTTCGTTGGAAACGGGATAAAACGCACAGAACTAAAACAGAAGCATTCTCAGAAACTTCTCTGTGATGTTTGTGTTCAACTCCCAGAGTTTCACGTTGCTTTTCATAGAGTAGTTCTGAAACATGCTTTTCGTAGTGTCTGCAAGTGGACATTTGGAGCGCTTTCAGGCCTGTGGTGGAAAACGAATTATGGTCACATAAAAACTGGAGAGAAGCCTTCTCAGAAACTTCTCTGTGATGATTGCATTCAACTCACAGAGTTGAACCGTCCTATGCATAGAGCAGTGTTGAAACTCTCTTTTTGTGGAATCTGCAAGTGGATATGTGGACCTCTCCGAAGATGTCTTTGGAAACGGGAATATCTTCACATAAAAACTAAACAGAAGCATTCTCAGAAACTTCTTGGTGATGTTTGCATTCAAATCCCAGAGTTGAACCTTCCTTTGATAGTTCAGGTTTGAAACACTCTTTCTGTAGGATCTGCAAGTGGCTATTTGGACCACTCTGTGGCCTTCGTTCGAAACGGGTATATCTTCGCATAAAATCTAGACAGAAGCATTCTCAGAAAATACTTTGTGATGATTGAGTTTAAATCACAGAGCTGACCATTCCTTTGGATGGAGCAGGCTTGAGACACACTTTTTGTAGAATCTACAAGTGGATATTTGGACCTCTCTGAGGATTTCGTTGGAAACGGGATAACTGCACCTAACTAAACGGAAGCATTCTCAGAAACTGCTTTGTGATGATTGCATTCACCTCACAGAGTTGAACATTCCTATTGATAGAGCAGTTTGGAAACACTCTTGTTGTGGAATGTGCAAGTGGAGATTTGGAGCGCTTTGAGGCCTGTGGTAGTAAAGGGAATAGCTTCATAGAAAAACTAGACAGATGCATTCTCAGGAACTTTTTGGTGATGTTTGTATTCAACTCCCAGAGTTGAACTTTCCTTTGGAAAGAGCAGCTATGAAACACTCTTTTTCTAGAATCTGCAAGTGGACGTTTGGAGGGCTTTGTGGTTTGTGGTGGAAAAGGAAATATCTTCACCTAAATACTAGATAGAAGCATTCTCAGAAGCTTCTCTGTGATGACTGCATTCAACTCACGGAGTTGAACACTCCTTTTGAGAGCGCAGTTTTGAAACTCTCTTTCTGTGGCATCTGCAAGGGGACATGTAGACCTCTTTGAAGATTTCGTTGGAAACGGAATCATCTTCACATAAAAACTATACAGAAGCAGTCTCAGAATCTTCTTTGTGATGTTTGCATTCAAATCCCAGAGTTGAACTTTCCTTTCAAAGTTCACGTTTGAAACACTCTTTTTGCAGGATCTACAAGTGGATATTTGGACCACTCTGTGTCCTTCGTTCGAAACGGGTATATCTTCACACGACATCTAGACAGAAGCTTTCTCAGAAAATTCTTTGGGATGATTGAGTGGAACTCACAGAGCTGAACATTCCTTGCGATGTAGCAGTTTAGAAACACACTTTCTGCAGAATCTGCAAGTGCATATTTGGACCTCTCTGAGGAATTCGTTGGAAACGGGATAATTTCAGCTGACTAAACAGAAAGCATTCTCAGAACCTTCTTCGTGATGTCTGCATTCAACTCACAGTGTGGAACCTTTCTTTGATAGTTCAGGTTTGAAACACTCTTTTTGTAGAAACTGCAAGGGGATAATTGCACTTCTTTGAGGCCTACCGTAGTAAAGGAAATAACTTCCTATAGAAAGAAGACAGAAGCATTCTCAGAACCCTCTTCGTGATGTTTGCATTCAACTCACAGTGCTGAACCTTTCTTTGATAGTTCAGCTTTGAAACACTCTTCTTGTAGAAACTGCAAGTGGATATTTGGTCCTACTACTGAGGATTTCGTTGGAAACGGGATAAACCGCACAGAACTAAACAGAAGCATTCTCAGAACCTTCTTCGTGATGTTTGCATTCAACTCACAGTGTTGAACCTTTCTTTGATAGTTCAGGTTTGAAACGGTCTTTCTGTAGAAACTGCAAGTAGATATTTGGACCTCTCTGAGGATTTCGTTGGAAACGGGATAAACCGCACAGAACTAAAACAGAAGCATTCACAGAAAACTCTTGGTGACGACTGAGTTTAACTCACAGAGCTGAACATTCCTTTGGATGGAGCAGTTTCGAAACACCCTATTTGTAGAATGTGCAAGTGGATATGTGGGCCTCTCTGAGGATTTCGTTGGAAACGGGATAAACCGCACAGAACTAAACAGAAGCATTCTCAGAAACTACTTTGTGATGATTGCATTCAAGTCACAGAGTTGAACATTCCCTTTGACAGAGCAGTTTGGAAACTCTCTTTGTGTAGAATCTGCAAGTGGAGATATGGACCGCTTTGAGGCCTATGGTAGTAAAGGAAATAGCTTCATATAAAAGCTAGACAGTAGCATTCTCAGAAACTTCTTTGTGATGCTTGCATTCAACTCACAGAGTTGAACTTTCCTTTCGAGAGAGAAGCTTTGAAACACTCTTTTTCCAGAATCTGCAAGTGGACATTTGGAGGGCTTTGAGGCCTGTGGTGGAAAAGGAATTATCTTCCCGTAAAAGCTAGATAGAAGCATTGTCAGAAACTTCTTTGTGATGATTGCATTCAACTCACAGAGTTGAAGGTTCCTTTTCAAAGAGCAGTTTCCAATCACTCTTTCTGTGGAATCTGCAAGTGGATATTTGGACCTATTTTGAAGATTTCGTTGGAAACGGGAGAATCTTCACAGGAAAGCTAAACAGAAGCATTCTCAGAAACTTCTCTGTGATGTTTGTGTTCAACTCCCAGAGTTTCACATTGCTTTTCATAGAGTAGTTCTGAAAGACGCTTTTCGTAGTCTCTACAATTGGGCATTTGGAGCGCTTTCAGGCCTGTGGTGGAAAAGAATTATGGTCACATAAAAACTGGAGAGAAAGCCTTCTCAGAAACTTCTCTGTGATGATTGCATTCAACTCACAGCAGTTGAACCCTCCTATGGATAGAGCAGTGTTGAAACTCTCTTTTTGTGGAATCTGCAAGTGGATATGTGGACCTCTCCGAAGATGTCTTTGGAAACGGGAATATCTTCACATAAAAACTAAACAGAAGCATTCTCAGAAACTTCTTGGTGATGTTTGCATTCAAATCCCAGAAGTTGAACCTTCCTTTGATAGTTCAGGTTTGAAACACTCTTTTTGTAGGATCTGCAAGTGGATATTTGGACCACTCTGTGGCCTTCGTTCGAAACGGCTATATCTTCGCATAAAATCTAGACAGAAGCATTCTCAGAAAATACTTTGTGATGATTGAGTTTAACTCACAGAGCTGAACATTCCTTTGGATGGAGCAGGTTTGAGACACACCTTTTGTAGAATCTACAAGTGGATATTTGGACCTCTCTGAGGATTTCGTTGGAAACGGGATAACTGCACCTAACTAAACGGAAGCATTCTCAGAAACTGCTTTGTGATGATTGCATTCACCTCACAGAGTTGAACATTCCTATTGATAGAGCAGTTTGGAAACACTCTTGTTGTGGAATGTGCAAGTGGAGATTTGGAGCGCTTTGAGGCCTATGGTAGTAAAGGGAATAGCTTCATAGAAAAACTAGACAGATGCATTCTCAGGAACTTTTTGGTGATGTTTGTATTCAACTCCCAGAGTTGAACTTTCCTTTGGAAAGAGCAGCTATGAAACACTGTTTTTCTAGAATCTGCAAGTGGACGTTTGGAGGGCTTTGTGGTTTGTGGTGGAAAAGGAAATATCTTCACCTAAATACTAGATAGAAGCATCCTCAGAAGCTTCTCTGTGATGACTGCATTCAACTCACGGAGTTGAACACTCCTTTTGAGAGCACAGTTTTGAAACTCTCTTTCTGTGGCATCTGCAAGGGGACATGTAGACCTCTTTGAAGATTTCGTTGGAAACGGAATCATCTTCACATAAAAACTACACAGAAGCAGTCTCAGAATCTTCTTTGTGATGTTTGCATTCAAATCCCCGAGTTGAACTTTCCTTTCAAAGTTCACGTTTGAAACACTCTTTTTGCAGGATCTACAAGTGGATATTTGGACCACTCTGTGTCCTTCGTTCGAAACGGGTATATCTTCACATGACATCTAGACAGAAGCTTTCTCAGAAAATTCTTTGGGATGATTGAGTAGAACTCACAGAGCTGAGCATTCCTTGCGATGTAGCAGTTTAGAAACACACTTTCTGCAGAATCTGCAAGTGCATATTTGGACCTCTGTGAGGAATTCGTTGGAAACGGGATAATTTCAGCTGACTAAACAGAAGCATTCTCAGAACCCTCTTCGTGATGTTTGCATTCAACTCACAGTGCTGAACCTTTCTTTGATAGTTCAGCTTTGAAACACTCTTTCTGTAGAAACTGCAAGGGGATAATTGCACTCTTTGAGGAGTACCGTAGTAAAGGAAATAACTTCCTATAAAAAGAAGACAGAAGCATTCTCAGAACCTTCTTCGTGATGTTTGCATTCAACTCACAGTGTTGAACCTTTCTTTGATAGTTCAGGTTTGAAACGGTCTTTCTGTAGAAACTGCAAGTAGATATTTGGACCTCTCTGAGGATTTCGTTGGAAACGGGATAACCCGCACAGAACTAAAACAGAAGCATTCACAGAAAACTCTTGGTGACGACTGAGTTTAACTCACAGAGCTGAACATTCCTTTGGATGGAGCAGTTTCGAAACACACTATTTGTAGAATCTGCAAGTGGATATTTGGGCCACTCTGAGGATTTCGTTGGAAACGGGATAAAACGTACAGAACTAAAACAGAAGCATTCTCAGAAACTACTTTGTGATGATTGCATTCAAGTCACAGAGTTGAACATTCCCTTTGACAGAGCAGTTTGGAAACTCTCTTTGTGTAGAATCTGCAAGTGGAGATATGGACCGCTTTGAGGCCTATGGTAGTAAAGGAAATAGCTTCATATAAAAGCTAGACAGTAGCATTCTCAGAAACTTCTTTGTGATGCTTGCATTCAACTCACAGAGTTGAACTTTCCTTTCGAGAGAGAAGCTTTGAAACACTCTTTTTCCAGAATCTGCAAGTGGACATTTGGAGGGCTTTGAGGCCTGTGGTGGAAAAGGAATTATCTTCCCGTAAAAGCTAGATAGAAGCATTGTCAGAAACTTCTTTGTGATGATTGCATTCAACTCACAGAGTTGAAGGTTCCTTTTCAAAGAGCAGTTTCCAATCACTCTTTGTGTGGAATCTGCAAGTGGATATTTGGACCTATTTTGAAGATTTCGTTGGAAACGGGAGAATCTTCACAGGAAAGCTAAACAGAAGCATTCTCAGAAACTTCTCTGTGATGTTTGTGTTCAACTCCCAGAGTTTCACATTGCTTTTCATAGAGTAGTTCTGAAACATGCTTTTCGTAGTGTCTACAAGTGGACATTTGGAGCGCTTTCAGGCCTGTGGTGGAAAACGAATTATGGTCACATAAAAACTGGAGAGAAGCCTTCTCAGAAACTTCTCTGTGATGATTGCATTCAACTCACAGAGTTGAACCCTCCTATGGATAGAGCAGTGTTGAAACTCTCTTTTTGTGGAATCTGCAAGTGGATATGTGGACCTCTCCGAAGATGTCTTTGGAAACGGGAATATCTTCACATAAAAACTAAACAGAAGCATTCTCAGAAACTTCTTGGTGATGTTTGCATTCAAATCCCAGAGTTGAACCTTCCTTTGATAGTTCAGGTTTGAAACACTCTTTTTGTAGGATCTGCAAGTGGATATTTGGACCACTCTGTGGCCTTCGTTCGAAACGGGTATATCTTCGCATAAAATCTAGACAGAAGCATTCTCAGAAAATACTTTGTGATGATTGAGTTTAACTCACAGAGCTGAACATTCCTTTGGATGGAGCAGGTTTGAGACACACTTTTTGTAGAATCTACAAGTGGATATTTGGACCTCTCTGAGGATTTCGTTGGAAACGGGATAACTGCACCTAACTAAACGGAAGCATTCTCAGAAACTGCTTTGTGATGATTGCATTCACCTCACAGAGTTGAACATTCCTATTGATAGAGCAGTTTGGAAACACTCTTGTTGTGGAATGTGCAAGTGGAGATTTGGAGCGCTTTGAGGCCTATGGTAGTAAAGGGAATAGCTTCATAGAAAAACTAGACAGATGCATTCTCAGGAACTTTTTGGTGATGTTTGTATTCAACTCCCAGAGTTGAACTTTCCTTTGGAAAGAGCAGCTATGAAACACTGTTTTTCTAGAATCTGCAAGTGGACGTTTGGAGGGCTTTGTGGTTTGTGGTGGAAAAGGAAATATCTTCACCTAAATACTAGATAGAAGCATCCTCAGAAGCTTCTCTGTGATGACTGCATTCAACTCACGGAGTTGAACACTCCTTTTGAGAGCGCAGTTTTGAAACTCTCTTTCTGTGGCATCTGCAAGGGGACATGTAGACCTCTTTGAAGATTTCGTTGGAAACGGAATCATCTTCACATAAAAACTATACAGAAGCAGTCTCAGAATCTTCTTTGTGATGTTTGCATTCAAATCCCCGAGTTGAACTTTCCTTTCAAAGTTCACGTTTGAAACACTCTTTTTGCAGGATCTACAAGTGGATATTTGGACCACTCTGTGTCCTTCGTTCGAAACGGGTATATCTTCACATGACATCTAGACAGAAGCTTTCTCAGAAAATTCTTTGGGATGATTGAGTTGAACTCACAGAGCTGAGCATTCCTTGCGATGTAGCAGTTTAGAAACACACTTTCTGCAGAATCTGCAAGTGCATATTTGGACCTCTGTGAGGAATTCGTTGGAAACGGGATAATTTCAGCTGACTAAACAGAAGCATTCTCAGAACCTTCTTCGTGATGTCTGCATTCAACTCACAGTGTGGAACCTTTCTTTGATAGTTCAGGTTTGAAACACTCTTTTTGTAGAAACTGCAAGGGGATAATTGCACTCTTTGAGGAGTACCGTAGTAAAGGAAATAACTTCCTATAAAAAGAAGACAGAAGCATTCTCAGAACCCTCTTCGTGATGTTTGCATTCAACTCACAGTGCTGAACCTTTCTTTGATAGTTCAGCTTTGAAACACTCTTTTTGTAGAAACTGCAAGTGGATATTTGGTCCTCTCTGAGCATTTCGTTGGAAACGGGATAAACTGCACAGAACTAAACAGAAGCATTCTCAGAACCTTCTTCGTGATGTTTGCATTCAACTCACAGTGTTGAACCTTTCTTTGATAGTTCAGGTTTGAAACGGTCTTTCTGTAGAAACTGCAAGTAGATATTTGGACCTCTCTGAGGATTTCGTTGGAAACGGGATAACCCGCACAGAACTAAAACAGAAGCATTCACAGAAAACTCTTGGTGACGACTGAGTTTAACTCACAGAGCTGAACATTCCTTTGGATGGAGCAGTTTCGAAACACACTATTTGTAGAATGTGCAAGTGGATATTTGGGCCTCTCTGAGGATTTCGTTGGAAACGGGATAAACCGCACAGAACTAAACAGAAGCATTCTCAGAAACTACTTTGTGATGATTGCATTCAAGTCACAGAGTTGAACATTCCCTTTGACAGAGCAGTTTGGAAACTCTCTTTGTGTAGAATCTGCAAGTGGAGATATGGACCGCTTTGAGGCCTATGGTAGTAAAGGAAATAGCTTCATATAAAAGCTAGACAGTAGCATTCTCAGAAACTTCTTTGTGATGCTTGCATTCAACTCACAGAGTTGAACTTTCCTTTCGAGAGAGAAGCTTTGAAACACTCTTTTTCCAGAATCTGCAAGTGGACATTTGGAGGGCTTTGAGGCCTGTGGTGGAAAAGGAATTATCTTCCCGTAAAAGCTAGATAGAAGCATTGTCAGAAACTTCCTTGTGATGATTGCATTCAACTCACAGAGTTGAAGGTTCCTTTTCAAAGAGCAGTTTCCAATCACTCTTTCTGTGGAATCTGCAAGTGGATATTTGGACCTATTTTGAAGATTTCGTTGGAAACGGGAGAATCTTCACAGGAAAGCTAAACAGAAGCATTCTCAGAAACTTCTCTGTGATGTTTGTGTTCAACTCCCAGAGTTTCACATTGCTTTTCATAGAGTAGTTCTGAAACATGCTTTTCGTAGTGTCTACAAGTGGACATTTGGAGCGCTTCCAGTCCTGTGGTGGAAAACGAATTATGGTCACATAAAAACTGGAGAGAAGCTTTCTCAGAAACTTCTCTGTGATGATTGCATTCAACTCACAGAGTTGAACCCTCCTATGGATAGAGCAGTGTTGAAACTCTCTTTTTGTGGAATCTGCAAGTGGATATGTGGACCTCTCCGAAGATGTCTTTGGCAACGGGAATATCTTCACATAAAAACTAAACAGAAGCATTCTCAGAAACTTCTTGGTGATGTTTGCATTCAAATCCCAGAGTTGAACCTTCCTTTGACAGTTCAGGTTTGAAACACTCTTTTTGTAGGATCTGCAAGTGGATATTTGGACCACTCTGTGGCCTTCGTTCGAAACGGGTACATCTTCGCATAAAATCTAGACAGAAGCATTCTCAGAAAATACTTTGTGATGATTGAGTTTAACTCACAGAGCTGAACATTCCTTTGGATGGAGCAGGTTTGAGACACACTTTTTGTAGAATCTACAAGTGGATATTTGGACCTCTCTGAGGATTTCGTTGGAAACGGGATAACTGCACCTAACTAAACGGAAGCATTCTCAGAAACTGCTTTGTGATGATTGCATTCACCTCACAGAGTTGAACATTCCTATTGATAGAGCAGTTTGGAAACACTCTTGTTGTGGAATGTGCTAGTGGAGATTTGGAGCGCTTTGAGGCCTATGGTAGTAAAGGGAATAGCTTCATAGAAAAACTAGACAGATGCATTCTCAGGAACTTTTTGGTGATGTTTGTATTCAACTCCCAGAGTTGAACTTTCCTTTGGAAAGAGCAGCTATGAAACACTCTTTTTCTAGAATCTGCAAGTGGACGTTTGGAGGGCTTTGTGGTTTGTGGTGGAAAAGGAAATATCTTCACCTAAATACTAGAGAGAAGCATTCTCAGAAGCTTCTCTGTGATGACTGCATTCAACTCACGGAGTTGAACACTCCTTTTGAGAGCGCAGTTTTGAAACTCTCTTTCTGTGGCATCCGCAAGGGGACATGTAGACCTCTTTGAAGATTTCGTTGGAAACGGAATCATCTTCACATAAAAACTATACAGAAGCATTCTCAGAAACTTCTTGGTGATGTTTGCATTCAAATCCCAGAGTTGAACCTTCCTTTGACAGTTCAGGTTTGAAACACTCTTTTTGCAGGATCTACAAGTGGATATTTGGACCACTCTGTGTCCTTCGTTCGAAACGGGTATATCTTCACATGACATCTAGACAGAAGCATTCTCAGAAAATACTTTGTGATGATTGAGTTTAACTCACAGAGCTGAACATTCCTTTGGATGGAGCAGGTTTGAGACACACTTTTTGTAGAATCTACAAGTGGATATTTGGACCTCTCTGAGGATTTCGTTGGAAACGGGATAACTGCACCTAACTAAACGGAAGCATTCTCAGAAACTGCTTTGTGATGATTGCATTCACCTCACAGAGTTGAACATTCCTATTGATAGAGCAGTTTGGAAACACTCTTGTTGTGGAATGTGCAAGTGGAGATTTGGAGCGCTTTGAGGCCTATGGTAGTAAAGGGAATAGCTTCATAGAAAAACTAGACAGATGCATTCTCAGGAACTTTTTGGTGATGTTTGTATTCAACTCCCAGAGTTGAACTTTCCTTTGGAAAGAGCAGCTATGAAACACTCTTTTTCTAGAATCTGCAAGTGGACGTTTGGAGGGCTTTGTGGTTTGTGGTGGAAAAGGAAATATCTTCACCTAAATACTAGATAGAAGCATTCTCAGAAGCTTCTCTGTGATGACTGCATTCAACTCACGGAGTTGAACACTCCTTTTGAGAGCGCAGTTTTGAAACTCTCTTTCTGTGGCATCTGCAAGGGGACATGTAGACCTCTTTGAAGATTTCGTTGGAAACGGAATCATCTTCACATAAAAACTATACAGAAGCAGTCTCAGAATCTTCTTTGTGATGTTTGCATTCAAATCCCAGAGTTGAACTTTCCTTTCAAAGTTCACGTTTGAAACACTCTTTTTGCAGGATCTACAAGTGGATATTTGGACCACTCTGTGTCCTTCGTTCGAAACGGGTATATCTTCACACGACATCTAGACAGAAGCTTTCTCAGAAAATTCTTTGGGATGATTGAGTGGAACTCACAGAGCTGAACATTCCTTGCGATGTAGCAGTTTAGAAACACACTTTCTGCAGAATCTGCAAGTGCATATTTGGACCTCTCTGAGGAATTCGTTGGAAACGGGATAATTTCAGCTGACTAAACAGAAGCATTCTCAGAACCTTCTTCGTGGTGTCTGCATTCAACTCACAGTGTGGAACCTTTCTTTGATAGTTCAGGTTTGAAACACTCTTTTTGTAGAAACTGCAAGGGGATAATTGCACTTCTTTGAGGCCTACCGCAGTAAAGGAAATAACTTCCTATAGAAAGAAGACAGAAGCATTCTCAGAACCCTCTTCGTGATGTTTGCATTCAACTCACAGTGCTGAACCTTTCTTTGATAGTTCAGCTTTGAAACACTCTTCTTGTAGAAACTGCAAGTGGATATTTGGTCCTCTCTGAGGATTTCGTTGGAAACGGGATAAACCGCACAGAACTAAACAGAAGAATTCTCAGAGCCCTCTTCGTGATGTTTGCATTCAACTCACAGTGCTGAACCTTTCTTTGATAGTGCAGCTTTGAAACACTCTTTTTGTAGAAACTGCAAGTGGATGTTTGGTCCTCTCTGAGGATTTCGTTGGAAACGGGATAAACCGCACAGAACTAAAACAGAAGCATTGTCAGAAACTTCTTTGTGATGATTGCATTCAACTCACAGAGTTGAAGGTTCCTTTTCAAACAGCAGTTTCCAATCACTCTTTCTGTGGAATCTGCAAGTGGATATTTGGGCCTCTCTGAGGATTTCGTTGGAAACGGGATAAAACGCACAGAACTAAAACAGAAGCATTCTCAGAAACTTCTCTGTGATGTTTGTGTTCAACTCCCAGAGTTTCACGTTGCTTTTCATAGAGTAGTTCTGAAACATGCTTTTCATAGTGTCTGCAAGTGGACATTTGGAGCGCTTTCAGGCCTGTGGTGGAAAACGAATTATGGTCACATAAAAACTGGAGAGAAGCCTTCTCAGAAACTTCTCTGTGATGATTGCATTCAACTCACAGAGTTGAACCCTCCTATGGATAGAGCAGTGTTGAAACTCTCTTTTTGTGGAATCTGCAAGTGGATATGTGGACCTCTCCGAAGATGTCTTTGGAAACGGGAATATCTTCACATAAAAACTAAACAGAAGCATTCTCAGAAACTTCTTGGTGATGTTTGCATTCAAATCCCAGAGTTGAACCTTCCTTTGATAGTTCAGGTTTGAAACACTCTTTCTGTAGGATCTGCAAGTGGCTATTTGGACCACTCTGTGGCCTTCGTTCGAAACGGGTATATCTTCGCATAAAATCTAGACAGAAGCATTCTCAGAAAATACTTTGTGATGATTGAGTTTAAATCACAGAGCTGACCATTCCTTTGGATGGAGCAGGTTTGAGACACACTTTTTGTAGAATCTACAAGTGGATATTTGGACCTCTCTGAGGATTTCGTTGGAAACGGGATAACTGCACCTAACTAAACGGAAGCATTCTCAGAAACTGCTTTGTGATGATTGCATTCACCTCACAGAGTTGAACATTCCTATTGATAGAGCAGTTTGGAAACACTCTTGTTGTGGAATGTGCAAGTGGAGATTTGGAGCGCTTTGAGGCCTGTGGTAGTAAAGGGAATAGCTTCATAGAAAAACTAGACAGATGCATTCTCAGGAACTTCTTTTTGGTGATGTTTGTATTCAACTCCCAGAGTTGAACTTTCCTTTGGAAAGAGCAGCTATGAAACACTCTTTTTCTAGAATCTGCAAGTGGACGTTTGGAGGGCTTTGTGGTTTGTGGTGGAAAAGGAAATATCTTCACCTAAATACTAGATAGAAGCATTCTCAGAAGCTTCTCTGTGATGACTGCATTCAACTCACGGAGTTGAACACTCCTTTTGAGAGCGCAGTTTTGAAACTCTCTTTCTGTGGCATCTGCAAGGGGACATGTAGACCTCTTTGAAGATTTCGTTGGAAACGGAATCATCTTCACATAAAAACTATACAGAAGCAGTCTCAGAATCTTCTTTGTGATGTTTGCATTCAAATCCCAGAGTTGAACTTTCCTTTCAAAGTTCACGTTTGAAACACTCTTTTTGCAGGATCTACAAGTGGATATTTGGACCACTCTGTGTCCTTCGTTCGAAACGGGTATAACTTCACACGACATCTAGACAGAAGCTTTCTCAGAAAATTCTTTGGGATGATTGAGTGGAACTCACAGTAGCTGAACATTCCTTGCGATGGAGCAGTTTAGAAACACACTTTCTGCAGAATCTGCAAGTGCATATTTGGACCTCTCTGAGGAATTCGTTGGAAACGGGATAATTTCAGCTGACTAAACAGAAGCATTCTCAGAACCTTCTTCGTGATGTCTGCATTCAACTCACAGTGTGGAACCTTTCTTTGATAGTTCAGGTTTGAAACACTCTTTTTGTAGAAACTGCAAGAGGATAATTGCACTTCTTTGAGGCCTACCGTAGTAAAGGAAATAACTTCCTATAGAAAGAAGACAGAAGCATTCTCAGAACCCTCTTCGTGATGTTTGCATTCAACTCACAGTGCTGAACCTTTCTTTGATAGTTCAGCTTTGAAACACTCTTTTTGTAGAAACTGCAAGTGGATATTTGGTCCTCTCTGAGGATTTCGTTGGAAACGGGATAAACTGCACAGAACTAAACAGAAGCATTCTCAGAACCTTCTTCGTGATGTTTGCATTCAACTCACAGTGTTGAACCTTTCTTTGATAGTTCAGGTTTGAAACGGTCTTTCTGCAGAAACTGCAAGTAGATATTTGGACCGCTCTGAGGATTTCGTTGGAAACGGGATAACCCGCACAGAACTAAAACAGAAGCATTCACAGAAAACTCTTGGTGACGACTGAGTTTAACTCACAGAGCTGAACATTCCTTTGGATGGAGCAGTTTCGAAACACACTATTTGTAGAATGTGCAAGTGGATATTTAGGCCTCTCTGAGGATTTCGTTGGAAACGGGATAAACCGCACAGAACTAAACAGAAGCATTCTCAGAAACTACTTTGTGATGATTGCATTCAAGTCACAGAGTTGAACATTCCCTTTGACAGAGCAGTTTGGAAACTCTCTTTGTGTAGAATCTGCAAGTGGAGATATGGACCGCTTTGAGGCCTATGGTAGTAAAGGAAATAGCTTCATATAAAAGCTAGACAGTAGCATTCTCAGAAACTTCTTTGTGATGCTTGCATTCAACTCACAGAGTTGAACTTTCCTTTCGAGAGAGAAGCTTTGAAACACTCTTTTTCCAGAATCTGCAAGTGGACATTTGGAGGGCTTTGAGGCCTGTGGTGGAAAAGGAATTATCTTCCCGTAAAAGCTAGATAGAAGCATTGTCAGAAACTTCTTTGTGATGATTGCATTCAACTCACAGAGTTGAAGGTTCCTTTTCAAACAGCAGTTTCCAATCACTCTTTCTGTGGAATGTGCAAGTGGATATTTGGACCTCTTTGAAGATTTCGTTGGAAACGGGAGAATCTTCACAGAAAAGCTAAACAGAAGCATTCTGAGAAACTTCTCTGTGATGTTTGTGTTCAACTCCCAGAGTTTCACATTGCTTTTCATAGAGTAGTTCTGAAACATGCTTTTCGTAGTGTCTGCAAGTGGACATTTGGAGCGCTTTCAGGCCTGTGGTGGAAAACGATTTATGGTCACATAAAAACTGGAGAGAAGCCTCCTCAGAAACTTCCCTGTGATGATTGCATTCAACTCACAGAGTTGAACCCTCCTATGGATAGAGCAGTGTTGAAACTCTCTTTTTGTGGAATCTGCAAGTGGATATGTGGACCTCTCCGAAGATGTCTTTGGAAACGGGAATATCTTCACATAAAAACTAAACAGAAGCATTCTCAGAAACTTCTTGGTGATGTTTGCATTCAAATACCAGAGTTGAACCTTCCTTTGATAGTTCAGGTTTGAAACACTCTTTTTGTAGGATCTGCAAGTGGATATTTGGACCACTCTGTGGCCTTCTTTCGAAACGGGTATATCTTCGCATAAAATCTAGACAGAAGCATTCTCAGAAAACACTTTGTGATGATTGAGTTGAACTCACAGAGCTGAACATTCCTTTGGATGGAGCAGGTTTGAGACACACTTTTTGTAGAATCTACAAGTGGATATTTGGACCTCTCTGAGGATTTCGTTGGAAACGGGATAACTGCACCTAACTAAACGGAAGCATTCTCAGAAACTGCTTTGTGATGATTGCATTCACCTCACAGAGTTGAACATTCCTATTGATAGAGCAGTTTGGAAACACTCTTGTTGTGGAATGTGCAAGTGGAGATTTGGAGCGCTTTGAGGCCTATGGTAGTAAAGGGAATAGCTTCATAGAAAAACTAGACAGATGCATTCTCAGGAACTTTTTGGTGATGTTTGTATTCAACTCCCAAGAGTTGAACTTTCCTTTGGAAAGAGCAGCTATGAAACACTCTTTTTCTAGAATCTGCAAGTGGACGTTTGGAGGGCTTTGTGGTTTGTGGTGGAAAAGGAAATATCTTCACCTAAATACTAGATAGAAGCATTCTCAGAAGCTTCTCTGTGATGACTGCATTCAACTCACGGAGTTGAACACTCCTTTTGAGAGCGCAGTTTTGAAACTCTCTTTCTCTGGCATCTGCAAGGGGACATGTAGACCTCTTTGAAGATTTCGTTGGAAACGGAATCATCTTCACATAAAAACTATACAGAAGCAGTCTCAGAATCTTCTTTGTGATGTTTGCATTCAAATCCCAGAGTTGAACTTTCCTTTCAAAGTTCACGTTTGAAACACTCTTTTTGCAGGATCTACAAGTGGATATTTGGACCACTCTGTGTCCTTCGTTCGAAACGGGTATATCTTCACATGACATCTAGACAGAAGCTTTCTCAGAAAATTGTTTGGGATGATTGATTTGAACTCACAGAGCTGAGCATTCCTTGTGATGTAGCAGTTTAGAAACACACTTTCTGCAGAATCTGCAAGTGCATATTTGGACCTCTCTGAGGAATTCGTTGGAAACGGGATAATTTCAGCTGACTAAACAGAAGCATTCTCAGAACCTTCTTCGTGATGTCTGCATTCAACTCACAGTGTGGAACCTTTCTTTGATAGTTCAGGTTTGAAACACTCTTTTTGTAGAAACTGCAAGGGGATAATTGCACTCTTTGAGGAGTACCGTAGTAAAGGAAATAACTTCCTATAAAAAGAAGACAGAAGCATTCTCAGAACCCTCTTCGTGATGTTTGCATTCAACTCATAGTGCTGAACCTTTCTTTGATAGTTCAGCTTTGAAACACTCTTTTTGTAGAAACTGCAAATGGATATTTGGTCCTCTCTGAGGATTTCGTTGGAAAAGGGATAAAACGCACAGAACTAAACAGAAGCATTCTCAGAACCTTCTTCGTGATGTTTGCATTCAACTCACAGTGTTGAACCTTTCTTTGATAGTTCAGGTTGGAAACGGTCTTTCTGTAGAAACTGCAAGTAGATATTTGGACCTCTCTGAGGATTTCGTTGGAAACGGGATAAACCGCACAGAACTAAAACAGAAGCATTCACAGAAAACTCTTGGTGACGACTGAGTTTAACTCACAGAGCTGAACATTCCTTTGGATGGAGCAGTTTCAAAACACACTATTTGTAGAATGTGCAAGTGGATATTTGGGCCTCTCTGAGGATTTCGTTGGAAAAGGGATAAACCGCACAGAACTAAACAGAAGCATTCTCAGAAACTACTTTGTGATGATTGCATTCAAGTCACAGAGTTGAACATTCCCTTTGACAGGGCAGTTTGGAAACTCTCTTTGTGTAGAATCTGCAAGTGGAGACATGGACCGCTTTGAGGCCTATGGTAGTAAAGTAAATAGCTTCATATAAAAGCTAGACAGTAGCATTCTCAGAAACTTCTTTGTGATGCTTGCATTCAACTCACAGAGTTGAACTTTCCTTTCGAGAGAGAAGCTTTGAAACACTCTTTTTCCAGAATCTGCAAGTGGACATTTGGAGGGCTTTGAGGCCTGTGGTGGAAAATGAATTATCTTCCCGTATAAGCTAGATAGAAGCATTGTCAGAAACTTCTTTGTGATGATTGCATTCAACTCACAGTAGTTGAAGGTTCCTTTTCAAAGAGCAGTTTCCAATCACTCTTTCTGTGGAATCTGCAAGTGGATATTTGGACCTATTTTGAAGATTTCGTTGGAAACGGGAGAATCTTCACAGGAAAGCTAAACAGAAGCATTCTCAGAAACTTCTCTGTGATGTTTGTGTTCAACTCCCAGAGTTTCACATTGCTTTTCATAGAGTAGTTCTGAAACATGCTTTTCGTAGTGTCTACAAGTGGACATTTGGAGCGCTTTCAGGCCTGTGGTGGAAAACGAATTATGGTCACATAAAAACTGGAGAGAAGCCTTCTCAGAAACTTCTCTGTGATGATTGCATTCAACTCACAGATTTGAACCCTCCTATGGATAGAGCAGTGTTGAAACTCTCTTTTTGTGGAATCTGCAAGCGGATATGTGGACCTCTCCGAAGATGTCTTTGGCAACGGGAATATCTTCACATAAAAACTAAACAGAAGCATTCTCAGAAACTTCTTGATGATGTTTGCATTCAAATCCCAGAGTTGAACCTTCCTTTGAGAGTTCAGGTTTGAAACACTCTTTTTGTAGGATCTGCAAGTGGATATTTGGACCACTCTGTGGCCTTCGTTCCAAACGGGTACATCTTCGCATAAAATCTAGACAGAAGCATTCTCAGAAAATACTTTGTGATGATTGAGTTTAACTCACAGAGCTGAACATTCCTTTGGATGGAGCAGGTTTGAGACACACCTTTTGTAGAATCTACAAGTGGATATTTGGACCTCTCTGAGGATTTCGTTGGAAACGGGATAACTGCACCTAACTAAACGGAAGCATTCTCAGAAACTGCTTTGTGATGATTGCATTCACCTCACAGAGTTGAACATTCCTATTGATAGAGCAGTTTGGAAACACTCTTGTTGTGGAATGTGCAAGTGGAGATTTGGAGCGCTTTGAGGCCTATGGTAGTAAAGGGAATAGCTTCATAGAAAAACTAGACAGATGCATTCTCAGGAACTTTTTGGTGATGTTTGTATTCAACTCCCAGAGTTGAACTTTCCTTTGGAAAGAGCAGCTATGAAACACTCTTTTTCTAGAATCTGCAAGTGGACGTTTGGAGGGCTTTGTGGTTTGTGGTGGAAAAGGAAATATCTTCACCTAAATACTAGATAGAAGCATTCTCAGAAGCTTCTCTGAGATGACTGCATTCAACTCACGGAGTTGAACACTCCTTTTGAGAGCGCAGTTTTGAAACTCTCTTTCTGTGGCATCTGCAAGGGGACATGTAGACCTCTTTGAAGATTTCGTTGGAAACGGAATCATCTTCACATAAAAACTATACAGAAGCAGTCTCAGAATCTTCTTTGTGATGTTTGCATTCAAATCCCCGAGTTGAACTTTCCTTTCAAAGTTCACGTTTGAAACACTCTTTTTGCAGGATCTACAAGTGGATATTTGGACCACTCTGTGTCCTTCGTTCGAAACGGGTATATCTTCACATGACATCTAGACAGAAGCTTTCTCAGAAAATTCTTTGGGATGATTGAGTAGAACTCACAGAGCTGAGCATTCCTTGCGATGTAGCAGTTTAGAAACACACTTTCTGCAGAATCTGCAAGTGCATATTTGGACCTCTGTGAGGAATTCGTTGGAAACGGGATAATTTCAGCTGACTAAACAGAAGCATTCTCAGAACCTTCTTCGTGATGTCTGCATTCAACTCACAGTGTGGAACCTTTCTTTGATAGTTCAGGTTTGAAACACTCTTTCTGTAGAAACTGCAAGGGGATAATTGCACTCTTTGAGGAGTACCGTAGTAAAGGAAATAACTTCCTATAAAAAGAAGACAGAAGCATTCTCAGAACCCTCTTCGTGATGTTTGCATTCAACTCACAGTGCTGAACCTTTCTTTGATAGTTCAGCTTTGAAACACTCTTTTTGTAGAAACTGCAAGTGGATATTTGGTCCTCTCTGAGGATTTCGTTGGAAACGGGATAAACTGCACAGAACTAAACAGAAGCATTCTCAGAACCTTCTTCGTGATGTTTGCATTCAACTCACAGTGTTGAACCTTTCTTTGATAGTTCAGGTTGGAAACGGTCTTTCTGTAGAAACTGCAAGTAGATATTTGGACCTCTCTGAGGATTTCGTTGGAAACGGGATAACCCGCACAGAACTAAAACAGAAGCATTCAGAAAAAACTCTTGGTGACGACTGAGTTTAACTCACAGAGCTGAACATTCCTTTGGATGGAGCAGTTTCGAAACACACTATTTGTAGAATGTGCAAGTGGATATTTGGGCCTCTCTGAGGATTTCGTTGGAAACGGGATAAACCGCACAGAACTAAACAGAAGCATTCTCAGAAACTACTTTGTGATGATTGCATTCAAGTCACAGAGTTGAACATTCCCTTTGACAGAGCAGTTTGGAAACTCTCTTTGTGTAGAATCTGCAAGTGGAGATATGGACCGCTTTGAGGCCTATGGTAGTAAAGGAAATAGCTTCATATAAAAGCTAGACAGTAGCATTCTCAGAAACTTCTTTGTGATGCTTGCATTCAACTCACAGAGTTGAACTTTCCTTTCGAGAGAGAAGCTTTGAAACACTCTTTTTCCAGAATCTGCAAGTGGACATTTGGAGGGCTTTGAGGCCTGTGGTGGAAAAGGAATTATCTTCCCGTAAAAGCTAGACAGAAGCATTGTCAGAAACTTCTTTGTGATGATTGCATTCAACTCACAGAGATGAAGGTTCCTTTACAAACAGCAGTTTCCAAACACTCTTTCTGTGGAATCTGCAAGTGGATATTTGGACCTCTTTGAAGATTTCGTTGGAAACGGGAGAATCTTCACAGAAAAGCTAAACAGAAGCATTCTCAGAAACTTCTCTGTGATGTTTGTGTTCAACTCCCAGAGTTTCACATTGCTTTTCATAGAGTAGTTCTGAAACATGCTTTTCGTAGTGTCTGCAAGTGGACATTTGGAGCGCTTTCAGGCCTGTGGTGGAAAACGAATTATGGTCCCATAAAAACTGGAGAGAAGCCTTCTCAGAAACTTCTCTGTGATGATTGCATTCAACTCACAGAGTTGAACCCTCCTATGGATAGAGCATTGTTGAAACTCTCTTTTTGTGGAATCTGCAAGTGGATATGTGGACCTCTCCGAAGATGTCTTTGGAAACGGGCATATCTTCACATAAAAACTAAACAGAAGCATTCTCAGAAACTTCTTGGTGATGTTTGCATTCAAATCCCAGAGTTGAACCTTCCTTTGATAGTTCAGGTTTGAAACACTCTTTTTGTAGGATCTGCAAGTGGATATTTGGACCACTCTGTGGCCTTCGTTCGAAACGGGTACATCTTCACATAAAATCTAGACAGATGCATTCTCAGGAACTTTTGGTGACGTTTGTATTCAACTCCCAGAGTTGAACTTTCCTTTGGAAAGAGCAGCTATGAAACACTCTTTTTCTAGAATCTGCAAGTGGACGTTTGGAGGGCTTTGTGGTTTGTGGTGGAAAAGGAAATATCTTCACCTAAATACTAGATGGAAACATTCTCAGAAGCTTCTCTGTGATGACTGCATTCAACTCACGGAGTTGAACACTCCTTTTGAGAGCGCAGTTTTGAAACTCTGTTTCTGTGGCATCTGCAAGGGGACATGTAGACCTCTTTGAAGATTTCGTTGGAAACGGAATCATCTTCACATCAAAACTATACAGAAGCAGTCTCAGAATCTTCTTTGTGATGTTTGCATTCAAATCCCAGAGTTGAACTTTCCTTTCAAAGTTCACGTTTGAAACACTCTTTTTGCAGGATCTACAAGTGGATATTTGGACCACTCTGTGTCCTTCGTTCGAAACGGGTATATCTTCACATGACATCTAGACAGAAGCTTTCTCAGAAAATTCTTTGGGATGATTGAGTGGAACTCACAGAGCTGAACATTCCTTGCGATGTAGCAGTTTAGAAACACACTTTCTGCAGAATCTGCAAGTGCATATTTGGACCTCTCTGAGGAATTCGTTGGAAACGGGATAATTTCAGCTGACAAAACAGAAGCATTCTCAGAACCTTCTTCGTGATGTCTGCATTCAACTCACAGTGTGGAACCTTTCTTTGATAGTTCAGGTTTGAAACACTCTTTTTGTAGAAACTGCAAGGGGATAATTGCACTTCTTTGAGGCCTACCGTAGTAAAGGAAATAACTTCCTATAGAAAGAAGACAGAAGCATTCTCAGAACCCTCTTCGTGATGTTTGCATTCAACTCACAGTGCTGAACCTTTCTTTGATAGTTCAGCTTTGAAACACTCTTCTTGTAGAAACTGCAAGTGGATATTTGGTCCTCTCTGAGGATTTCGTTGGAAACGGGATAAACTGCACAGAACTAAACAGAAGAATTCTCAGAGCCCTCTTCGTGATGTTTGCATTCAACTCACAGTGCTGAACCTTTCTTTGATAGTGCAGCTTTGAAACACTCTTTTTGTAGAAACTGCAAGTGGATGTTTGGTCCTCTCTGAGGATTTCGTTGGAAACGGGATAAACCGCACAGAACTAAAACAGAAGCATTGTCAGAAACTTCTTTGTGATGATTGCATTCAACTCACAGAGTTGAAGGTTCCTTTTCAAACAGCAGTTTCCAATCACTCTTTCTGTGGAATCTGCAAGTGGATATTTGGGCCTCTCTGAGGATTTCGTTGGAAACGGGATAAAACGCACAGAACTAAAACAGAAGCATTCTCAGAAACTTCTCTGTGATGTTTGTGTTCAACTCCCAGAGTTTCACGTTGCTTTTCATAGAGTAGTTCTGAAACATGCTTTTCGTAGTGTCTGCAAGTGGACATTTGGAGCGCTTTCAGGCCTGTGGTGGAAAACGAATTATGGTCACATAAAAACTGGAGAGAAGCCTTCTCAGAAACTTCTCTGTGATGATTGCATTCAACTCACAGAGTTGAACCCTCCTATGGATAGAGCAGTGTTGAAACTCTCTTTTTGTGGAATCTGCAAGTGGATATGTGGACCTCTCCGAAGATGTCTTTGGAAACGGGAATATCTTCACATAAAAACTAAACAGAAGCATTCTCAGAAACTTCTTGGTGATGTTTGCATTCAAATCCCAGAGTTGAACCTTCCTTTGATAGTTCAGGTTTGAAACACTCTTTCTGTAGGATCTGCAAGTGGCTATTTGGACCACTCTGTGGCCTTCGTTCGAAACGGGTATATCTTCGCATAAAATCTAGACAGAAAGCATTCTCAGAAAATACTTTGTGATGATTGAGTTTAAATCACAGAGCTGAACATTCCTTTGGATGGAGCAGGTTTGAGACACACTTTTTGTAGAATCTACAAGTGGATATTTGGACCTCTCTGAGGATTTCGTTGGAAACGGGATAACTGCACCTAACTAAACGGAAGCATTCTCAGAAACTGCTTTGTGATGATTGCATTCACCTCACAGAGTTGAACATTCCTATTGATAGAGCAGTTTGGAAACACTCTTGTTGTGGAATGTGCAAGTGGAGATTTGGAGCGCTTTGAGGCCTATGATAGTAAAGGGAATAGCTTCATAGAAAAACTAGACAGATGCATTCTCAGGAACTTTTTGGTGATGTTTGTATTCAACTCCCAGAGTTGAACTTTCCTTTGGAAAGAGCAGCTATGAAACACTCTTTTTCTAGAATCTGCAAGTGGACGTTTGGAGGGCTTTGTGGTTTGTGGTGGAAAAGGAAATATCTTCACCGAAATACTAGAGAGAAAGCATTCTCAGAAGCTTCTCTGTGATGACTGCATTCAACTCACGGAGTTGAACACTCCTTTTGAGAGCGCAGTTTTGAAACTCTCTTTCTGTGGCATCCGCAAGGGGACATGTGGACCTCTTTGAAGATTTCGTTGGAAACGGAATCATCTTCACATAAAAACTATACAGAAGCAGTCTCAGAATCTTCTTTGTGATGTTTGCATTCAAATCCCAGAGTTGAACTTTCCTTTCAAAGTTCACTTTTGAAATACTCTTTTTGCAGGATCTACAAGTGGATATTTGGACCACTCTGTGTCCTTCGTTCGAAACGGGTATATCTTCACATGACATCTAGACAGAAGCTTTCTCAGAAAATTCTTTGGGATGATTGAGTGGAGCAAACAGAGCTGAACACTCCTTGCGATGTAGCAGTTTAGAAACACCCTTTCTGCAGAATCTGCAAGTGCATATGTGGACCTCTCTGAGGAATTCGTTGGAAACGGGATAATTTCAGCTGACTAAACAGAAGCATTCTCAGAACCTTCTTCGTGATGTCTGCATTCAACTCACAGTGTGGAACCTTTCTTTGATAGTTCAGGTTTGAAACACTCTTTTTGTAGAAACTGCAAGGGGATAATTGCACTTCTTTGAGGCCTACCGTAGTAAAGGAAATAACTTCCTATAAAAAGAAGACAGAAGCATTCTCAGAACCCTCTTCGTGATGTTTGCATTCAATTCACGGTGCTGAAACTTTCTTTGATAGTTCAGCTTTGAAACACTCTTTTTGTAGAAACTGCAAGTGGATATTTGGTCCTCTCTGAGGATTTCGTTGGAAACGGGATAAACCGCACAGAACTATACAGAAGCATTCTCAGAACCTTCTTCGTGATGTTTGCATTCAACTCACAGTGTTGAACCTTTCTTTGATAGTTCAGGTTTGAAACGGTCTTTCTGTAGAAACTGCAAGTAGATATTTGGCCCTCTCTGAGGATTTCGTTGGAAACGGGATAAACCGCACAGAACTAAAACAGAAGCATTCACAGAAAACTCTTGGTGACGACTGAGTTTAACTCACAGAACTGAACATTCCTTTGGATGGAGCAGTTTCGAAACACACTATTTGTAGAATGTGCAAGTGGATATGTGGGCCTCTCTGAGGATTTCGTTGGAAACGGGATAAACCGCACAGAACTAAACAGAAGCATTCTCAGAAACTACTTTGTGAAGATTGCATTCAAGTCACAGAGTTGAACATTCCCTTTGACAGAGCAGTTTGGAAACTCTCTTTGTGTAGAATCTGCAAGTGGAGATATGGACCGCTTTGAGGCCTATGGTAGTAAAGGAAATAGCTTCATATAAAAGCTAGACAGTAGCATTCTCAGAAACTTCTTTGTGATGCTTGCATTCAACTCACAGAGTTGAACTTTCCTTTCGAGAGAGAAGCTTTGAAACACTCTTTTTCCAGAATCTGCAAGTGGACATTTGGAGGGCTTTGAGGCCTGTGGTGGAAAAGGAATTATCTTCCCGTAAAAGCCTAGATAGAAGCATTGTCAGAAACTTCTTTGTGATGATTGCATTCAAGTCACAGAGTTGAAGGTTCCTTTTCAAAGAGCAGTTTCCAATCACTCTTTCTGTGGAATCTGCAAGTGGATATTTGGACCTCTTTGAAGATTTCGTTGGAAACGGGAGAATCTTCACAGAAAAGCTAAACAGAAGCATTCTCAGAAACTTCTCTGTGATGTTTGTGTTCAACTCCCAGAGTTTCACATTGCTTCTCATAGAGTAGTTCTGAAACATGCTTTTCGTAGTGTCTGCAAGTGGACATTTGGAGCGCTTTCAGGCCTGTGGTGGAAAACGAATTATGGTCACATAAAAACTGGAGAGAAGCCTTCTCAGAAACTTCTGTGTGATGACTGCATTCAACTCACAGAGTTGAACCCTCCTATGGATAGAGCAGTGTTGAAACTCTCTTTTTGTGGAATCTGCAAGTGGATATGTGGACCTCTTTGAAGATGTCTTTGGAAACGGGAATATCTTCACATAAAAACTAAACAGAAGCATTCTGAGAAACTTCTTGGTGATGTTTGCATTCAAATCCCAGAGTTGGAACTTCCTTTGAGAGTTCAGGTTTGAAACACTCTTTTTGTAGGATCTGCAAGTGGATATTTGGACCACTCTGTGGCCTTCGTTCGAAACGGGTACATCTTCGCATAAAATCTAGACAGAAGCATTCTCAGAAAATACTTTGTGATGATTGAGTTGAACTCACAGAGCTGAACATTCCTTTGGATGGAGCAGGTTTGAGACACACTTTTTGTAGAATCTACAAGTGGATATTTGGACCTCTCTGAGGATTTCGTTGGAAACGGGATAACTGCACCTAACTAAACGGAAGCATTCTCAGAAACTGCTTTGTGATGATTGCATTCACCTCACAGAGTTGAACATTCCTATTGATAGAGCAGTTTGGAAACACTCTTGTTGTGGAATGTGCAAGTGGAGATTTGGAGCGCTTTGAGGCCTATGGTAGTAAAGGGAATAGCTTCATAGAAAAACTAGACAGATGCATTCTCAGGAACTTTTTGGTGATGTTTGTATTCAACTCCCAGAGTTGAACTTTCCTTTGGAAAGAGCAGCTATGAAACACTCTTTTTCTAGAATCTGCAAGTGGACGTTTGGAGGGCTTTGTGGTTTGTGGTGGAAAAGGAAATATCTTCACCTAAATACTAGATAGAAGCATTCTCAGAAGCTTCTCTGTGATGACTGCATTCAACTCACGGAGTTGAACACTCCTTTTGAGAGCGCAGTTTTGAAACTCTCCTTCTGTGGCATCCGCAAGGGGACATGTGGACCTCTTTGAAGATTTCGTTGGAAACGGAATCATCTTCACATAAAAACTATACAGAAGCAGTCTCAGAATCTTCTTTGTGGTGTTTGCATTCAAATCCCAGAGTTGAACTTTCCTTTCAAAGTTCACGTTTGAAACACTCTTTTTGCAGGATCTACAAGTGGATATTTGGACCACTCTGTGTCCTTCGTTCGAAACGGGTATATCTTCACATGACATCTAGACAGAAGCTTTCTCAGAAAATTCTTTGGGATGATTGAGTGGAACTCACAGAGCTGAACATTCCTTGCGATGTAGCAGTTTAGAAACACACTTTCTGCAGAATCTGCAAGTGCATATTTGGACCTCTCTGAGGAATTCGTTGGAAACGGGATAATTTCAGCTGACTAAACAGAAGCATTCTCAGAACCTTCTTCGTGATGTCTGCATTCAACTCACAGTGTGGAACCTTTCTTTGATAGTTCAGGTTTGAAACACTCTTTTTGTAGAAACTGCAAGGGGATAATTGCACTTCTTTGAGGCCTACCGTAGTAAAGGAAATAACTTCCTATAGAAAGAAGACAGAAGCATTCTCAGAACCCTCTTCGTGATGTTTGCATTCAACTCACAGTGCTGAACCTTTCTTTGATAGTTCAGCTTTGAAACACTCTTCTTGTAGAAACTGCAAGTGGATATTTGGTCCTCTCTGAGGATTTCGTTGGAAACGGGATAAACCGCACAGAACTAAACAGAAGCATTCTCAGAACCTTCTTCGTGATGTTTGCATTCAACTCACAGTGTTGAACCTTTCTTTGATAGTTCAGGTTTGAAACGGTCTTTCTGTAGAAACTGCAAGTAGATATTTGGACCTCTCTGAGGATTTCGTTGGAAACGGGATAAACCGCACAGAACTAAAACAGAAGCATTCACAGAAAACTCTTGGTGACGACTGAGTTTAACTCACAGAGCTGAACATTCCTTTGGATGGAGCAGTTTCGAAACACACTATTAGTAGAATCTGCAAGTGGATATTTGGGCCTCTCTGAGGATTTCGTTGGAAACGGGATAAAACGCACAGAACTAAAACAGAAGCATTCTCAGAAACTACTTTGTGATGATTGCATTCAAGTCACAGAGTTGAACATTCCCTTTGACAGAGCAGTTTGGAAACTCTCTTTGTGTAGAATCTGCAAGTGGAGATATGGACCGCTTTGAGGCCTATGGTAGTAAAGGAAATAGCTTCATATAAAAGCTAGACAGTAGCATTCTCAGAAACTTCTTTGTGATGCTTGCATTCAACTCACAGAGTTGAACTTTCCTTTCGAGAGAGAAGCTTTGAAACACTCTTTTTCCAGAATCTGCAAGTGGACATTTGGAGGGCTTTGAGGCCTGTGGTGGAAAAGGAATTAACTTCCCGTAAAAGCTAGATAGAAGCATTGTCAGAAACTTCTTTGTGATGATTGCATTCAACTCACAGAGATGAAGGTTCCTTTACAAACAGCAGTTTCCAAACACTCTTTCTGTGGAATCTGCAAGTGGATATTTGGACCTCTTTGAAGATTTCGTTGGAAACGGGAGAATCTTCACAGAAAAGCTAAACAGAAGCATTCTCAGAAACTTCTCTGTGATGTTTGTGTTCAACTCCCAGAGTTTCACATTGCTTTTCATAGAGTAGTTCTGAAACATGCTTTTCGTAGTGTCTGCAAGTGGACATTTGGAGCGCTTTCAGGCCTGTGGTGGAAAACGAATTATGGTCCCATAAAAACTGGAGAGAAGCCTTCTCAGAAACTTCTCTGTTGTGATTGCATTCAACTCACAGAGTTGAACCCTCCTATGGATAGAGCATTGTTGAAACTCTCTTTTTGTGGAATCTGCAAGTGGATATGTGGACCTCTCCGAAGATGTCTTTGGAAACGGGAATATCTTCACATAAAAACTAAACAGAAGCATTCTCAGAAACTTCTTGGTGATGTTTGCATTCAAATCCCAGAGTTGAACCTTCCTTTGATAGTTCAGGTTTGAAACACTCTTTTTGTAGGATCTGCAAGTGGATATTTGGACCACTCTGTGGCCTTCGTTCGAAACGGGTACATCTTCACATAAAATCTAGACAGATGCATTCTCAGGAACTTTTGGTGACGTTTGTATTCAACTCCCAGAGTTGAACTTTCCTTTGGAAAGAGCAGCTATGAAACACTCTTTTTCTAGAATCTGCAAGTGGACGTTTGGAGGGCTTTGCGGTTTGTGGTGGAAAAGGAAATATCTTCACCTAAATACTAGATGGAAGCATTCTCAGAAGCTTCTCTGTGATGACTGCATTCAACTCACGGATTTGAACACTCCTTTTGAGAGCGCAGTTTTGAAACTCTGTTTCTGTGGCATCTGCAAGGGGACATGTAGACCTCTTTGAAGATTTCGTTGGAAACGGAATCATCTTCACATAAAAACTATACAGAAGCAGTCTCAAGAATCTTCTTTGTGATGTTTGCATTCAAATCCCAGAGTTGAACTTTCCTTTCAAAGTTCACGTTTGAAACACTCTTTTTGCAGGATCTACAAGTGGATATTTGGACCACTCTGTGTCCTTCGTTCGAAACGGGTATATCTTCACATGACATCTAGACAGAAGCTTTCTCAGAAAATTCTTTGGGATGATTGAGTGGAACTCACAGAGCTGAACATTCCTTGCGATGTAGCAGTTTAGAAACACACTTTCTGCAGAATCTGCAAGTGCATATTTGGACCTCTCTGAGGAATTCGTTGGAAACGGGATAATTTCAGCTGACTAAACAGAAGCATTCTCAGAACCTTCTTCGTGATGTCTGCATTCAACTCACAGTGTGGAACCTTTCTTTGATAGTTCAGGTTTGAAACACTCTTTTTGTAGAAACTGCAAGGGGATAATTGCACTTCTTTGAGGCCTACCGTAGTAAAGGAAATAACTTCCTATAGAAAGAAGACAGAAGCATTCTCAGAACCCTCTTCGTGATGTTTGCATTCAACTCACAGTGCTGAACCTTTCTTTGATAGTTCAGCTTTGAAACACTCTTCTTGTAGAAACTGCAAGTGGATATTTGGTCCTCTCTGAGGATTTCGTTGGAAACGGGATAAACCGCACAGAACTAAACAGAAGCATTCTCAGAACCTTCTTCGTGATGTTTGCATTCAACTCACAGTGTTGAACCTTTCTTTGATAGTTCAGGTTTGAAACGGTCTTTCTGTAGAAACTGCAAGTAGATATTTGGACCTCTCTGAGGATTTCGTTGGAAACGGGATAACCCGCACAGAACTAAAACAGAAGCATTCACAGAAAACTCTTGGTGACGACTGAGTTTAACTCACAGAGCTGAACATTCCTTTGGATGGAGCAGTTTCGAAACACACTATTTGTAGAATGTGCAAGTGGATATTTGGGCCTCTCTGAGGATTTCGTTGGAAACGGGATAAACCGCACAGAACTAAACAGAAGCATTCTCAGAAACTACTTTGTGATGATTGCATTCAAGTCACAGAGTTGAACATTCCCTTTGACAGAGCAGTTTGGAAACTCTCTTTGTGTAGAATCTGCAAGTGGAGATATGGACCGCTTTGAGGCCTATGGTAGTAAAGGAAATAGCTTCATATAAAAGCTAGACAGTAGCATTCTCAGAAACTTCTTTGTGATGCTTGCATTCAACTCACAGAGTTGAACTTTCCTTTCGAGAGAGAAGCTTTGAAACACTCTTTTTCCAGAATCTGCAAGTGGACATTTGGAGGGCTTTGAGGCCTGTGGTGGAAAAGGAATTATCTTCCCGTAAAAGCTAGATAGAAGCATTGTCAGAAACTTCTTTGTGATGATTGCATTCAACTCACAGAGTTGAAGGTTCCTTTTCAAAGAGCAGTTTCCAATCACTCTTTGTGTGGAATCTGCAAGTGGATATTTGGACCTATTTTGAAGATTTCGTTGGAAACGGGAGAATCTTCACAGGAAAGCTAAACAGAAGCATTCTCAGAAACTTCTCTGTGATGTTTGTGTTCAACTCCCAGAGTTTCACATTGCTTTTCATAGAGTAGTTCTGAAACATGCTTTTCGTAGTGTCTACAAGTGGACATTTGGAGCGCTTTCAGGCCTGTGGTGGAAAACGAATTATGGTCACATAAAAACTGGAGAGAGCCTTCTCAGAAACTTCTCTGTGATGATTGCATTCAACTCACAGAGTTGAACCCTCCTATGGATAGAGCAGTGTTGAAACTCTCTTTTTGTGGAATCTGCAAGTGGATATGTGGACCTCTCCGAAGATGTCTTTGGAAACGGGAATATCTTCACATAAAAACTAAACAGAAGCATTCTCAGAAACTTCTTGGTGATGTTTGCATTCCAATCCCAGAGTTGAACCTTCCTTTGATAGTTCAGGTTTGAAACACTCTTTTTGTAGGATCTGCAAGTGGATATTTGGACCACTCTGTGGCCTTCGTTCGAAACGGGTACATCTTCGCATAAAATGCTAGACAGAAGCATTCTCAGAAAATACTTTGTGATGATTGAGTTTAACTCACAGAGCTGAACATTCCTTTGGATGGAGCAGGTTTGAGACACACTTTTTGTAGAATCTACAAGTGGATATTTGGACCTCTCTGAGGATTTCGTTGGAAACGCGATAACTGCACCTAACTAAACGGAAGCATTCTCAGAAACTGCTTTGTGATGATTGCATTCACCTCACAGAGTTGAACATTCCTATTGATAGAGCAGTTTGGAAACACTCTTGTTGTGGAATGTGCAAGTGGAGATTTGGAGCGCTTTGAGGCCTATGGTAGTAAAGGGAATAGCTTCATAGAAAAACTAGACAGATGCATTCTCAGGAACTTTTTGGTGATGTTTGTATTCAACTCCCAGAGTTGAACTTTCCTTTGGAAAGAGCAGCTATGAAACACTCTTTTTCTAGAATCTGCAAGTGGACGTTTGGAGGGCTTTGTGGTTTGTGGTGGAAAAGGAAATATCTTCACCTAAATACTAGATAGAAGCATTCTCAGAAGCTTCTCTGTGATGACTGCATTCAACTCACGGAGTTGAACACTCCTTTTGAGAGCGCAGTTTTGAAACTCTCTTTCTGTGGCATCTGCAAGGGGACATGTAGACCTCTTTGAAGATTTCGTTGGAAACGGAATCATCTTCACATCAAAACTATACAGAAGCAGTCTCAGAATCTTCTTTGTGATGTTTGCATTCAAATCCCAGAGTTGAACTTGCCTTTCAAAGTTCACGTTTGAAACACTCTTTTGGCAGGATCTACAAGTGGATATTTGGACCACTCTGTGTCCTTCGTTCGAAACGGGTATATCTTCACATGACATCTAGACAGAAGCTTTCTCAGAAAATTCTTTGGGATGATTGAGTTGAGCAAACAGAGCTGAACACTCCTTGCGATGTAGCAGTTTAGAAACACCCTTTCTGCAGAATCTGCAAGTGCATATGTGGACCTCTCTGAGGAATTCGTTGGAAACGGGATAATTTCAGCTGACTAAACAGAAGCATTCTCAGAACCTTCTTCGTGATGTCTGCATTCAACTCACAGTGTGGAACCTTTCTTTGATAGTTCAGGTTTGAAACACTCTTTTTGTAGAAACTGCAAGGGGATCATTGCACTTCTTTGAGGCCTACCGTAGTAAAGGAAATAACTTCCTATAAAAAGAAGACAGAAGCATTCTCAGAACCCTCTTCGTGATGTTTGCATTCAACTCACGGTGCTGAACCTTTCTTTGATAGTTCAGCTTTGAAACACTCTTTTTGTAGAAACTGCAAGTGGATATTTGGTCCTCTCTGAGGATTTCGTTGGAAACGGGATAAACCGCACAGAACTAAACAGAAGCATTCTCAGAACCTTCTTCGTGATGTTTGCATTCAACTCACAGTGTTGAACCTTTCTTTGATAGTTCAGGTTGGAAACGGTCTTTCTGTAGAAACTGCAAGTAGATATTTGGACCTCTCTGAGGATTTCGTTGGAAACGGGATAAACCGCACAGAACTAAAACAGAAGCATTCACAGAAAACTCTTGGTGACGACAGAGTTTAACTCACAGAGCTGAACATTCCTTTGGATGGAGCAGTTTCGAAACACACTATTTGTAGAATGTGCAAGTGGATATTTGGGCCTCTCTGAGGATTTCGTTGGAAATGGGATATACCGCACAGAACTAAACAGAAGCATTCTCAGAAACTACTTTGTGATGATTGCATTCAAGTCACAGAGTTGAACATTCCCTTTGACAGAGCAGTTTGGAAACTCTCTTTGTGTAGAATCTGCAAGTGGAGATATGGACCGCTTTGAGGCCTATGGTAGTAAAGGAAATAGCTTCATATAAAAGCTAGACAGTAGCATTCTCAGAAACTTCTTTGTGATGCTTGCATTCAACTCACAGAGTTGAACTTTCCTTTCGAGAGAGAAGCTTTGAAACACTCTTTTTCCAGAATCTGCAAGTGGACATTTGGAGGGCTTTGAGGCCTGTGGTGGAAAAGGAATTATCTTCCCGTAAAAGCTAGATAGAAGCATTGTCAGAAACTTCTTTGTGATGATTGCATTCAACTCACAGAGTTGAAGGTTCCTTTTCAAAGAGCAGTTTCCAATCACTCTTTCTGTGGAATCTGCAAGTGGATATTTGGACCTATTTTGAAGATTTCGTTGGAAACGGGAGAATCTTCACAGGAAAGCTAAACAGAAGCATTCTCAGAAACTTCTCTGTGATGTTTGTGTTCAACTCCCAGAGTTTCACATTGCTTTTCATAGAGTAGTTCTGAAACATGCTTTTCGTAGTGTCTACAAGTGGACATTTGGAGCGCTTTCAGGCCTGTGGTGGAAAACGAATTATGGTCACATAAAAACTGGAGAGAAGCCTTCTCAGAAACTTCTCTGTGATGATTGCATTCAACTCACAGAGTTGAACCCTCCTATGGATAGAGCAGTGTTGAAACTCTCTTTTTGTGGAATCTGCAAGTGGATATGTGGACCTCTCCGAAGATGTCTTTGGAAACGGGAATATCTTCACATAAAAACTTAACAGAAGCATTCTCAGAAACTTCTTGGTGATGTTTGCATTCAAATCCCAGAGTTGAACCTTCCTTTGATAGTTCAGGTTTGAAACACTCTTTTTGTAGGATCTGCAAGTGGATATTTGGACCACTCTGTGGCCTTCGTTCGAAACGGGTATATCTTCGCATAAAATCTAGACAGAAGCATTCTCAGAAAATACTTTGTGATGATTGAGTTTAACTCACAGAGCTGAACATTCCTTTGGATGGAGCAGGTTTGAGACACACCTTTTGTAGAATCTACAAGTGGATATTTGGACCTCTCTGAGGATTTCGTTGGAAACGGGATAACTGCACCTAACTAAACGGAAGCATTCTCAGAAACTGCTTTGTGATGATTGCATTCACCTCACAGAGTTGAACATTCCTATTGATAGAGCAGTTTGGAAACACTCTTGTTGTGGAATGTGCAAGTGGAGATTTGGAGCGCTTTGAGGCCTATGGTAGTAAAGGGAATAGCTTCATAGAAAAACTAGACAGATGCATTCTCAGGAACTTTTTGGTGATGTTTGTATTCAACTCCCAGAGTTGAACTTTCCTTTGGAAAGAGCAGCTATGAAACACTGTTTTTCTAGAATCTGCAAGTGGACGTTTGGAGGGCTTTGTGGTTTGTGGTGGAAAAGGAAATATCTTCACCTAAATACTAGATAGAAGCATCCTCAGAAGCTTCTCTGTGATGACTGCATTCAACTCACGGAGTTGAACACTCCTTTTGAGAGCGCAGTTTTGAAACTCTCTTTCTGTGGCATCTGCAAGGGGACATGTAGACCTCTTTGAAGATTTCGTTGGAAACGGAATCATCTTCACATAAAAACTACACAGAAGCAGTCTCAGAATCTTCTTTGTGATGTTTGCATTCAAATCCCCGAGTTGAACTTTCCTTTCAAAGTTCACGTTTGAAACACTCTTTTTGCAGGATCTACAAGTGGATATTTGGACCACTCTGTGTCCTTCGTTCGAAACGGGTATATCTTCACATGACATCTAGACAGAAGCTTTCTCAGAAAATTCTTTGGGATGATTGAGTTGAACTCACAGAGCTGAGCATTCCTTGCGATGTAGCAGTTTAGAAACACACTTTCTGCAGAATCTGCAAGTGCATATTTGGACCTCTGTGAGGAATTCGTTGGAAACGGGATAATTTCAGCTGACTAAACAGAAGCATTCTCAGAACCTTCTTCGTGATGTCTGCATTCAACTCACAGTGTGGAACCTTTCTTTGATAGTTCAGGTTTGAAACACTCTTTCTGTAGAAACTGCAAGGGGATAATTGCACTCTTTGAGGAGTACCGTAGTAAAGGAAATAACTTCCTATAAAAAGAAGACAGAAGCATTCTCAGAACCCTCTTCGTGATGTTTGCATTCAACTCACAGTGCTGAACCTTTCTTTGATAGTTCAGCTTTGAAACACTCTTTTTGTAGAAACTGCGAGTGGATATTTGGTCCTCTCTGAGGATTTCGTTGGAAACGGGATAAACTGCACAGAACTAAACAGAAGCATTCTCAGAACCTTCTTCGTGATGTTTGCATTCAACTCACAGTGTTGAACCTTTCTTTGATAGTTCAGGTTTGAAACGGTCTTTCTGTAGAAACTGCAAGTAGATATTTGGACCTCTCTGAGGATTTCGTTGGAAACGGGATAACCCGCACAGAACTAAAACAGAAGCATTCACAGAAAACTCTTGGTGACGACTGAGTTTAACTCACAGAGCTGAACATTCCTTTGGATGGAGCAGTTTCGAAACACACTATTTGTAGAATGTGCAAGTGGATATTTAGGCCTCTCTGAGGATTTCGTTGGAAACGGGATAAACCGCACAGAACTAAACAGAAGCATTCTCAGAAACTACTTTGTGATGATTGCATTCAAGTCACAGAGTTGAACATTCCCTTTGACAGAGCAGTTTGGAAACTCTCTTTGTGTAGAATCTGCAAGTGGAGATATGGACCGCTTTGAGGCCTATGGTAGTAAAGGAAATAGCTTCATATAAAAGCTAGACAGTAGCATTCTCAGAAACTTCTTTGTGATGCTTGCATTCAACTCACAGAGTTGAACTTTCCTTTCGAGAGAGAAGCTTTGAAACACTCTTTTTCCAGAATCTGCAAGTGGACATTTGGAGGGCTTTGAGGCCTGTGGTGGAAAAGGAATTATCTTCCCGTAAAAGCTAGATAGAAGCATTGTCAGAAACTTCTTTGTGATGATTGCATTCAACTCACAGAGTTGAAGGTTCCTTTTCAAAGAGCAGTTTCCAATCACTCTTTGTGTGGAATCTGCAAGTGGATATTTGGACCTATTTTGAAGATTTCGTTGGAAACGGGAGAATCTTCACAGGAAAGCTAAACAGAAGCATTCTCAGAAACTTCTCTGTGATGTTTGTGTTCAACTCCCAGAGTTTCACATTGCTTTTCATAGAGTAGTTCTGAAACATGCTTTTCGTAGTGTCTACAAGTGGACATTTGGAGCGCTTTCAGGCCTGTGGTGGAAAACGAATTATGGTCACATAAAAACTGGAGAGAAGCCTTCTCAGAAACTTCTCTGTGATGATTGCATTCAACTCACAGAGTTGAACCCTCCTATGGATAGAGCAGTGTTGAAACTCTCTTTTTGTGGAATCTGCAAGTGGATATGTGGACCTCTCCGAAGATGTCTTTGGAAACGGGAATATCTTCACATAAAAACTAAACAGAAGCATTCTCAGAAACTTCTTGGTGATGTTTGCATTCAAATCCCAGAGTTGAACCTTCCTTTGATAGTTCAGGTTTGAAACACTCTTTTTGTAGGATCTGCAAGTGGATATTTGGACCACTCTGTGGCCTTCGTTTGAAACGGGTATATCTTCGCATAAAATCTAGACAGAAGCATTCTCAGAAAATACTTTGTGATGATTGAGTTTAACTCACAGAGCTGAACATTCCTTTGGATGGAGCAGGTTTGAGACACACTTTTTGTAGAATCTACAAGTGGATATTTGGACCTCTCTGAGGATTTCGTTGGAAACGGGATAACTGCACCTAACTAAACGGAAGCATTCTCAGAAACTGCTTTGTGATGATTGCATTCACCTCACAGAGTTGAACATTCCTATTGATAGAGCAGTTTGGAAACACTCTTGTTGTGGAATGTGCAAGTGGAGATTTGGAGCGCTTTGAGGCCTATGGTAGTAAAGGGAATAGCTTCATAGAAAAACTAGACAGATGCATTCTCAGGAACTTTTTGGTGATGTTTGTATTCAACTCCCAGAGTTGAACTTTCCTTTGGAAAGAGCAGCTATGAAACACTCTTTTTCTAGAATCTGCAAGTGGACGTTTGGAGGGCTTTGTGGTTTGTGGTGGAAAAGGAAATATCTTCACCTAAATACTAGATAGAAGCATTCTCAGAAGCTTCTCTGTGATGACTGCATTCAACTCACGGAGTTGAACACTCCTTTTGAGAGCGCAGTTTTGAAACTCTCTTTCTGTGGCATCTGCAAGGGGACATGTAGACCTCTTTGAAGATTTCGTTGGAAACGGAATCATCTTCACATAAAAACTATACAGAAGCAGTCTCAGAATCTTCTTTGTGATGTTTGCATTCAAATCCCAGAGTTGAACTTTCCTTTCAAAGTTCACGTTTGAAACACTCTTTTTGCAGGATCTACAAGTGGATATTTGGACCACTCTGTGTCCTTCGTTCGAAACGGGTATATCTTCACACGACATCTAGACAGAAGCTTTCTCAGAAAATTCTTTGGGATGATTGAGTGGAACTCACAGAGCTGAACATTCCTTGCGATGTAGCAGTTTAGAAACACACTTTCTGCAGAATCTGCAAGTGCATATTTGGACCTCTCTGAGGAATTCGTTGGAAATGGGATAATTTCAGCTGACTAAACAGAAGCATTCTCAGAACCTTCTTCGTGATGTCTGCATTCAACTCACAGTGTGGAACCTTTCTTTGATAGTTCAGGTTTGAAACACTCTTTTTGTAGAAACTGCAAGGGGATAATTGCACTTCTTTGAGGCCTACCGTAGTAAAGGAAATAACTTCCTATAGAAAGAAGACAGAAGCATTCTCAGAACCCTCTTCGTGATGTTTGCATTCAACTCACAGTGCTGAACCTTTCTTTGATAGTTCAGCTTTGAAACACTCTTCTTGTAGAAACTGCAAGTGGATATTTGGTCCTCTCTGAGGATTTCGTTGGAAACGGGATAAACCGCACAGAACTAAACAGAAGCATTCTCAGAACCTTCTTCGTGATGTTTGCATTCAACTCACAGTGTTGAACCTTTCTTTGATAGTTCAGGTTTGAAACGGTCTTTCTGTAGAAACTGCAAGTAGATATTTGGACCTCTCTGAGGATTTCGTTGGAAACGGGATAAACCGCACAGAACTAAAACAGAAGCATTCACAGAAAACTCTTGGTGACGACTGAGTTTAACTCACAGAGCTGAACATTCCTTTGGATGGAGCAGTTTCGAAACACAGTATTTGTAGAATGTGCAAGTGGATATGTGGGCCTCTCTGAGGATTTCGTTGGAAACGGGATAAACCGCACAGAACTAAACAGAAGCATTCTCAGAAACTACTTTGTGATGATTGCATTCAAGTCACAGAGTTGAACATTCCCTTTGACAGAGCAGTTTGGAAACTCTCTTTGTGTAGAATCTGCAAGTGGAGATATGGACCGCTTTGAGGCCTATGGTAGTAAAGGAAATAGCTTCATATAAAAGCTAGACAGTAGCATTCTCAGAAACTTCTTTGTGATGCTTGCATTCAACTCACAGAGTTGAACTTTCCTTTCGAGAGAGAAGCTTTGAAACACTCTTTTTCCAGAATCTGCAAGTGGACATTTGGAGGGCTTTGAGGCCTGTGGTGGAAAAGGAATTATCTTCCCGTAAAAGCTAGATAGAAGCATTGTCAGAAACTTCTTTGTGATGATTGCATTCAACTCACAGAGTTGAAGGTTCCTTTTCAAACAGCAGTTTCCAATCACTCTTTCTGTGGAATCTGCAAGTGGATATTTGGACCTATTTTGAAGATTTCGTTGGAAACGGGAGAATCTTCACAGAAAAGCTAAACAGAAGCATTCTCAGAAACTTCTCTGTGATGTTTGTGTTCATCTCCCAGAGTTTCACGTTGCTTTTCATAGAGTAGTTCTGAAACATGCTTTTCGTAGTGTCTGCAAGTGGACATTTGGAGCGCTTTCAGGCCTGTGGTGGAAAACGAATTAGGGTCACATAAAAACTGGAGAGAAGCCTTCTCAGAAACTTCTCTGTGATGATTGCATTCAACTCACAGAGTTGAACCCTCCTATGGATAGAGCAGTGTTGAAACTGTCTTTTTGTGGAATCTGCAAGTGGATATGTGGCCCTCTCCGAAGATGTCTTTGGAAACGGGAATATCTTCACATAAAAACTAAACAGAAGCATTCTCAGAAACTTCTTGGTGATGTTTGCATTCAAATCCCAGAGTTGAACCTTCCTTTGATAGTTCAGGTTTGAAACACTCTTTTTGTAGGATCTGCAAGTGGATATTTGGACCACTCTGTGGCCTTCGTTCGAAACGGGTATATCTTCGCATAAAATCTAGACAGAAGCATTCTCAGAATATACTTTGTGATGATTGAGTTTAACTCACAGAGCTGAACATTCCTTTGGATGGAGCAGGTTTGAGACACACTTTTTGTAGAATCTACAAGTGGATATTTGGACCTCTCTGAGGATTTCGTTGGAAACGGGATAACTGCACCTAACTAAACGGAAGCATTCTCAGAAACTGCTTTGTGATGATTGCATTCACCTCACAGAGTTGAACATTCCTATTGATAGAGCAGTTTGGAAACACTCTTGTTGTGGAATGTGCAAGTGGAGATTTGGAGCGCTTTGAGGCCTATGGTAGTAAAGGGAATAGCTTCATAGAAAAACTAGACAGATGCATTCTCAGGAACTTTTTGGTGATGTTTGTATTCAACTCCCAGAGTTGAACTTTCCTTTGGAAAGAGCAGCTATGAAACACTCTTTTTCTAGAATCTGCAAGTGGACGTTTGGAGGGCTTTGTGGTTTGTGGTGGAAAAGGAAATATCTTCACCTAAATACTAGATAGAAGCATCCTCAGAAGCTTCTCTGTGATGACTGCATTCAACTCACGGAGTTGAACACTCCTTTTGAGAGCGCAGTTTTGAAACTCTCTTTCTGTGGCATCTGCAAGGGGACATGTAGACCTCTTTGAAGATTTCGTTGGAAACGGAATCATCTTCACATAAAAACTATACAGAAGCAGTCTCAGAATCTTCTTTGTGATGTTTGCATTCAAATCCCCGAGTTGAACTTTCCTTTCAAAGTTCACGTTTGAAACACTCTTTTTGCAGGTTCTACAAGTGGATATTTGGACCACTCTGTGTCCTTCGTTCCAAACGGGTATATCTTCACATGACATCTAGACAGAAGCTTTCTCAGAAAATTCTTTGGGATGATTGAGTTGAACTCACAGAGCTGAGCATTCCTTGCGATGTAGCAGTTTAGAAACACACTTTCTGCAGAATCTGCAAGTGCATATTTGGACCTCTGTGAGGAATTCGTTGGAAACGGGATAATTTCAGCTGACTAAACAGAAGCATTCTCAGAACCCTCTTCGTGATGTTTGCATTCAACTCACAGTGCTGAACCTTTCTTTGATAGTTCAGCTTTGAAACACTCTTTCTGTAGAAACTGCAAGGGGATAATTGCACTCTTTGAGGAGTACCGTAGTAAAGGAAATAACTTCCTATAAAAAGAAGACAGAAGCATTCTCAGAACCCTCTTCGTGATGTTTGCATTCAACTCACAGTGCTGAACCTTTCTTTGATAGTTCAGCTTTGAAACACTCTTTTTGTAGAAACTGCAAGTGGATATTTGGTCCTCTCTGAGGATTTCGTTGGAAACGGGATAAACCGCACAGAACTAAACAGAAGCATTCACAGAAAACTCTTGGTGACGACTGAGTTTAACTCACAGAGCTGAACATTCCTTTGGATGGAGCAGTTTCGAAACACACTATTTGTAGAATCTGCAAGTGGATATGGGGGCCTCTCTGAGGATTTCGTTGGAAACAGGGTAAACCGCACAGAACTAAAACAGAAGCATTCACAGAAAACTCTTGGTGACGACTGAGTTTAACTCACAGAGCTGAACATTCCTTTGGATGGAGCAGTTTCGAAACACACTATTTGTAGAATGTGCAAGTGGATATTTGGGCCTCTCTGAGGATTTCGTTGGAAACGGGATAAACCGCACAGAACTAAACAGAAGCATTCTCAGAAACTACTTTGTGATGATTGCATTCAAGTCACAGAGTTGAACATTCCCTTTGACAGAGCAGTTTGGAAACTCTCTTTGTGTAGAATCTGCAAGTGGAGATATGGACCGCTTTGAGGCCTATGGTAGTAAAGGAAATAGCTTCATATAAAAGCTAGACAGTAGCATTCTCAGAAACTTCTTTGTGATGCTTGCATTCAACTCACAGAGTTGAACTTTCCTTTCGAGAGAGAAGCTTTGAAACACTCTTTTTCCAGAATCTGCAAGTGGACATTTGGAGGGCTTTGAGGCCTGTGGTGGAAAAGGAATTATCTTCCCGTAAAAGCTAGATAGAAGCATTGTCAGAAACTTCTTTGTGATGATTGCATTCAACTCACAGAGTTGAAGGTTCCTTTTCAAAGAGCAGTTTCCAATCACTCTTTCTGTGGAATCTGCAAGTGGATATTTGGACCTATTTTGAAGATTTCGTTGGAAACGGGAGAATCTTCACAGGAAAGCTAAACAGAAGCATTCTCAGAAACTTCTCTGTGATGTTTGTGTTCAACTCCCAGAGTTTCACATTGCTTTTCATAGAGTAGTTCTGAAACATGCTTTTCGTAGTGTCTACAAGTGGACATTTGGAGCGCTTTCAGGCCTGTGGTGGAAAACGAATTATGGTCACATAAAAACTGGAGAGAAGCCTTCTCAGAAACTTCTCTGTGATGATTGCATTCAACTCACAGAGTTGAACCCTCCTATGGATAGAGCAGTGTTGAAACTCTCTTTTTGTGGAATCTGCAAGTGGATATGTGGACCTCTCCGAAGATGTCTTTGGAAACGGGAATATCTTCACATAAAAACTAAACAGAAGCATTCTCAGAAACTTCTTGGTGATGTTTGCATTCAAATCCCAGAGTTGAACCTTCCTTTGAGAGTTCAGGTTTGAAACACTCTTTTTGTAGGATCTGCAAGTGGATATTTGGACCACTCTGTGGCCTTCGTTCGAAACGGGTACATCTTCGCATAAAATCTAGACAGAAGCATTCTCAGAAAATACTTTGTGATGATTGAGTTGAACTCACAGAGCTGAACATTCCTTTGGATGGAGCAGGTTTGAGACACACTTTTTGTAGAATCTACAAGTGGATATTTGGACCTCTCTGAGGATTTCGTTGGAAACGGGATAACTGCACCTAACTAAACGGAAGCATTCTCAGAAACTGCTTTGTGATGATTGCATTCACCTCACAGAGTTGAACATTCCTATTGATAGAGCAGTTTGGAAACACTCTTGTTGTGGAATGTGCAAGTGGAGATTTGGAGCGCTTTGAGGCCTATGGTAGTAAAGGGAATAGCTTCATAGAAAAACTAGACAGATGCATTCTCAGGAACTTTTTGGTGATGTTTGTATTCAACTCCCAGAGTTGAACTTTCCTTTGGAAAGAGCAGCTATGAAACACTCTTTTTCTAGAATCTGCAAGTGGACGTTTGGAGGGCTTTGTGGTTTGTGGTGGAAAAGGAAATATCTTCAGCTAAATACTAGAGAGAAGCATTCTCAGAAGCTTCTCTGTGATGACTGCATTCAACTCACGGAGTTGAACACTCCTTTTGAGAGCGCAGTTTTGAAACTCTCTTTCTGTGGCATCTGCAAGGGGACATGTAGACCTCTTTGAAGATTTCGTTGGAAACGGAATCATCTTCACATAGAAACTATACAGAAGCAGTCTCAGAATCTTCTTTGTGATGTTTGCATTCAAATCCCCGAGTTGAACTTTCCTTTCAAAGTTCACGTTTGAAACACTCTTTTTGCAGGATCTACAAGTGGATATTTGGACCACTACTGTGTCCTTCGTTCGAAACGGGTATATCTTCACATGACATCTAGACAGAAGCTTTCTCAGAAAATTCTTTGGGATGATTGAGTGGAACTCACAGAGCTGAACATTCCTTGCGATGTAGCAGTTTAGAAACACACTTTCTGCAGAATCTGCAAGTGCATATTTGGACCTCTCTGAGGAATTCGTTGGAAACGGGATAATTTCAGCTGACTAAACAGAAGCATTCTCAGAACCTTCTTCGTGATGTCTGCATTCAACTCACAGTGTGGAACCTTTCTTTGATAGTTCAGGTTTGAAACACTCTTTTTGTAGAAACTGCAAGGGGATAATTGCACTTCTTTGAGGCCTACCGTAGTAAAGGAAATAACTTCCTATAGAAAGAAGACAGAAGCATTCTCAGAACCCTCTTCGTGATGTTTGCATTCAACTCACAGTGCTGAACCTTTCTTTGATAGTTCAGCTTTGAAACACTCTTCTTGTAGAAACTGCAAGTGGATATTTGGTCCTCTCTGAGGATTTCGTTGGAAACGGGATAAACCGCACAGAACTAAACAGAAGAATTCTCAGAGCCCTCTTCGTGATGTTTGCATTCAACTCACAGTGCTGAACCTTTCTTTGATAGTGCAGCTTTGAAACACTCTTTTTGTAGAAACTGCAAGTGGATGTTTGGTCCTCTCTGAGGATTTCGTTGGAAACGGGATAAACCGCACAGAACTAAAACAGAAGCATTGTCAGAAACTTCTTTGTGATGATTGCATTCAACTCACAGAGTTGAAGGTTCCTTTTCAAACAGCAGTTTCCAATCACTCTTTCTGTGGAATCTGCAAGTGGATATTTGGGCCTCTCTGAGGATTTCGTTGGAAACGGGATAAAACGCACAGAACTAAAACAGAAGCATTCTCAGAAACTTCTCTGTGATGTTTGTGTTCAACTCCCAGAGTTTCACGTTGCTTTTCATAGAGTAGTTCTGAAACATGCTTTTCGTAGTGTCTGCAAGTGGACATTTGGAGCGCTTTCAGGCCTGTGGTGGAAAACGAATTATGGTCACATAAAAACTGGAGAGAAGCCTTCTCAGAAACTTCTCTGTGATGATTGCATTCAACTCACAGAGTTGAACCCTCCTATGGATAGAGCAGTGTTGAAACTCTCTTTTTGTGGAATCTGCAAGTGGATATGTGGACCTCTCCGAAGATGTCTTTGGAAACGGGAATATCTTCACATAAAAACTAAACAGAAGCATTCTCAGAAACTTCTTGGTGATGTTTGCATTCAAATCCCAGAGTTGAACCTTCCTTTGATAGTTCAGGTTTGAAACACTCTTTCTGTAGGATCTGCAAGTGGCTATTTGGACCACTCTGTGGCCTTCGTTCGAAACGGGTATATCTTCGCATAAAATCTAGACAGAAGCATTCTCAGAAAATACTTTGTGATGATTGAGTTTAAATCACAGAGCTGACCATTCCTTTGGATGGAGCAGGTTTGAGACACACTTTTTGTAGAATCTACAAGTGGATATTTGGACCTCTCTGAGGATTTCGTTGGAAACGGGATAACTGCACCTAACTAAACGGAAGCATTCTCAGAAACTGCTTTGTGATGATTGCATTCACCTCACAGAGTTGAACATTCCTATTGATAGAGCAGTTTGGAAACACTCTTGTTGTGGAATGTGCAAGTGGAGATTTGGAGCGCTTTGAGGCCTATGGTAGTAAAGGGAATAGCTTCATAGAAAAACTAGACAGATGCATTCTCAGGAACTTTTTGGTGATGTTTGTATTCAACTCCCAGAGTTGAACTTTCCTTTGGAAAGAGCAGCTATGAAACACTCTTTTTCTAGAATCTGCAAGTGGACGTTTGGAGGGCTTTGTGGTTTGTGGTGGAAAAGGAAATATCTTCACCTAAATACTAGATAGAAGCATTCTCAGAAGCTTCTCTGTGATGACTGCATTCAACTCACGGAGTTGAACACTCCTTTTGAGAGCGCAGTTTTGAAACTCTCTTTCTGTGGCATCTGCAAGGGGACATGTAGACCTCTTTGAAGATTTCGTTGGAAACGGAATCATCTTCACATAAAAACTATACAGAAGCAGTCTCAGAATCTTCTTTGTGATGTTTGCATTCAAATCCCAGAGTTGAACTTTCCTTTCAAAGTTCACGTTTGAAACACTCTTTTTGCAGGATCTACAAGTGGATATTTGGACCACTCTGTGTCCTTCGTTCGAAACGGGTATATCTTCACACGACATCTAGACAGAAGCTTTCTCAGAAAATTCTTTGGGATGATTGAGTGGAACTCACAGAGCTGAACATTCCTTGCGATGTAGCAGTTTAGAAACACACTTTCTGCAGAATCTGCAAGTGCATATTTGGACCTCTCTGAGGAATTCGTTGGAAACGGGATAATTTCAGCTGACTAAACAGAAGCATTCTCAGAACCTTCTTCGTGATGTCTGCATTCAACTCACAGTGTGGAACCTTTCTTTGATAGTTCAGGTTTGAAACACTCTTTTTGTAGAAACTGCAAGGGGATAATTGCACTTCTTTGAGGCCTACCGTAGTAAAGGAAATAACTTCCTATAGAAAGAAGACAGAAGCATTCTCAGAACCCTCTTCGTGATGTTTGCATTCAACTCACAGTGCTGAACCTTTCTTTGATAGTTCAGCTTTGAAACACTCTTCTTGTAGAAACTGCAAGTGGATATTTGGTCCTCTCTGAGGATTTCGTTGGAAACGGGATAAACCGCACAGAACTAAACAGAAGAATTCTCAGAGCCCTCTTCGTGGTGTTTGCATTCAACTCACAGTGCTGAACCTTTCTTTGATAGTGCAGCTTTGAAACACTATTTTTGTAGAAACTGCAAGTTGATATTTGGTCCTCTCTGAGGATTTCGTTGGAAACGGGATAAACCGCACAGAACTAAAACAGAAGCATTCACAGAAAACTCTTGGTGACGACTGAGTTTAACTCACAGAGCTGAACATTCCTTTGGATGGAGCAGTTTCGAAACACACTATTTGTAGAATCTGCAAGTGGATATTTGGGCCTCTCTGAGGATTTCGTTGGAAACGGGATAAAACGCACAGAACTAAAACAGAAGCATTCTCAGAAACTACTTTGTGATGATTGCATTCAAGTCACAGAGTTGAACATTCCCTTTGACAGAGCAGTTTGGAAACTCTCTTTGTGTAGAATCTGCAAGTGGAGATATGGACCGCTTTGAGGCCTATGGTAGTAAAGGAAATAGCTTCATATAAAAGCTAGACAGTAGCATTCTCAGAAACTTCTTTGTGATGCTTGCATTCAACTCACAGAGTTGAACTTTCCTTTCGAGAGAGAAGCTTTGAAACACTCTTTTTCCAGAATGTGCAAGTGGACATTTGGGGAGCTTTGAGGCCTGTGGTGGAAAAGGAATTATCTTCCCGTAAAAGCTAGATAGAAGCATTGTCAGAAACTTCTTTGTGATGATTGCATTCAACTCACAGAGTTGAAGGTTCCTTTTCAAACAGCAGTTTCCAATCACTCTTTCTGTGGAATCTGCAAGTGGATATTTCGACCTCTTTGAAGATTTCGTTGGAAACGGGAGAATCTTCACAGAAAAGCTAAACAGAAGCATTCTCAGAAACTTCTCTGTGATGTTTGTTTTCAACTCCCAGAGTTTCACGTTGCTTTTCATAGAGTAGTTCTGAAACATGCTTTTCGTAGTGTCTGCAAGTGGACATTTGGAGCGCTTTCAGGCCTGTGGTGGAAAACGAATTATGGTCACATAAAAACTGGAGAGAAGCCTTCTCAGAAACTTCTCTGTGATGATTGCATTCAACTCACAGATTTGAACCCTCCTATGGATAGAGCAGTGTTGAAACTCTCTTTTTGTGGAATCTGCAAGTGGATATGTGGACCTCTCCGAAGATGTCTTTGGAAACGGGAATATCTTCACATAAAAACTAAACAGAAGCATTCTCAGAAACTTCTTGGTGATGTTTGCATTCAAATCCCAGAGTTGAACCTTCCTTTGATAGTTCAGGTTTGAAACACTCTTTCTGTAGGATCTGCAAGTGGCTATTTGGACCACTCTGTGGCCTTCGTTCGAAACGGGTATATCTTCGCATAAAATCTAGACAGAAGCATTCTCAGAAAATACTTTGTGATGATTGAGTTTAACTCACAGAGCTGAACATTCCTTTGGATGGAGCAGGTTTGAGACACACCTTTTGTAGAATCTACAAGTGGATATTTGGACCTCTCTGAGGATTTCGTTGGAAACGGGATAACTGCACCTAACTAAACGGAAGCATTCTCAGAAACTGCTTTGTGATGATTGCATTCACCTCACAGAGTTGAACATTCCTATTGATAGAGCAGTTTGGAAACACTCTTGTTGTGGAATGTGCAAGTGGAGATTTGGAGCGCTTTGAGGCCTATGGTAGTAAAGGGAATAGCTTCATAGAAAAACTAGACAGATGCATTCTCAGGAACTTTTTGGTGATGTTTGTATTCAACTCCCAGAGTTGAACTTTCCTTTGGAAAGAGCAGCTATGAAACACTCTTTTTCTAGAATCTGCAAGTGGACGTTTGGAGGGCTTTGTGGTTTGTGGTGGAAAAGGAAATATCTTCACCTAAATACTAGATAGAAGCATTCTCAGAAGCTTCTCTGTGATGACTGCATTCAACTCACGGAGTTGAACACTCCTTTTGAGAGCGCAGTTTTGAAACTCTCTTTCTGTGGCATCTGCAAGGGGACATGTAGACCTCTTTGAAGATTTCTTTGGAAACGGAATCATCTTCACATAAAAACTATACAGAAGCAGTCTCAGAATCTTCTTTGTGATGTTTGCATTCAAATCCCAGAGTTGAACTTTCCTTTCAAAGTTCACGTTTGAAACACTCTTTTTGCAGGATCTACAACTGGATATTTGGACCACTCTGTGTCCTTCGTTCGAAACGGGTATATCTTCACATGACATCTAGGCAGAAGCTTTCTCAGAAAATTCTTTGGGATGATTGAGTTGAACTCACAGAGCTGAACATTCCTTGCGATGGAGCAGTTTAGAAACACACTTTCTGCAGAATCTGCAAGTGCATATTTGGACCTCTCTGAGGAATTCGTTGGAAACGTGATAATTTCAGCTGACTAAACAGAAGCATTCTCAGAACCTTCTTCGTGATGTCTGCATTCAACTCACAGTGTGGAACCTTTCTTTGATAGTTCAGGTTTGAAACACTCTTTTTGTGGAAACTGCAAGGGGATAATTGCACTTCTTTGAGGCCTACCGTAGTAAAGGAAATAACTTCCTATAAAAAGAAGACAGAAGCATTCTCAGAACCCTCTTCGTGATGATTGCATTCAACACACAGTGCTGAACCTTTCTTTGATAGTTCAGCTTTGAAACACTCTTTTTGTAGAAATTGCAACTGGATATTTGGTCCTCTCTGAGGATTTCGTTGGAAACGGGATAAACCGCACAGAACTAAACAGAAGCATTCACAGAAAACTCTTGGTGACGACTGAGTTTAACTCACAGAGCTGAACATTCCTTTGGATGGAGCAGTTTCGAAACACACTCTTTGTAGAATCTGCAAGTGGATATTTGGGCCTCTCTGAGGATTTCGTTGGAAATGGGATAAACCGCACAGAACTAAAACAGAAGCATTCTCAGAAACTACTTTGTGATGATTGCATTCAAGTCACAGAGTTGAACATTCCCTTTGACAGAGCAGTTTGGAAACTCTCTTTGTGTAGAATCTGCAAGTGGAGATATGGACCGCTTTGAGGCCTATGGTAGTAAAGGAAATAGCTTCATATAAAAGCTAGACAGTAGCATTCTCAGAAACTTCTTTGTGATGCTTGCATTCAACTCACAGAGTTGAACTTTCCTTTCGAGAGAGAAGCTTTGAAACACTCTTTTTCCAGAATCTGCAAGTGGACATTTGGAGGGCTTTGAGGCCTGTGGTGGAAAAGGAATTATCTTCCCGTAAAAGCTAGATAGAAGCATTGTCAGAAACTTCTTTGTGATGATTGCATTCAACTCACAGAGTTGAAGGTTCCTTTTCAAAGAGCAGTTTCCAATCACTCTTTCTGTGGAATCTGCAAGTGGATATTTGGACCTATTTTGAAGATTTCGTTGGAAACGGGAGAATCTTCACAGGAAAGCTAAACAGAAGCATTCTCAGAAACTTCTCTGTGATGTTTGTGTTCAACTCCCAGAGTTTCACATTGCTTTTCATAGAGTAGTTCTGAAACATGCTTTTCGTAGTGTCTACAAGTGGACATTTGGAGCGCTTTCAGGCCTGTGGTGGAAAACGAATTATGGTCACATAAAAACTGGAGAGAAGCCTTCTCAGAAACTTCTCTGTGATGATTGCATTCAACTCACAGAGTTGAACCCTCCTATGGATAGAGCAGTGTTGAAACTCTCTTTTTGTGGAATCTGCAAGTGGATATGTGGACCTCTCCGAAGATGTCTTTGGAAACGGGAATATCTTCACATAAAAACTAAACAGAAGCATTCTCAGAAACTTCTTGGTGATGTTTGCATTGAAATCCCAGAGTTGAACCTTCCTTTGATAGTTCAGGTTTGAAACACTCTTTTTGTAGGATCTGCAAGTGGATATTTGGACCACTCTGTGGCCTTCGTTCGAAACGGCTATATCTTCGCATAAAATCTAGACAGAAGCATTCTCAGAAAATACTTTGTGATGATTGAGTTTAACTCACAGAGCTGAACATTCCTTTGGATGGAGCAGGTTTGAGACACACTTTTTGTAGAATCTACAAGTGGATATTTGGACCTCTCTGAGGATTTCGTTGGAAACGGGATAACTGCACCTAACTAAACGGAAGCATTCTCAAAAACTGCTTTGTGATGATTGCATTCACCTCACAGAGTTGAACATTCCTATTGATAGAGCAGTTTGGAAACACTCTTGTTGTGGAATGTGCAAGTGGAGATTTGGAGCGCTTTGAGGCCTAAGGTAGTAAAGGGAATAGCTTCATAGAAAAACTAGACAGATGCATTCTCAGGAACTTTTTGGTGATGTTTGTATTCAACTCCCAGAGTTGAACTTTCCTTTGGAAAGAGCAGCTATGAAACACTGTTTTTCTAGAATCTGCAAGTGGACGTTTGGAGGGCTTTGTGGTTTGTGGTGGAAAAGGAAATATCTTCACCTAAATACTAGATAGAAGCATCCTCAGAAGCTTCTCTGTGATTACTGCATTCAACTCACGGAGTTGAACACTCCTTTTGAGAGCGCAGTTTTGAAACTCTCTTTCTGTGGCATCTGCAAGGGGACATGTAGACCTCTTTGAAGATTTCGTTCGAAACGGAATCATCTTCACATAAAAACTACACAGAAGCAGTCTCAGAATCTTCTTTGTGATGTTTGCATTCAAATCCCCGAGTTGAACTTTCCTTTCAAAGTTCACGTTTGAAACACTCTTTTTGCAGGATCTACAAGTGGATATTTGGACCACTCTGTGTCCTTCGATCGAAACGGGTATATCTTCACATGACATCTAGACAGAAGCTTTCTCAGAAAATTCTTTGGGATGATTGAGTTGAACTCACAGAGCTGAGCATTCCTTGCGATGTAGCAGTTTAGAAACACACTTTCTGCAGAATCTGCAAGTGCATATTTGGACCTCTGTGAGGAATTCGTTGGAAACGGGATAATTTCAGCTGACTAAACAGAAGCATTCTCAGAACCTTCTTCGTGATGTCTGCATTCAACTCACAGTGTGGAACCTTTCTTTGATAGTTCAGGTTTGAAACACTCTTTTTGTAGAAACTGCAAGGGGATAATTGCACTCTTTGAGGAGTACCGTAGTAAAGGAAATAACTTCCTATAAAAAGAAGACAGAAGCATTCTCAGAACCCTCTTCGTGATGTTTGCATTCAACTCACAGTGCTGAACCTTTCTTTGATAGTTCAGCTTTGAAACACTCTTTTTGTAGAAACTGCAAGTGGATATTTGGTCCTCTCTGAGGAATTCGTTGGAAACGGGATAAACTGCACAGAACTAAACAGAAGCATTCTCAGAACCTTCTTCGTGATGTTTGCATTCAACTCACAGTGTTGAACCTTTCTTTGATAGTTCAGGTTTGAAACGGTCTTTCTGTAGAAACTGCAAGTAGATATTTGGACCTCTCTGAGGATTTCGTTGGAAACGGGATAACCCGCACAGAACTAAAACAGAAGCATTCACAGAAAACTCTTGGTGACGACTGAGTTTAACTCACAGAGCTGAACATTCCTTTGGATGGAGCAGTTTCGAAACACACTATTTGTAGAATCTGCAAGTGGATATTTGGGACTCTCTGAGGATTTCGTTGGAAACGGGATAAACCGCACAGAACTAAACAGAAGCATTCTCAGAAACTACTTTGTGATGATTGCATTCAAGTCACAGAGTTGAACATTCCCTTTGATGGAGCAGTTTGGAAACTCTCTTTGTGTAGAATCTGCAAGTGGAGATATGGACCGCTTTGAGGCCTATGGTAGTAAAGGAAATAGCTTCATATAAAAGCTAGACAGTAGCATTCTCAGAAACTTCTTTGTGATGCTTGCATTCAACTCACAGATGTTGAACTTTCCTTTCGAGAGAGAAGCTTTGAAACACTCTTTTTCCAGAATCTGCAAGTGGACATTTGGAGGGCTTTGAGGCCTGTGGTGGAAAAGGAATTATCTTCCCGTAAAAGCTAGATAGAAGCATTGTCAGAAACTTCTTTGTGATGATTGCATACAAGTCACAGAGTTGAAGGTTCCTTTTCAAAGAGCAGTTTCCAATCACTCTTTCTGTGGAATCTGCAAGTGGATATTTGGACCTCTTTGAAGATTTCGTTGGAAACGGGAGAATCTTCACAGAAAAGCTAAACAGAAGCATTCTCAGAAACTTCTCTGTGATGTTTGTGTTCAACTCCCAGAGTGTCACATTGCTTCTCATAGAGTAGTTCTGAAACATGCTTTTCGTAGTGTCTGCAAGGGGACATTTGGAGCGCTTTCAGGCCTGTGGTGGAAAACGAATTATGGTCACATAAAAACTGAACAGAAGCCTTCTCAGAAACTTCTCTGTGATGATTGCATTCAACTCACAGAGTTGAACCCTCCTATGGATAGAGCAGTGTTGAAACTCTCTTTTTGTGGAATCTGCAAGCGGATATGTGGACCTCTCCGAAGATGTCTTTGGAAACGGGAATATCTTCACATAAAAACTAAACAGAAGCATTCTCAGAAACTTCTTGGTGATGTTTGCATTCAAATCCCAGAGTTGAACCTTCCTTTGAGAGTTCAGGTTTGAAACACTCTTTTTGTAGGATCTGCAAGTGGATATTTGGACCACTCTGTGGCCTTCGTTCGAAACGGGTACATCTTCGCATAAAATCTAGACAGAAGCATTCTCAGAAAATACTTTGTGATGATTGAGTTAAAATCACAGAGCTGAACATTCCTTTGGATGGAGCAGGTTTGAGACACACTTTTTGTAGAATCTACAAGTGGATATTTGGACCTCTCTGAGGATTTCGTTGGAAACGGGATAACTGCACCTAACTAAACGGAAGCATTCTCAGAAACTGCTTTGTGATGATTGCATTCACCTCACAGAGTTGAACATTCCTATTGATAGAGCAGTTTGGAAACACTCTTGTTGTGGAATGTGCAAGTGGAGATTTGGAGCGCTTTGAGGCCTATGGTAGTAAAGGGAATAGCTTCATAGAAAAACTAGACAGATGAATTCTCAGGAACTTTTTGGTGATGTTTGTATTCAACTCCCAGAGTTGAACTTTCCTTTGGAAAGAGCAGCTATGAAACACTCTTTTTCTAGAATCTGCAAGTGGACGTTTGGAGGGCTTTGTGGTTTGTGGTGGAAAAGGAAATATCTTCACCTAAATACTAGAGAGAAGCATTCTCAGAAGCTTCTCTGTGATGACTGCATTCAACTCACGGAGTTGAACACTCCTTTTGGGAGCGCAGTTTTGAAACTCTCTTTCTGTGGCATCCGCAAGGGGACATGTGGACCTCTTTGAAGATTTCGTTGGAAACGGAATCATCTTCACATAAAAACTATACAGAAGCAGTCTCAGAATCTTCTTTGTGATGTTTGCATTCAAATCCCAGAGTTGAACTTTCCTTTCAAAGTTCACGTTTGAAACACTCTTTTTGCAGGATCTACAAGTGGATATTTGGACCACTCTGTGTCCTTCGTTCGAAACGGGTATATCTTCACAGGACATCTAGACAGAAGCTTTCTCAGAAAATTCTTTGGGATGATTGAGTGGAACTCACAGAGCTGAACATTCCTTGCGATGTAGCAGTTTAGAAACACACTTTCTGCAGAATCTGCAAGTGCATATTTGGACCTCTCTGAGGAATTCGTTGGAAACGGGATAATTTCAGCTGACTAAACAGAAGCATTCTCAGAACCTTCTTCGTGATGTCTGCATTCAACTCACAGTGTGGAACCTTTCTTTGATAGTTCAGGTTTGAAACACTCTTTTTGTAGAAACTGCAAGGGGATAATTGCACTTCTTTGAGGCCTACCGTAGTAAAGGAAATAACTTCCTATAGAAAGAAGACAGAAGCATTCTCAGAACCCTCTTCGTGATGTTTGCATTCAACTCACAGTGCTGAACCTTTCTTTGATAGTTCAGCTTTGAAACACTCTTCTTGTAGAAACTGCAAGTGGATATTTGGTCCTCTCTGAGGATTTCGTTGGAAACGGGATAAACCGCACAGAACTAAACAGAAGAATTCTCAGAGCCCTCTTCGTGATGTTTGCATTCAACTCACAGTGCTGAACCTTTCTTTGATAGTGCAGCTTTGAAACACTCTTTTTGTAGAAACTGCAAGTGGATGTTTGGTCCTCTCTGAGGATTTCGTTGGAAACGGGATAAACCGCACAGAACTAAAACAGAAGCATTGTCAGAAACTTCTTTGTGATGATTGCATTCAACTCACAGAGTTGAAGGTTCCTTTTCAAACAGCAGTTTCCAATCACTCTTTCTGTGGAATCTGCAAGTGGATATTTGGGCCTCTCTGAGGATTTCGTTGGAAACGGGATAAAACGCACAGAACTAAAACAGAAGCATTCTCAGAAACTTCTCTGTGATGTTTGTGTTCAACTCCCAGAGTTTCACGTTGCTTTTCATAGAGTAGTTCTGAAACATGCTTTTCGTAGTGTCTGCAAGTGGACATTTGGAGCGCTTTCAGGCCTGTGGTGGAAAACGAATTATGGTCACATAAAAACTGGAGAGAAGCCTTCTCAGAAACTTCTCTGTGATGATTGCATTCAACTCACAGAGTTGAACCCTCCTATGGATAGAGCAGTGTTGAAACTCTCTTTTTGTGGAATCTGCAAGTGGATATGTGGACCTCTCCGAAGATGTCTTTGGAAACGGGAATATCTTCACATAAAAACTAAACAGAAGCATTCTCAGAAACTTCTTGGTGATGTTTGCATTCAAATCCCAGAGTTGAACCTTCCTTTGATAGTTCAGGTTTGAAACACTCTTTCTGTAGGATCTGCAAGTGGCTATTTGGACCACTCTGTGGCCTTCGTTCGAAACGGGTATATCTTCGCATAAAATCTAGACAGAAGCATTCTCAGAAAATACTTTGTGATGATTGAGTTTAAATCACAGAGCTGACCATTCCTTTGGATGGAGCAGGTTTGAGACACACTTTTTGTAGAATCTACAAGTGGATATTTGGACCTCTCTGAGGATTTCGTTGGAAACGGGATAACTGCACCTAACTAAACGGAAGCATTCTCAGAAACTGCTTTGTGATGATTGCATTCACCTCACAGAGTTGAACATTCCTATTGATAGAGCAGTTTGGAAACACTCTTGTTGTGGAATGTGCAAGTGGAGATTTGGAGCGCTTTGAGGCCTATGGTAGTAAAGGGAATAGCTTCATAGAAAAACTAGACAGATGCATTCTCAGGAACTTTTTGGTGATGTTTGTATTCAACTCCCAGAGTTGAACTTTCCTTTGGAAAGAGCAGCTATGAAACACTCTTTTTCTAGAATCTGCAAGTGGACGTTTGGAGGGCTTTGTGGTTTGTGGTGGAAAAGGAAATATCTTCACCTAAATACTAGACAGAAGCATTCTCAGAAGCTTCTCTGTGATGACTGCATTCAACTCACGGAGTTGAACACTCCTTTTGAGAGCGCAGTTTTGAAACTCTCTTTCTGTGGCATCTGCAAGGGGACATGTAGACCTCTTTGAAGATTTCGTTGGAAACGGAATCATCTTCACATAAAAACTATACAGAAGCAGTCTCAGAATCTTCTTTGTGATGTTTGCATTCAAATCCCAGAGTTGAACTTTCCTTTCAAAGTTCACGTTTGAAACACTCTTTTTGCAGGATCTACAAGTGGATATTTGGACCACTCTGTGTCCTTCGTTCGAAACGGGTATATCTTCACACGACATCTAGACAGAAGCTTTCTCAGAAAATTCTTTGGGATGATTGAGTGGAACTCACAGAGCTGAACATTCCTTGCGATGTAGCAGTTTAGAAACACACTTTCTGCAGAATCTGCAAGTGCATATTTGGACCTCTCTGAGGAATTCGTTGGAAACGGGATAATTTCAGCTGACTAAACAGAAGCATTCTCAGAACCTTCTTCGTGATGTCTGCATTCAACTCACAGTGTGGAACCTTTCTTTGATAGTTCAGGTTTGAAACACTCTTTTTGTAGAAACTGCAAGGGGATAATTGCACTTCTTTGAGGCCTACCGTAGTAAAGGAAATAACTTCCTATAGAAAGAAGACAGAAGAATTCTCAGAGCCCTCTTCGTGATGTTTGCATTCAACTCACAGTGCTGAACCTTTCTTTGATAGTGCAGCTTTGAAACACTCTTCTTGTAGAAACTGCAAGTGGATATTTGGTCCTCTCTGAGGATTTCGTTGGAAACGGGATAAACCGCACAGAACTAAACAGAAGCATTGTCAGAAACTTCTTTGTGATGATTGCATTCAACTCACAGAGTTGAAGGTTCCTTTTCAAACAGCAGTTTCCAATCACTCTTTCTGTGGAATCTGCAAGTGGATATTTGGGCCTCTCTGAGGATTTCGTTGGAAACGGGATAAAACGCACAGAACTAAAACAGAAGCATTCTCAGAAACTTCTCTGTGATGTTTGTGTTCAACTCCCAGAGTTTCACGTTGCTTTTCATAGAGTAGTTCTGAAACATGCTTTTCGTAGTGTCTGCAAGTGGACATTTGGAGCGCTTTCAGGCCTGTGGTGGAAAACGAATTATGGTCACATAAAAACTGGAGAGAAGCCTTCTCAGAAACTTCTCTGTGATGATTGCATTCAACTCACAGAGTTGAACCCTCCTATGGATAGAGCAGTGTTGAAACTCTCTTTTTGTGGAATCTGCAAGTGGATATGTGGACCTCTCCGAAGATGTCTTTGGAAACGGGAATATCTTCACATAAAAACTAAACAGAAGCATTCTCAGAAACTTCTTGGTGATGTTTGCATTCAAATCCCAGAGTTGAACCTTCCTTTGATAGTTCAGGTTTGAAACACTCTTTCTGTAGGATCTGCAAGTGGCTATTTGGACCACTCTGTGGCCTTCGTTCGAAACGGGTATATCTTCGCATAAAATCTAGACAGAAGCATTCTCAGAAAATACTTTGTGATGATTGAGTTTAAATCACAGAGCTGACCATTCCTTTGGATGGAGCAGGTTTGAGACACACTTTTTGTAGAATCTACAAGTGGATATTTGGACCTCTCTGAGGATTTCGTTGGAAACGGGATAACTGCACCTAACTAAACGGAAGCATTCTCAGAAACTGCTTTGTGATGATTGCATTCACCTCACAGAGTTGAACATTCCTATTGATAGAGCAGTTTGGAAACACTCTTGTTGTGGAATGTGCAAGTGGAGATTTGGAGCGCTTTGAGGTCTATGGTAGTAAAGGGAATAGCTTCATAGAAAAACTAGACAGAATGCATTCTCAGGAACTTTTTGGTGATGTTTGTATTCAACTCCCAGAGTTGAACTTTCCTTTGGAAAGAGCAGCTATGAAACACTCTTTTTCTAGAATCTGCAAGTGGACGTTTGGAGGGCTTTGTGGTTTGTGGTGGAAAAGGAAATATCTTCACCTAAATACTAGATAGAAGCATTCTCAGAAGCTTCTCTGTGATGACTGCATTCAACTCACGGAGTTGAACACTCCTTTTGAGAGCGCAGTTTTGAAACTCTCTTTCTGTGGCATCTGCAAGGGGACATGTAGACCTACTTTGAAGATTTCGTTGGAAACGGAATCATCTTCACATAAAAACTATACAGAAGCAGTCTCAGAATCTTCTTTGTGATGTTTGCATTCAAATCCCAGAGTTGAACTTTCCTTTCAAAGTTCACGTTTGAAACACTCTTTTTGCAGGATCTACAAGTGGATATTTGGACCACTCTGTGTCCTTCGTTCGAAACGGGTATATCTTCACATGACATCTAGACAGAAGCTTTCTCAGAAAATTCTTTGGGATGATTGAGTGGAACTCACAGAGCTGAACATTCCTTGCGATGTAGCAGTTTAGAAACACACTTTCTGCAGAATCTGCAAGTGCATATTTGGACCTCTCTGAGGAATTCGTTGGAAACGGGATAATTTCAGCTGACTAAACAGAAGCATTCTCAGAACGTTCTTCGTGATGTCTGCATTCAACTCACAGTGTGGAACCTTTCTTTGATAGTTCAGGTTTGAAACACTCTTTTTGTAGAAACTGCAAGGGGATAATTGCACTGCTTTGAGGCCTACCGTAATAAAGGAAATAACTTCCTATAAAAAGAAGACAGAAGCATTCTCAGAACCCTCTTCGTGATGTTTGCATTCAACTCACAGTGCTGAACCTTTCTTTGATAGTTCAGCTTTGAAACACTCTTCTTGTAGAAACTGCAAGTGGATATTTGGTCCTCTCTGAGGATTTCGTTGGAAACGGGATAAACCGCACAGAACTAAACAGAAGAATTCTCAGAGCCCTCTTCGTGATGTTTGCATTCAACTCACAGTGCTGAACCTTTCTTTGATAGTGCAGCTTTGAAACACTCTTTTTGTAGAAACTGCAAGTGGATGTTTGGTCCTCTCTGAGGATTTCGTTGGAAACGGGATAAACCGCACAGAACTAAAACAGAAGCATTGTCAGAAACTTCTTTGTGATGATTGCATTCAACTCACAGAGTTGAAGGTTCCTTTTCAAACAGCAGTTTCCAATCACTCTTTCTGTGGAATCTGCAAGTGGATATTTGGGCCTCTCTGAGGATTTCGTTGGAAACGGGATAAAACGCACAGAACTAAAACAGAAGCATTCTCAGAAACTTCTCTGTGATGTTTGTGTTCAACTCCCAGAGTTTCACGTTGCTTTTCATAGAGTAGTTCTGAAACATGCTTTTCGTAGTGTCTGCAAGTGGACATTTGGAGCGCTTTCAGGCCTGTGGTGGAAAACGAATTATGGTCACATAAAAACTGGAGAGAAGCATTCTCAGAAAATACTTTGTGATGATTGAGTTTAAATCACAGAGCTGACCATTCCTTTGGATGGAGCAGGTTTGAGACACACTTTTTGTAGAATCTACAAGTGGATATTTGGACCTCTCTGAGGATTTCGTTGGAAACGGGATAACTGCACCTAACTAAACGGAAGCATTCTCAGAAACTGCTTTGTGATGATTGCATTCACCTCACAGAGTTGAACATTCCTATTGATAGAGCAGTTTGGAAACACTCTTGTTGTGGAATGTGCAAGTGGAGATTTGGAGCGCTTTGAGGCCTATGGTAGTAAAGGGAATAGCTTCATAGAAAAACTAGACAGATGCATTCTCAGGAACCTTTTGGTGATGTTTGTATTCAACTCCCAGAGTTGAACTTTCCTTTGGAAAGAGCAGCTATGAAACACTCTTTTTCTAGAATCTGCAAGTGGACGTTTGGAGGGCTTTGTGGTTTGTGGTGGAAAAGGAAATATCTTCACCTAAATACTAGATAGAAGCATTCTCAGAAGCTTCTCTGTGATGACTGCATTCAACTCACGGAGTTGAACACTCCTTTTGAGAGCGCAGTTTTGAAACTCTCTTTCTGTGGCATCTGCAAGGGGACATGTAGACCTCTTTGAAGATTTCGTTGGAAACGGAATCATCTTCACATAAAAACTATACAGAAGCAGTCTCAGAATCTTCTTTGTGATGTTTGCATTCAAATCCCAGAGTTGAACTTTCCTTTCAAAGTTCACGTTTGAAACACTCTTTTTGCAGGATCTACAAGTGGATATTTGGACCACTCTGTGTCCTTCGTTCGAAACGGGTATATCTTCACACGACATCTAGACAGAAGCTTTCTCAGAAAATTCTTTGGGATGATTGAGTGGAACTCACAGAGCTGAACATTCCTTGCGATGTAGCAGTTTAGAAACACACTTTCTGCAGAATCTGCAAGTGCATATTTGGACCTCTCTGAGGAATTCGTTGGAAACGGGATAATTTCAGCTGACTAAACAGAAGCATTCTCAGAACCTTCTTCGTGATGTCTGCATTCAACTCACAGTGTGGAACCTTTCTTTGATAGTTCAGGTTTGAAACACTCTTTTTGTAGAAACTGCAAGGGGATAATTGCACTTCTTTGAGGCCTACCGTAGTAAAGGAAATAACTTCCTATAGAAAGAAGACAGAAGCATTCTCAGAACCCTCTTCGTGATGTTTGCATTCAACTCACAGTGCTGAACCTTTCTTTGATAGTTCAGCTTTGAAACACTCTTCTTGTAGAAACTGCAAGTGGATATTTGGTCCTCTCTGAGGATTTCGTTGGAAACGGGATAAACCGCACAGAACTAAACAGAAGAATTCTCAGAGCCCTCTTCGTGATGTTTGCATTCAACTCACAGTGCTGAACCTTTCTTTGATAGTGCAGCTTTGAAACACTCTTTTTGTAGAAACTGCAAGTGGATGTTTGGTCCTCTCTGAGGATTTCGTTGGAAACGGGATAAACCGCACAGAACTAAAACAGAAGCATTGTCAGAAACTTCTTTGTGATGATTGCATTCAACTCACAGAGTTGAAGGTTCCTTTTCAAACAGCAGTTTCCAATCACTCTTTCTGTGGAATCTGCAAGTGGATATTTGGGCCTCTCTGAGGATTTCGTTGGAAACGGGATAAAACGCACAGAACTAAAACAGAAGCATTCTCAGAAACTTCTCTGTGATGTTTGTGTTCAACTCCCAGAGTTTCACGTTGCTTTTCATAGAGTAGTTCTGAAACATGCTTTTCGTAGTGTCTGCAAGTGGACATTTGGAGCGCTTTCAGGCCTGTGGTGGAAAACGAATTATGGTCACATAAAAACTGGAGAGAAGCCTTCTCAGAAACTTCTCTGTGATGATTGCATTCAACTCACAGAGTTGAACCCTCCTATGGATAGAGCAGTGTTGAAACTCTCTTTTTGTGGAATCTGCAAGTGGATATGTGGACCTCTCCGAAGATGTCTTTGGAAACGGGAATATCTTCACATAAAAACTAAACAGAAGCATTCTCAGAAACTTCTTGGTGATGTTTGCATTCAAATCCCAGAGTTGAACCTTCCTTTGATAGTTCAGGTTTGAAACACTCTTTCTGTAGGATCTGCAAGTGGCTATTTGGACCACTCTGTGGCCTTCGTTCGAAACGGGTATATCTTCGCATAAAATCTAGACAGAAGCATTCTCAGAAAATACTTTGTGATGATTGAGTTTAACTCACAGAGCTGAACATTCCTTTGGATGGAGCAGGTTCGAGACACACTTTTTGTAGAATCCACAAGTGGATATTTGGACCTCTCTGAGGATTTCGTTGGAAACGGGATAACTGCACCGAACTAAACGGAAGCATTCTCAGAAACTGCTTTGTGATGATTGCATTCACCTCACAGAGTTGACCATTCCTATTGATAGAGCAGTTTGGAAACACTCTTGTTGTGGAATGTGCAAGTGGAGATTTGGAGCGCTTTGAGGCCTATGGTAGTAAAGGGAATAGCTTCATAGAAAAACTAGACAGATGCATTCTCAGGAACCTTTTGGTGATGTTTGTATTCAACTCCCAGAGTTGAACTTTCCTTTGGAAAGAGCAGCTATGAAACACTCTTTTTCTAGAATCTGCAAGTGGACGTTTGGAGGGCTTTGTGGTTTGTGGTGGAAAAGGAAATATCTTCACCTAAATACTAGATAGAAGCATTCTCAGAAGCTTCTCTGTGATGACTGCATTCAACTCACGGAGTTGAACACTCCTTTTGAGAGCGCAGTTTTGAAACTCTCTTTCTGTGGCATCTGCAAGGGGACATGTAGACCTCTTTGAAGATTTCGTTGGAAACGGAATCATCTTCACATAAAAACTATACAGAAGCAGTCTCAGAATCTTCTTTGTGATGTTTGCATTCAAATCCCAGAGTTGAACTTTCCTTTCAAAGTTCACGTTTGAAACACTCTTTTTGCAGGATCTACAAGTGGATATTTGGACCACTCTGTGTCCTTCGTTCGAAACGGGTATATCTTCACACGACATCTAGACAGAAGCTTTCTCAGAAAATTCTTTGGGATGATTGAGTGGAACTCACAGAGCTGAACATTCCTTGCGATGTAGCAGTTTAGAAACACACTTTCTGCAGAATCTGCAAGTGCATATTTGGACCTCTCTGAGGAATTCGTTGGAAACGGGATAATTTCAGCTGACTAAACAGAAGCATTCTCAGAACCTTCTTCGTGATGTCTGCATTCAACTCACAGTGTGGAACCTTTCTTTGATAGTTCAGGTTTGAAACACTCTTTTTGTAGAAACTGCAAGGGGATAATTGCACTTCTTTGAGGCCTACCGTAGTAAAGGAAATAACTTCCTATAGAAAGAAGACAGAAGCATTCTCAGAACCCTCTTCGTGATGTTTGCATTCAACACACAGTGCTGAACCTTTCTTTGATAGTTCAGCTTTGAAACACTCTTCTTGTAGAAACTGCAAGTGGATATTTGGTCCTCTCTGAGGATTTCGTTGGAAACGGGATAAACCGCACAGAACTAAACAGAAGCATTCTCAGAACCTTCTTCGTGATGTTTGCATTCAACTCACAGTGTTGAACCTTTCTTTGATAGTTCAGGTTTGAAACGGTCTTTCTGTAGAAACTGCAAGTAGATATTTGGACCTCTCTGAGGATTTCGTTGGAAACGGGATAACCCGCACAGAACTAAAACAGAAGCATTCACAGAAAACTCTTGGTGACGACTGAGTTTAACTCACAGAGCTGAACATTCCTTTGGATGGAGCAGTTTCGAAACACACTATTTGTAGAATGTGCAAGTGGATATTTGGGCCTCTCTGAGGATTTCGTTGGAAACGGGATAAACCGCACAGAACTAAACAGAAGCATTCTCAGAAACTACTTTGTGATGATTGCATTCAAGTCTCAGAGTTGAACATTCCCTTTCACAGAGCAGTTTGGAAACTCTCTTTCTGTAGAATCTGCAAGTGGAGATATGGACCGCTTTGAGGCCTATGGTAGTAAAGGAAATAGCTTTATATAAAAGCTAGACAGTAGCATTCTCAGAAACTTCTTTGTGATGCTTGCATTCAACTCACAGAGTTGAACTTTCCTTTCGAGAGAGAAGCTTTGAAACACTCTTTTTCCAGAATCTGCAAGTGGACATTTGGAGGGCTTTGAGGCCTGTGGTGGAAAAGGAATTAACTTCCCGTAAAAGCTAGATAGAAGCATTGTCAGAAACTTCTTTGTGATGATTGCATTCAACTCACAGAGATGAAGGTTCCTTTACAAACAGCAGTTTCCAAACACTCTTTCTGTGGAATCTGCAAGTGGATATTTGGACCTCTTTGAAGATTTCGTTGGAAACGGGAGAATCTTCACAGAAAAGCTAAACAGAAGCATTCTCAGAAACTTCTCTGTGATGTTTGTGTTCAACTCCCAGAGTTTCACATTGCTTTTCATAGAGTAGTTCTGAAACATGCTTTTCGTAGTGTCTGCAAGTGGACATTTGGAGCGCTTTCAGGCCTGTGGTGGAAAACGAATTATGGTCCCATAAAAACTGGAGAGAAGCCTTCTCAGAAACTTCTCTGTGATGATTGCATTCAACTCACAGATTTGAACCCTCCTATGGATAGAGCATTGTTGAAACTCTCTTTTTGTGGAATCTGCAAGTGGATATGTGGACCTCTCCGAAGATGTCTTTGGAAACGGGAATATCTTCACATAAAAACTAAACAGAAGCATTCTCAGAAACTTCTTGGTGATGTTTGCATTCAAATCCCAGAGTTGAACCTTCCTGTGATAGTTCAGGTTTGAAACACTCTTTTTGTAGGATCTGCAAGTGGATATTTGGACCACTCTGTGGCCTTCGTTCGAAACGGGTACATCTTCACATAAAATCTAGACAGAAGCATTCTCAGAAAATACTTTGTGATGATTGAGTTTAACTCACAGAGCTGAACATTCCTTTGGATGGAGCAGGTTTGAGACACACTTTTTGTAGAATCTACAAGTGGATATTTGGACCTCTCTGAGGATTTCGTTGGAAACGCGATAACTGCACCTAACTAAACGGAAGCATTCTCAGAAACTGCTTTGTGATGATTGCATTCACCTCACAGAGTTGAACATTCCTATTGATAGAGCAGTTTGGAAACACTCTTGTTGTGGAATGTGCAAGTGGAGATTTGGAGCGCTTTGAGGCCTATGGTAGTAAAGGGAATAGCTTCATAGAAAAACTAGACAGATGCATTCTCAGGAACTTTTTGGTGATGTTTGTATTCAACTCCCAGAGTTGAACTTTCCTTTGGAAAGAGCAGCTATGAAACACTGTTTTTCTAGAATCTGCAAGTGGACGTTTGGAGGGCTTTGTGGTTTGTGGTGGAAAAGGAAATATCTTCACCTAAATACTAGATAGAAGCATCCTCAGAAGCTTCTCTGTGATGACTGCATTCAACTCACGGAGTTGAACACTCCTTTTGAGAGCGCAGTTTTGAAACTCTCTTTCTGTGGCATCTGCAAGGGGACATGTAGACCTCTTTGAAGATTTCGTTGGAAACGGAATCATCTTCACATAAAAACTATACAGAAGCAGTCTCAGAATCTTCTTTGTGATGTTTGCATTCAAATCCCCGAGTTGAACTTTCCTTTCAAAGTTCACGTTTGAAACACTCTTTTTGCAGGATCTACAAGTGGATATTTGGACCACTCTGTGTCCTTCGTTCGAAACGGGTATATCTTCACATGACATCTAGACAGAAGCTTTCTCAGAAAATTCTTTGGGATGATTGAGTTGAACTCACAGAGCTGAGCATTCCTTGCGATGTAGCAGTTTAGAAACACACTTTCTGCAGAATCTGCAAGTGCATATTTGGACCTCTCTGAGGAATTCGTTGGAAACGGGATAATTTCAGCTGACTAAACAGAAGCATTCTCAGAACCTTCTTCGTGATGTCTGCATTCAACACAAAGTGTGGAACCTTTCTTTGATAGTTCAGGTTTTAAAAACTCTTTTTGTAGAAACTGCAAGGGGATAATTGCACTCTTTGAGGAGTACCGTAGTAAAGGAAATAACTTCCTATAAAAAGAAGACAGAAGCATTCTCAGAACCCTCTTCGTGATGTTTGCATTCAACTCACAGTGCTGAACCTTTCTTTGATAGTTCAGCTTTGAAACACTCTTCTTGTAGAAACTGCAAGTGGATATTTGGTCCTCTCTGAGGATTTCGTTGGAAACGGGATAAACCGCACAGAACTAAACAGAAGAATTCTCAGAGCCCTCTTCGTGATGTTTGCATTCAACTCACAGTGCTGAACCTTTCTTTGATAGTGCAGCTTTGAAACACTCTTTTTGTAGAAACTGCAAGTGGATGTTTGGTCCTCTCTGAGGATTTCGTTGGAAACGGGATAAACCGCACAGAACTAAAACAGAAGCATTGTCAGAAACTTCTTTGTGATGATTGCATTCAACTCACAGAGTTGAAGGTTCCTTTTCAAACAGCAGTTTCCAATCACTCTTTCTGTGGAATCTGCAAGTGGATATTTGGGCCTCTCTGAGGATTTCGTTGGAAACGGGATAAAACGCACAGAACTAAAACAGAAGCATTCTCAGAAACTTCTCTGTGATGTTTGTGTTCAACTCCCAGAGTTTCACGTTGCTTTTCATAGAGTAGTTCTGAAACATGCTTTTCGTAGTGTCTGCAAGTGGACATTTGGAGCGCTTTCAGGCCTGTGGTGGAAAACGAATTATGGTCACATAAAAACTGGAGAGAAGCCTTCTCAGAAACTTCTCTGTGGTGATTGCATTCAACTCACAGAGTTGAACCCTCCTATGGATAGAGCAGTGTTGAAAATCTCTTTTTGTGGAATCTGCAAGTGGATATGTGGACCTCTCCGAAGATGTCTTTGGAAACGGGAATATCTTCACATAAAAACTAAACAGAAGCATTCTCAGAAACTTCTTGGTGATGTTTGCATTCAAATCCCAGAGTTGAACCTTCCTTTGATAGTTCAGGTTTGAAACACTCTTTTTGTAGGATCTGCAAGTGGCTATTTGGACCACTCTGTGGCCTTCGTTCGAAACGGGTATATCTTCGCATAAAATCTAGACAGAAGCATTCTCAGAAAATACTTTGTGATGATTGAGTTTAAATCACAGAGCTGAACATTCCTTTGGATGGAGCAGGTTTGAGACACACTTTTTGTAGAATCTACAAGTGGATATTTGGACCTCTCTGAGGATTTCGTTGGAAACGGGATAACTGCACCTAACTAAACGGAAGCATTCTCAGAAACTGCTTTGTGATGATTGCATTCACCTCACAGAGTTGAACATTCCTATTGATAGAGCAGTTTGGAAACACTCTTGTTGTGGAATGTGCAAGTGGAGATTTGGAGCGCTTTGAGGCCTATGGTAGTAAAGGGAATAGCTTCATAGAAAAACTAGACAGATGCATTCTCAGGAACTTTTTGGTGATGTTTGTATTCAACTCCCAGAGTTGAACTTTCCTTTGGAAAGAGCAGCTATGAAACACTCTTTTTCTAGAATCTGCAAGTGGACGTTTGGAGGGCTTTGTGGTTTGTGGTGGAAAAGGAAATATCTTCACCTAAATACTAGATAGAAGCATTCTCAGAAGCTTCTCTGTGATGACTGCATTCAACTCACGGAGTTGAACACTCCTTTTGAGAGCGCAGTTTTGAAACTCTCTTTCTGTGGCATCTGCAAGGGGACATGTAGACCTCTTTGAAGATTTCGTTGGAAACGGAATCATCTTCACATAAAAACTATACAGAAGCAGTCTCAGAATCTTCTTTGTGATGTTTGCATTCAAATCCCAGAGTTGAACTTTCCTTTCAAAGTTCACGTTTGAAACACTCTTTTTGCAGGATCTACAAGTGGATATTTGGACCACTCTGTGTCCTTCGTTCGAAACGGGTATATCTTCACACGACATCTAGACAGAAGCTTTCTCAGAAAATTCTTTGGGATGATTGAGTGGAACTCACAGAGCTGAACATTCCTTGCGATGTAGCAGTTTAGAAACACACTTTCTGCAGAATCTGCAAGTGCATATTTGGACCTCTCTGAGGAATTCGTTGGAAACGGGATAATTTCAGCTGACTAAACAGAAGCATTCTCAGAACCTTCTTCGTGATGTCTGCATTCAACTCACAGTGTGGAACCTTTCTTTGATAGTTCAGGTTTGAAACACTCTTTTTGTAGAAACTGCAAGGGGATAATTGCACTTCTTTGAGGCCTACCGTAGTAAAGGAAATAACTTCCTATAGAAAGAAGACAGAAGCATTCTCAGAACCCTCTTCGTGATGTTTGCATTCAACTCACAGTGCTGAACCTTTCTTTGATAGTTCAGCTTTGAAACACTCTTCTTGTAGAAACTGCAAGTGGATATTTGGTCCTCTCTGAGGATTTCGTTGGAAACGGGATAAACCGCACAGAACTAAACAGAAGAATTCTCAGAGCCCTCTTCGTGATGTTTGCATTCAACTCACAGTGCTGAACCTTTCTTTGATAGTGCAGCTTTGAAACACTCTTTTTGTAGAAACTGCAAGTGGATGTTTGGTCCTCTCTGAGGATTTCGTTGGAAACGGGATAAACCGCACAGAACTAAAACAGAAGCATTGTCAGAAACTTCTTTGTGATGATTGCATTCAACTCACAGAGTTGAAGGTTCCTTTTCAAACAGCAGTTTCCAATCACTCTTTCTGTGGAATCTGCAAGTGGATATTTGGGCCTCTCTGAGGATTTCGTTGGAAACGGGATAAAACGCACAGAACTAAAACAGAAGCATTCTCAGAAACTTCTCTGTGATGTTTGTGTTCAACTCCCAGAGTTTCACGTTGCTTTTCATAGAGTAGTTCTGAAACATGCTTTTCGTAGTGTCTGCAAGTGGACATTTGGAGCGCTTTCAGGCCTGTGGTGGAAAACGAATTATGGTCACATAAAAACTGGAGAGAAGCCTTCTCAGAAACTTCTCTGTGATGATTGCATTCAACTCACAGAGTTGAACCCTCCTATGGATAGAGCAGTGTTGAAACTCTCTTTTTGTGGAATCTGCAAGTGGATATGTGGACCTCTCCGAAGATGTCTTTGGAAACGGGAATATCTTCACATAAAAACTAAACAGAAGCATTCTCAGAAACTTCTTGGTGATGTTTGCATTCAAATCCCAGAGTTGAACCTTCCTTTGATAGTTCAGGTTTGAAACACTCTTTCTGTAGGATCTGCAAGTGGCTATTTGGACCACTCTGTGGCCTTCGTTCGAAACGGGTATATCTTCGCATAAAATCTAGACAGAAGCATTCTCAGAAAATACTTTGTGATGATTGAGTTTAAATCACAGAGCTGACCATTCCTTTGGATGGAGCAGGTTTGAGACACACTTTTTGTAGAATCTACAAGTGGATATTTGGACCTCTCTGAGGATTTCGTTGGAAACGGGATAACTGCACCTAACTAAACGGAAGCATTCTCAGAAACTGCTTTGTGATGATTGCATTCACCTCACAGAGTTGAACATTCCTATTGATAGAGCAGTTTGGAAACACTCTTGTTGTGGAATGTGCAAGTGGAGATTTGGAGCGCTTTGAGGCCTGTGGTAGTAAAGGGAATAGCTTCATAGAAAAACTAGACAGATGCATTCTCAGGAACCTTTTGGTGATGTTTGTATTCAACTCCCAGAGTTGAACTTTTCCTTTGGAAAGAGCAGCTATGAAACACTCTTTTTCTAGAATCTGCAAGTGGACGTTTGGAGGGCTTTGTGGTTTGTGGTGGAAAAGGAAATATCTTCACCTAAATACTAGATAGAAGCATTCTCAGAAGCTTCTCTGTGATGACTGCATTCAACTCACGGAGTTGAACACTCCTTTTGAGAGCGCAGTTTTGAAACTCTCTTTCTGTGGCATCTGCAAGGGGACATGTAGACCTCTTTGAAGATTTCGTTGGAAACGGAATCATCTTCACATAAAAACTATACAGAAGCAGTCTCAGAATCTTCTTTGTGATGTTTGCATTCAAATCCCTGAGTTGAACTTTCCTTTCCAAGTTCACGTTTGAAACACTCTTTTTGCAGGATCTACAAGTGGATATTTGGACCACTCTGTGTCCTTCGTTCGAAACGGGTATATCTTCACATGACATCTAGACAGAAGCTTTCTCAGAAAATTCTTTGGGATGATTGAGTTGAGCAAACAGAGCTGAACACTCCTTGTGATGTAGCAGTTTAGAAACACACTTTCTGCAGAATCTGCAAGTGCATATGTGGACCTCTCTGAGGAATTCGTTGGAAACGGGATAATTTCAGCTGACTAAACAGAAGCATTCTCAGAACCTTCTTCGTGATGTCTGCGTTCAACTCACAGTGTGGAACCTTTCTTTGATAGTTCAGGTTTGAAACACTCTTTTTGTAGAAACTGCAAGGGGATCATTGCACTTCTTTGAGGCCTACCGTAGTAAAGGAGATAACTTGCTATAAAAAGAAGACAGAAGCATTCTCAGAACACTCTTCGTGATGTTTGCATTCAACTCACGGTGCTGAACCTTTCTTTGATAGTTCAGCTTTGAAACACTCTTTTTGTAGAAACTGCAAGTGGATATTTGGTCCTCTCTGAGGATTTCGTTGGAAACGGGATAAACCGCACAGAACTAAACAGAAGCATTCTCAGAACCTTCTTCGTGATGTTTGCATTCAACTCACAGTGTTGAACCTTTCTTTGATAGTTCAGGTTTGAAACGGTCTTTCTGTAGAAACTGCAAGTAGATATTTAGACCTCTCTGAGGATTTCGTTGGAAACGGGATAAACAGCACAGAACTAAAACAGAAGCATTCACAGAAAACTCTTGGTGACGACTGAGTTTAACTCACAGAGCTGAACATTCCTTTGGATGGAGCAGTTTCGAAACACACTATTTGTAGAATGTGCAAGTGGATATGTGGGCCTCTGTGAGGATTTCGTTGGAAACGGGATAAACCGCACAGAACTAAACAGAAGCATTCTCAGAAACTACTTTGTGATGATTGCATTCAAGTCACAGAGTTGAACATTCCCTTTGACAGAGCAGTTTGGAAACTCTCTTTGTGTAGAATCTGCAAGTGGAGATATGGACCGCTTTGAGGCCTATGGTAGTAAAGGAAATAGCTTCATATAAAAGCTAGTCAGTAGCATTCTCAGAAACTTCTTTGTGATGCTTGCATTCAACTCACAGAGTTGAACTTTCCTTTCGAGAGAGAAGCTTTGAAACACTCTTTTTCCAGAATGTGCAAGTGGACATTTGGGGAGCTTTGAGGCCTGTGGTGGAAAAGGAATTATCTTCCCGTAAAAGCTAGATAGAAGCATTGTCAGAAACTTCTTTGTGATGATTGCATTCAACTCACAGAGTTGAAGGTTCCTTTTCAAACAGCAGTTTCCAATCACTCTTTCTGTGGAATCTGCAAGTGGATATTTCGACCTCTTTGAAGATTTCGTTGGAAACGGGAGAATCTTCACAGAAAAGCTAAACAGAAGCATTCTCAGAAACTTCTCTGTGATGTTTGTGTTCAACTCCCAGAGTTTCACGTTGCTTTTCATAGAGTAGTTCTGAAACATGCTTTTCGTAGTGTCTGCAAGTGGACATTTGGAGCGCTTTCAGGCCTGTGGTGGAAAACGAATTATGGTCACATAAAAACTGGAGAGAAGCCTTCTCAGAAACTTCTCTGTGATGATTGCATTCAACTCACAGGAGTTGAACCCTCCTATGGATAGAGCAGTGTTGAAACTCTCTTTTTGTGGAATCTGCAAGTGGATATGTGGACCTCTCCGAAGATGTCTTTGGAAACGGGAATATCTTCACATAAAAACTAAACAGAAGCATTCTCAGAAACTTCTTGGTGATGTTTGCATTCAAATCCCAGAGTTGAACCTTCCTTTGATAGTTCAGGTTTGAAACACTCTTTCTGTAGGATCTGCAAGTGGCTATTTGGACCACTCTGTGGCCTTCGTTCGAAACGGGTATATCTTCGCATAAAATCTAGACAGAAGCATTCTCAGAAAATACTTTGTGATGATTGAGTTTAAATCACAGAGCTGACCATTCCTTTGGATGGAGCAGGTTTGAGACACACTTTTTGTAGAATCTACAAGTGGATATTTGGACCTCTCTGAGGATTTCGTTGGAAACGGGATAACTGCACCTAACTAAACGGAAGCATTCTCAGAAACTGCTTTGTGATGATTGCATTCACCTCACAGAGTTGAACATTCCTATTGATAGAGCAGTTTGGAAACACTCTTGTTGTGGAATGTGCAAGTGGAGATTTGGAGCGCTTTGAGGCCTATGGTAGTAAAGGGAATAGCTTCATAGAAAAACTAGACAGATGCATTCTCAGGAACTTTTTGGTGATGTTTGTATTCAACTCCCAGAGTTGAACTTTCCTTTGGAAAGAGCAGCTATGAAACACTCTTTTTCTAGAATCTGCAAGTGGACGTTTGGAGGGCTTTGTGGTTTGTGGTGGAAAAGGAAATATCTTCACCTAAATACTAGATAGAAGCATTCTCAGAAGCTTCTCTGTGATGACTGCATTCAACTCACGGAGTTGAACACTCCTTTTGAGAGCGCAGTTTTGAAACTCTCTTTCTGTGGCATCTGCAAGGGGACATGTAGACCTCTTTGAAGATTTCGTTGGAAACGGAATCATCTTCACATAAAAACTATACAGAAGCAGTCTCAGAATCTTCTTTGTGATGTTTGCATTCAAATCCCAGAGTTGAACTTTCCTTTCAAAGTTCACGTTTGAAACACTCTTTTTGCAGGATCTACAAGTGGATATTTGGACCACTCTGTGTCCTTCGTTCGAAACGGGTATATCTTCACACGACATCTAGACAGAAGCTTTCTCAGAAAATTCTTTGGGATGATTGAGTGGAACTCACAGAGCTGAACATTCCTTGCGATGTAGCAGTTTAGAAACACACTTTCTGCAGAATCTGCAAGTGCATATTTGGACCTCTCTGAGGAATTCGTTGGAAACGGGATAATTTCAGCTGACTAAACAGAAGCATTCTCAGAACCTTCTTCGTGATGTCTGCATTCAACTCACAGTGTGGAACCTTTCTTTGATAGTTCAGGTTTGAAACACTGTTTTTGTGGAAACTGCAAGGGGATAATTGCACTTCTTTGAGGCCTACCGTAGTAATGGAAATAACTTCCTATAAAAAGAAGACAGAAGCATTCTCAGAACCTTCTTCGTGATGTTTGCATTCAACTCACAAGTGCTGAACCTTTCTTTGATAGTTCAGCTTTGAAACACTCTTTTTGTAGAAACTGCAAGTGGATATTTGGTCCTCTCTGAGGATTTCGTTGGAAACGGGATAAACCGCACAGAACTAAACAGAAGCATTCACAGAAAACTCTTGGTGACGACTGATTTTAACTCACAGAGCTGAACATTCCTTTGGATGGAGCAGTTTCGAAACACACTCTTTGTAGAATGTGCAAGTGGATATTTGGGCCTCTCTGAGGATTTCGTTGGAAACGGGATAAACCGCACAGAACTAAAACAGAAGCACTCTGAGAAACTACTTTGTGATGATTGCATTCAAGTCACAGAGCTGAACATTCCCTTTGACAGAGCAGTTTGGAAACTCTCTTTGTGTAGAATCTGTAAGTGGAGATATGGAATGCTTTGAGGACTATGGTAGTAAAGGAAATAGCTTCATATAAAAGCTAGACAGTAGCATTCTCAGAAACTTCTTTGTGATGCTTGCATTCAACTCACAGAGTTGAAATTTCCTTTTGAGAGAGAAGCTTTGAAACACTCTTTTTCCAGAATGTTCAAGTGGATATTTGCAGGGCTTTGAGGCCTGTGGTGGAAAAGGAATTATCTTCCCGTAAAAGCTAGATAGAAGCATTGTCAGAAACTTCTTTGTGATGATTGCATTCAACTCACAGAGTTGAAGGTTCCTTTTCAAACAGCAGTTTCCAATCACTCTTTCTGTGGAATCTGCAAGTGGATATTTCGACCTCTTTGAAGATTTCGTTGGAAACGGGAGAATCTTCACAGAAAAGCTAAACAGAAGCATTCTCAGAAACTTCTCTGTGATGTTTGTGTTCAACTCCCAGAGTTTCACGTTGCTTTTCATAGAGTAGTTCTGAAACATGCTTTTCGTAGTGTCTGCAAGTGGACATTTGGAGCGCTTTCAGGCCTGTGGTGGAAAACGAATTATGGTCACATAAAAACTGGAGAGAAGCCTTCTCAGAAACTTCTCTGTGATGATTGCATTCAACTCACAGAGTTGAACCCTCCTATGGATAGAGCAGTGTTGAAACTCTCTTTTTGTGGAATCTGCAAGTGGATATGTGGACCTCTCCGAAGATGTCTTTGGAAACGGGAATATCTTCACATAAAAACTAAACAGAAGCATTCTCAGGAAACTTCTTGGTGATGTTTGCATTCAAATCCCAGAGTTGAACCTTCCTTTGATAGTTCAGGTTTGAAACACTCTTTTTGTAGGATCTGCAAGTGGCTATTTGGACCACTCTGTGGCCTTCGTTCGAAACGGGTATATCTTCGCATAAAATCTAGACAGAAGCATTCTCAGAAAATACTTTGTGATGATTGAGTTTAAATCACAGAGCTGACCATTCCTTTGGATGGAGCAGGTTTGAGACACACTTTTTGTAGAATCTACAAGTGGATATTTGGACCTCTCTGAGGATTCGTTGGAAACGGGATAACTGCACCTAACTAAACGGAAGCATTCTCAGAAACTGCTTTGTGATGATTGCATTCACCTCACAGAGTTGAACATTCCTATTGATAGAGCAGTTTGGAAACACTCTTGTTGTGGAATGTGCAAGTGGAGATTTGGAGCGCTTTGAGGCCTATGGTAGTAAAGGGAATAGCTTCATAGAAAAACTAGACAGATGCATTCTCAGGAACTTTTTGGTGATGTTTGTATTCAACTCCCAGAGTTGAACTTTCCTTTGGAAAGAGCAGCTATGAAACACTCTTTTTCTAGAATCTGCAAGTGGACGTTTGGAGGGCTTTGTGGTTTGTGGTGGAAAAGGAAATATCTTCACCTAAATACTAGATAGAAGCATCCTCAGAAGCTTCTCTGTGATGACTGCATTCAACTCACGGAGTTGAACACTCCTTTTGAGAGCGCAGTTTTGAAACTCTCTTTCTGTGGCATCTGCAAGGGGACATGTAGACGTCTTTGAAGATTTCGTTGGAAACGGAATCATCTTCACATAAAAACTACACAGAAGCAGTCTCAGAATCTTCTTTGTGATGTTTGCATTCAAATCCCCGAGTTGAACTTTCCTTTCAAAGTTCACGTTTGAAACACTCTTTTTGCAGGATCTACAAGTGGATATTTGGACCACTCTGTGTCCTTCGTTCGAAACGGGTATATCTTCACATGACATCTAGACAGAAGCTTTCTCAGAAAATTCTTTGGGATGATTGAGTTGAACTCACAGAGCTGAGCATTCCTTGCGATGTAGCAGTTTAGAAACACACTTTCTGCAGAATCTGCAAGTGCATATTTGGACCTCTGTGAGGAATTCGTTGGAAACGGGATAATTTCAGCTGACTAAACAGAAGCATTCTCAGAACCTTCTTCGTGATGTCTGCATTCAACTCACAGTGTGGAACCTTTCTTTGATAGTTCAGGTTTGAAACACTCTTTTTGTAGAAACTGCAAGGGGATCATTGCACTCTTTGAGGAGTACCGTAGTAAAGGAAATAACTTCCTATAAAAAGAAGACAGAAGCATTCTCAGAACCCTCTTCGTGATGTTTGCATTCAACTCACAGTGCTGAACCTTTCTTTGATAGTTCAGCTTTGAAACACTCTTCTTGTAGAAACTGCAAGTGGATATTTGGTCCTCTCTGAGGATTTCTTTGGAAACGGGATAAACCACACAGAACTAAACAGAAGCATTCTCAGAACCTTCTTCGTGATGTTTGCATTCAACTCACAGTGTTGAACCTTTCTTTGATAGTTCAGGTTTGAAACGGTCTTTCTGTAGAAACTGCAAGTAGATATTTGGACCTCTCTGAGGATTTCGTTGGAAACGGGATAACCCGCACAGAACTAAAACAGAAGCATTCACAGAAAACTCTTGGTGACGACTGAGTTTAACTCACAGAGCTGAACATTCCTTTGGATGGAGCAGTTTCGAAACACACTATTTGTAGAATGTGCAAGTGGATATTTAGGCCTCTCTGAGGATTTCGTTGGAAACGGGATAAACCGCACAGAACTAAACAGAAGCATTCTCAGAAACTACTTTGTGATGATTGCATTCAAGTCACAGAGTTGAACATTCCCTTTGACAGAGCAGTTTGGAAACTCTCTTTGTGTAGAATCTGCAAGTGGAGATATGGACCGCTTTGAGGCCTATGGTAGTAAAGGAAATAGCTTCATATAAAAGCTAGACAGTAGCATTCTCAGAAACTTCTTTGTGATGCTTGCATTCAACTCACAGAGTTGAACTTTCCTTTCGAGAGAGAAGCTTTGAAACACTCTTTTTCCAGAATCTGCAAGTGGACATTTGGAGGGCTTTGAGGCCTGTGGTGGAAAAGGAATTATCTTCCCGTAAAAGCTAGATAGAAGCATTGTCAGAAACTTCTTTGTGATGATTGCATTCAACTCACAGAGTTGAAGGTTCCTTTTCAAAGAGCAGTTTCCAATCACTCTTTGTGTGGAATCTGCAAGTGGATATTTGGACCTATTTTGAAGATTTCGTTGGAAACGGGAGAATCTTCACAGGAAAGCTAAACAGAAGCATTCTCAGAAACTTCTCTGTGATGTTTGTGTTCAACTCCCAGAGTTTCACATTGCTTTTCATAGAGTAGTTCTGAAACATGCTTTTCGTAGTGTCTACAAGTGGACATTTGGAGCGCTTTCAGGCCTGTGGTGGAAAACGAATTATGGTCACATAAAAACTGGAGAGAAGCCTTCTCAGAAACTTCTCTGTGATGATTGCATTCAACTCACAGAGTTGAACCCTCCTATGGATAGAGCAGTGTTGAAACTCTCTTTTTGTGGAATCTGCAAGTGGATATGTGGACCTCTCCGAAGATGTCTTTGGAAACGGGAATATCTTCACATAAAAACTAAACAGAAGCATTCTCAGAAACTTCTTGGTGATGTTTGCATTCAAATCCCAGAGTTGAACCTTCCTTTGATAGTTCAGGTTTGAAACACTCTTTTTGTAGGATCTGCAAGTGGATATTTGGACCACTCTGTGGCCTTCGTTCGAAACGGGTATATCTTCGCATAAAATCTAGACAGAAGCATTCTCAGAAAATACTTTGTGATGATTGAGTTTAAATCACAGAGCTGAACATTCCTTTGGATGGAGCAGGTTTGAGACACACTTTTTGTAGAATCTACAAGTGGATATTTGGACCTCTCGGAGGATTTCGTTGGAAACGGGATAACTGCACCTAACTAAACGGAAGCATTCTCAGAAACTGCTTTGTGATGATTGCATTCACCTCACAGAGTTGAACATTCCTATTGATAGAGCAGTTTGGAAACACTCTTGTTGTGGAATGTGCAAGTGGAGATTTGGAGCGCTTTGAGGCCTATGGTAGTAAAGGGAATAGCTTCATAGAAAAACTAGACAGATGCATTCTCAGGAACTTTTTGGTGATGTTTGTATTCAACTCCCAGAGTTGAACTTTCCTTTGGAAAGAGCAGCTATGAAACACTCTTTTTCTAGAATCTGCAAGTGGACGTTTGGAGGGCTTTGTGGTTTGTGGTGGAAAAGGAAATATCTTCACCTAAATACTAGATAGAAGCATCCTCAGAAGCTTCTCTGTGATGACTGCATTCAACTCACGGAGTTGAACACTCCTTTTGAGAGCGCAGTTTTGAAACTCTCTTTCTGTGGCATCTGCAAGGGGACATGTAGACCTCTTTGAAGATTTCGTTGGAAACGGAATCATCTTCACATAAAAACTATACAGAAGCAGTCTCAGAATCTTCTTTGTGATGTTTGCATTCAAATCCCCGAGTTGAACTTTCCTTTCAAAGTTCACGTTTGAAACACTCTTTTTGCAGGATCTACAAGTGGATATTTGGACCACTCTGTGTCCTTCGTTCGAAACGGGTATATCTTCACATGACATCTAGACAGAAGCTTTCTCAGAAAATTGTTTGGGATGATTGACTTGAACTCACAGAGCTGAGCATTCCTTGCGATGTAGCAGTTTAGAAACACACTTTCTGCAGAATCTGCAAGTGCATATTTGGACCTCTCTGAGGAATTCGTTGGAAACGGGATAATTTCAGCTGACTAAACAGAAGCATTCTCAGAACCTTCTTCGTGATGTCTGCATTCAACTCACAGTGTGGAACCTTTCTTTGATAGTTCAGGTTTGAAACACTCTTTTTGTAGAAACTGCAAGGGGATAATTGCACTCTTTGAGGAGTACCGTAGTAAAGGAAATAACTTCCTATAAAAAGAAGACAGAAGCATTCTCAGAACCCTCTTCGTGATGTTTGCATTCAACTCACAGTGCTGAACCTTTCTTTGATAGTTCAGCTTTGAAACACTCTTTTTGTAGAAACTGCAAGTGGATATTTGGTCCTCTCTGAGCATTTCGTTGGAAACGGGATAAACTGCACAGAACTAAACAGAAGCATTCTCAGAACCTTCTTCGTGATGTTTGCATTCAACTCACAGTGTTGAACCTTTCTTTGATAGTTCAGGTTTGAAACGGTCTTTCTGTAGAAACTGCAAGTAGATATTTGGACCTCTCTGAGGATTTCGTTGGAAACGGGATAACCCGCACAGAACTAAAACAGAAGCATTCACAGAAAACTCTTGGTGACGACTGAGTTTAACTCACAGAGCTGAACATTCCTTTGGATGGAGCAGTTTCGAAACACACTATTTGTAGAATGTGCAAGTGGATATTTAGGCCTCTCTGAGGATTTCGTTGGAAACGGGATAAACCGCACAGAACTAAACAGAAGCATTCTCAGAAACTACTTTGTGATGATTGCATTCAAGTCACAGAGTTGAACATTCCCTTTGACAGAGCAGTTTGGAAACTCTCTTTGTGTAGAATCTGCAAGTGGAGATATGGACCGCTTTGAGGCCTATGGTAGTAAAGGAAATAGCTTCATATAAAAGCTAGACAGTAGCATTCTCAGAAACTTCTTTGTGATGCTTGCATTCAACTCACAGAGTTGAACTTTCCTTTCGAGAGAGAAGCTTTGAAACACTCTTTTTCCAGAATCTGCAAGTGGACATTTGGAGGGCTTTGAGGCCTGTGGTGGAAAAGGAATTATCTTCCCGTAAAAGCTAGATAGAAGCATTGTCAGAAACTTCTTTGTGATGATTGCATACAAGTCACAGAGTTGAAGGTTCCTTTTCAAAGAGCAGTTTCCAATCACTCTTTCTGTGGAATCTGCAAGTGGATATTTGGACCTCTTTGAAGATTTCGTTGGAAACGGGAGAATCTTCACAGAAAAGCTAAACAGAAGCATTCTCAGAAACTTCTCTGTGATGTTTGTGTTCAACTCCCAGAGTTTCACGTTGCTTCTCATAGAGTAGTTCTGAAACATGCTTTTCGTAGTGTCTGCAAGTGGACATTTGGAGCGCTTTCAGGCCTGTGGTGGAAAACGAATTATGGTCACATAAAAACTGGAGAGAAGCCTTCTCAGAAACTTCTCTGTGATGATTGCATTCAACTCACAGAGTTGAACCCTCCTATGGATAGAGCAGTGTTGAAACTCTCTTTTTGTGGAATCTGCAAGTGGATATGTGGACCTCTCCGAAGATGTCTTTGGAAACGGGAATATCTTCACATAAAAACTAAACAGAAGCATTCTCAGAAACTTCTTGGTGATGTTTGCATTCAAATCCCAGAGTTGAACCTTCCTTTGATAGTTCAGGTTTGAAACACTCTTTTTGTAGGATCTGCAAGTGGCTATTTGGACCACTCTGTGGCCTTCGTTCGAAACGGGTATATCTTCGCATAAAATCTAGACAGAAGCATTCTCAGAAAATACTTTGTGATGATTGAGTTTAAATCACAGAGCTGAACATTCCTTTGGATGGAGCAGGTTTGAGACACACTTTTTGTAGAATCTACAAGTGGATATTTGGACCTCTCTGAGGATTTCGTTGGAAACGGGATAACTGCACCTAACTAAACGAAGCATTCTCAGAAACTGCTTTGTGATGATTGCATTCACCTCACAGAGTTGAACATTCCTATTGATAGAGCAGTTTGGAAACACTCTTGTTGTGGAATGTGCAAGTGGAGATTTGGAGCGCTTTGAGGCCTACGGTAGTAAAGGGAATAGCTTCATAGAAAAACTAGACAGATGCATTCTCAGGAACTTTTTGGTGATGTTTGTATTCAACTCCCAGAGTTGAACTTTCCTTTGGAAAGAGCAGCTATGAAACACTCTTTTTCTAGAATCTGCAAGTGGACGTTTGGAGGGCTTTGTGGTTTGTGGTGGAAAAGGAAATATCTTCACCTAAATACTAGATAGAAGCATTCTCAGAAGCTTCTCTGTGATGACTGCATTCAACTCACGGAGTTGAACACTCCTTTTGAGAGCGCAGTTTTGAAACTCTCTTTCTGTGGCATCTGCAAGGGGACATGTAGACCTCTTTGAAGATTTCGTTGGAAACGGAATCATCTTCACATAAAAACTATACAGAAGCAGTCTCAGAATCTTCTTTGTGATGTTTGCATTCAAATCCCAGAGTTGAACTTTCCTTTCAAAGTTCACGTTTGAAACACTCTTTTTGCAGGATCTACAAGTGGATATTTGGACCACTCTGTGTCCTTCGTTCGAAACGGGTATATCTTCACACGACATCTAGACAGAAGCTTTCTCAGAAAATTCTTTGGGATGATTGAGTTGAGCAAACAGAGCTGAACACTCCTTGTGATGTAGCAGTTTAGAAACACACGTTCTGCAGAATCTGCAAGTGCATATGTGGACCTCTCTGAGGAATTCGTTGGAAACGGGATAATTTCAGCTGACTAAACAGAAGCATTCTCAGAACCTTCTTCGTGATGTCTGCATTCAACTCACAGTGTGGAACCTTTCTTTGATAGTTCAGGTTTGAAACACTCTTTTTGTAGAAACTGCAAGGGGATAATTGCACTTCTTTGAGGCCTACCGTAGTAAAGGAAATAACTTCCTATAGAAAGAAGACAGAAGCATTCTCAGAACCCTCTTCGTGATGTTTGCATTCAACTCACAGTGCTGAACCTTTCTTTGATAGTTCAGCTTTGAAACACTCTTCTTGTAGAAACTGCAAGTGGATATTTGGTCCTCTCTGAGGATTTCGTTGGAAACGGGATAAACCGCACAGAACTAAACAGAAGAATTCTCAGGAGCCCTCTTCGTGATGTTTGCATTCAACTCACAGTGCTGAACCTTTCTTTGATAGTGCAGCTTTGAAACACTCTTTTTGTAGAAACTGCAAGTGGATGTTTGGTCCTCTCTGAGGATTTCGTTGGAAACGGGATAAACCGCACAGAACTAAAACAGAAGCATTCTCAGAACCTTCTTCGTGATGTTTGCATTCAACTCACAGTGTTGAACCTTTCTTTGATAGTTCAGGTTTGAAACGGTCTTTCTGTAGAAACTGCAAGTAGATATTTGGACCTCTGCTGAGGATTTCGTTGGAAACGGGATAACCCGCACAGAACTAAAACAGAAGCATTCACAGAAAACACTTGGTGACGACTGAGTTTAACTCACAGAGCTGAACATTCCTTTGGATGGAGCAGTTTCGAAACACACTATTGGTAGAATCTGCAAGTGGATATTTGGGCCTCTCTGAGGATTTCGTTGGAAACGGGATAAACCGCACAGAACTAAAACAGAAGCATTCTCAGAAACTACTTTGTGATGATTGCATTCAAGTCACAGAGTTGAACATTCCCTTTGACAGAGCAGTTTGGAAACTCTCTTTGTGTAGAATCTGCAAGTGGAGATATGGACCGCTTTGAGGCCTATGGTAGTAAAGGAAATAGCTTCATATAAAAGCTAGACAGTAGCATTCTCAGAAACTTCTTTGTGATGCTTGCATTCAACTCACAGAGTTGAACTTTCCTTTCGAGAGAGAAGCTTTGAAACACTCTTTTTCCAGAATCTGCAAGTGGACATTTGGAGGGCTTTGAGGCCTGTGGTGGAAAAGGAATTATCTTCCCGTAAAAGCTAGATAGAAGCATTGTCAGAAACTTCTTTGTGATGATTGCATTCAACTCACAGAGTTGAAGGTTCCTTTTCAAAGAGCAGTTTCCAATCACTCTTTGTGTGGAATCTGCAAGTGGATATTTGGACCTATTTTGAAGATTTCGTTGGAAACGGGAGAATCTTCACAGGAAAGCTAAACAGAAGCATTCTCAGAAACTTCTCTGTGATGTTTGTGTTCAACTCCCAGAGTTTCACATTGCTTTTCATAGAGTAGTTCTGAAACATGCTTTTCGTAGTGTCTACAAGTGGACATTTGGAGCGCTTTCAGGCCTGTGGTGGAAAACGAATTATGGTCACATAAAAACTGGAGAGAAGCCTTCTCAGAAACTTCTCTGTGATGATTGCATTCAACTCACAGAGTTGAACCCTCCTATGGATAGAGCAGTGTTGAAACTCTCTTTTTGTGGAATCTGCAAGTGGATATGTGGACCTCTCCGAAGATGTCTTTGGAAACGGGAATATCTTCACATAAAAACTAAACAGAAGCATTCTCAGAAACTTCTTGGTGATGTTTGCATTCAAATCCCAGAAGTTGAACCTTCCTTTGATAGTTCAGGTTTGAAACACTCTTTTTGTAGGATCTGCAAGTGGATATTTGGACCACTCTGTGGCCTTCGTTCGAAACGGCTATATCTTCGCATAAAATCTAGACAGAAGCATTCTCAGAAAATACTTTGTGATGATTGAGTTTAAATCACAGAGCTGACCATTCCTTTGGATGGAGCAGGTTTGAGACACACTTTTTGTAGAATCTACAAGTGGATATTTGGACCTCTCTGAGGATTTCGTTGGAAACGGGATAACTGCACCTAACTAAACGGAAGCATTCTCAGAAACTGCTTTGTGATGATTGCATTCACCTCACAGAGTTGAACATTCCTATTGATAGAGCAGTTTGGAAACACTCTTGTTGTGGAATGTGCAAGTGGAGATTTGGAGCGCTTTGAGGCCTATGGTAGTAAAGGGAATAGCTTCATAGAAAAACTAGACAGATGCATTCTCAGGAACTTTTTGGTGATGTTTGTATTCAACTCCCAGAGTTGAACTTTCCTTTGGAAAGAGCAGCTATGAAACACTCTTTTTCTAGAATCTGCAAGTGGACGTTTGGAGGGCTTTGTGGTTTGTGGTGGAAAAGGAAATATCTTCACCTAAATACTAGATAGAAGCATTCTCAGAAGCTTCTCTGTGATGACTGCATTCAACTCACGGAGTTGAACACTCCTTTTGAGAGCGCAGTTTTGAAACTCTCTTTCTGTGGCATCTGCAAGGGGACATGTAGACCTCTTTGAAGATTTCGTTGGAAACGGAATCATCTTCACATAAAAACTATACAGAAGCAGTCTCAGAATCTTCTTTGTGATGTTTGCATTCAAATCCCAGAGTTGAACTTTCCTTTCAAAGTTCACGTTTGAAACACTCTTTTTGCAGGATCTACAAGTGGATATTTGGACCACTCTGTGTCCTTCGTTCGAAACGGGTATATCTTCACACGACATCTAGACAGAAGCTTTCTCAGAAAATTCTTTGGGATGATTGAGTGGAACTCACAGAGCTGAACATTCCTTGCGATGGAGCAGTTTAGAAACACACTTTCTGCAGAATCTGCAAGTGCATATTTGGACCTCTCTGAGGAATTCGTTGGAAACGGGATAATTTCAGCTGACTAAACAGAAGCATTCTCAGAACCTTCTTCGTGATGTCTGCATTCAACTCACAGTGTGGAACCTTTCTTTGATAGTTCAGGTTTGAAACACTCTTTTTGTAGAAACTGCAAGGGGATAATTGCACTTCTTTGAGGCCTACCGTAGTAAAGGAAATAACTTCCTATAGAAAGAAGACAGAAGCATTCTCAGAACCCTCTTCGTGATGTTTGCATTCAACTCACAGTGCTGAACCTTTCTTTGATAGTTCAGCTTTGAAACACTCTTCTTGTAGAAACTGCAAGTGGATATTTGGTCCTCTCTGAGGATTTCGTTGGAAACGGGATAAACCGCACAGAACTAAACAGAAGAATTCTCAGAGCCCTCTTCGTGATGTTTGCATTCAACTCACAGTGCTGAACCTTTCTTTGATAGTGCAGCTTTGAAACACTCTTTTTGTAGAAACTGCAAGTGGATGTTTGGTCCTCTCTGAGGATTTCGTTGGAAACGGGATAAACCGCACAGAACTAAAACAGAAGCATTGTCAGAAACTTCTTTGTGATGATTGCATTCAACTCACAGAGTTGAAGGTTCCTTTTCAAACAGCAGTTTCCAATCACTCTTTCTGTGGAATCTGCAAGTGGATATTTGGGCCTCTCTGAGGATTTCGTTGGAAACGGGATAAAACGCACAGAACTAAAACAGAAGCATTCTCAGAAACTTCTCTGTGATGTTTGTGTTCAACTCCCAGAGTTTCACGTTGCTTTTCATAGAGTAGTTCTGAAACATGCTTTTCGTAGTGTCTGCAAGTGGACATTTGGAGCGCTTTCAGGCCTGTGGTGGAAAACGAATTATGGTCACATAAAAACTGGAGAGAAGCCTTCTCAGAAACTTCTCTGTGATGATTGCATTCAACTCACAGAGTTGAACCCTCCTATGGATAGAGCAGTGTTGAAACTCTCTTTTTGTGGAATCTGCAAGTGGATATGTGGACCTCTCCGAAGATGTCTTTGGAAACGGGAATATCTTCACATAAAAACTAAACAGAAGCATTCTCAGAAACTTCTTGGTGATGTTTGCATTCAAATCCCAGAGTTGAACCTTCCTTTGATAGTTCAGGTTTGAAACACTCTTTCTGTAGGATCTGCAAGTGGCTATTTGGACCACTCTGTGGCCTTCGTTCGAAACGGGTATATCTTCGCATAAAATCTAGACAGAAGCATTCTCAGAAAATACTTTGTGATGATTGAGTTTAAATCACAGAGCTGACCATTCCTTTGGATGGAGCAGGTTTGAGACACACTTTTTGTAGAATCTACAAGTGGATATTTGGACCTCTCTGAGGATTTCGTTGGAAACGGGATAACTGCACCTAACTAAACGGAAGCATTCTCAGAAACTGCTTTGTGATGATTGCATTCACCTCACAGAGTTGAACATTCCTATTGATAGAGCAGTTTGGAAACACTCTTGTTGTGGAATGTGCAAGTGGAGATTTGGAGCGCTTTGAGGCCTATGGTAGTAAAGGGAATAGCTTCATAGAAAAACTAGACAGATGCATTCTCAGGAACCTTTTGGTGATGTTTGTATTCAACTCCCAGAGTTGAACTTTCCTTTGGAAAGAGCAGCTATGAAACACTCTTTTTCTAGAATCTGCAAGTGGACGTTTGGAGGGCTTTGTGGTTTGTGGTGGAAAAGGAAATATCTTCACCTAAATACTAGATAGAAGCATTCTCAGAAGCTTCTCTGTGATGACTGCATTCAACTCACGGAGTTGAACACTCCTTTTGAGAGCGCAGTTTTGAAACTCTCTTTCTGTGGCATCTGCAAGGGGACATGTAGACCTCTTTGAAGATTTCGTTGGAAACGGAATCATCTTCACATAAAAACTATACAGAAGCAGTCTCAGAATCTTCTTTGTGATGTTTGCATTCAAATCCCAGAGTTGAACTTTCCTTTCAAAGTTCACGTTTGAAACACTCTTTTTGCAGGATCTACAAGTGGATATTTGGACCACTCTGTGTCCTTCGTTCGAAACGGGTATATCTTCACACGACATCTAGACAGAAGCTTTCTCAGAAAATTCTTTGGGATGATTGAGTGGAACTCACAGAGCTGAACATTCCTTGCGATGTAGCAGTTTAGAAACACACTTTCTGCAGAATCTGCAAGTGCATATTTGGACCTCTCTGAGGAATTCGTTGGAAACGGGATAATTTCAGCTGACTAAACAGAAGCATTCTCAGAACCTTCTTCGTGATGTCTGCATTCAACTCACAGTGTGGAACCTTTCTTTGATAGTTCAGGTTTGAAACACTCTTTTTGTAGAAACTGCAAGGGGATAATTGCACTTCTTTGAGGCCTACCGTAGTAAAGGAAATAACTTCCTATAGAAAGAAGACAGAAGCATTCTCAAAACCCTCTTTGTGATGTTTGCATTCAACTCACAGAGCTGAACCTTTCTTTGATAGTTCAGCTTTGAAACACTCTTCTTGTAGAAACTGCAAGTGGATATTTGGTCCTCTCTGAGGATTTCGTTGGAAACGGGATAAACCGCACAGAACTAAACAGAAGCATTCTCAGAACCTTCTTCGTGATGTTTGCATTCAACTCACAGTGTTGAACCTTTCTTTGATAGTTCAGGTTTGAAACGGTCTTTCTGTAGAAACTGCAAGTAGATATTTGGACCTCTCTGAGGATTTCGTTGGAAACGGGATAACCCGCACAGAACTAAAACAGAAGCATTCACAGAAAACTCTTGGTGACGACTGAGTTTAACTCACAGAGCTGAACATCCCTTTGGATGGAGTAGTTTCGAAACACACTATTTGTAGAATGTGCAAGTGGATATTTGGGCCTCTCTGAGGATTTCGTTGGAAACGGGATAAACCGCACAGAACTAAACAGAAGCATTCTCAGAAACTACTTTGTGATGATTGCATTCAAGTCACAGAGTTGAACATTCCCTTTGACAGAGCAGTTTGGAAACTCTCTTTGTGTAGAATCTGCAAGTGGAGATATGGACCGCTTTGAGGCCTATGGTAGTAAAGGAAATAGCTTCATATAAAAGCTAGACAGTAGCATTCTCAGAAACTTCTTTGTGATGCTTGCATTCAACTCACAGAGTTGAACTTTCCTTTCGAGAGAGAAGCTTTGAAACACTCTTTTTCCAGAATCTGCAAGTGGACATTTGGAGGGCTTTGAGGCCTGTGGTGGAAAAGGAATTATCTTCCCGTAAAAGCTAGATAGAAGCATTGTCAGAAACTTCTTTGTGATGATTGCATTCAACTCACAGGAGTTGAAGGTTCCTTTTCAAACAGCAGTTTCCAATCACTCTTTCTGTGGAATCTGCAAGTGGATATTTCGACCTCTTTGAAGATTTCGTTGGAAACGGGAGAATCTTCACAGAAAAGCTAAACAGAAGCATTCTCAGAAACTTCTCTGTGATGTTTGTGTTCAACTCCCAGAGTTTCACGTTGCTTTTCATAGAGTAGTTCTGAAACATGCTTTTCGTAGTGTCTGCAAGTGGACATTTGGAGCGCTTTCAGGCCTGTGGTGGAAAACGAATTATGGTCACATAAAAACTGGAGAGAAGCCTTCTCAGAAACTTCTCTGTGATGATTGCATTCAACTCACAGAGTTGAACCCTCCTATGGATAGAGCAGTGTTGAAACTCTCTTTTTGTGGAATCTGCAAGTGGATATGTGGACCTCTCCGAAGATGTCTTTGGAAACGGGAATATCTTCACATAAAAACTAAACAGAAGCATTCTCAGAAACTTCTTGGTGATGTTTGCATTCAAATCCCAGCAGTTGAACCTTCCTTTGATAGTTCAGGTTTGAAACACTCTTTCTGTAGGATCTGCAAGTGGCTATTTGGACCACTCTGTGGCCTTCGTTCGAAACGGGTATATCTTCGCATAAAATCTAGACAGAAGCATTCTCAGAAAATACTTTGTGATGATTGAGTTTAAATCACAGAGCTGACCATTCCTTTGGATGGAGCAGGTTTGAGACACACTTTTTGTAGAATCTACAAGTGGATATTTGGACCTCTCTGAGGATTTCGTTGGAAACGGGATAACTGCACCTAACTAAACGGAAGCAGCATTCTCAGAAACTGCTTTGTGATGATTGCATTCACCTCACAGAGTTGAACATTCCTATTGATAGAGCAGTTTGGAAACACTCTTGTTGTGGAATGTGCAAGTGGAGATTTGGAGCGCTTTGAGGCCTGTGGTAGTAAAGGGAATAGCTTCATAGAAAAACTAGACAGATGCATTCTCAGGAACTTTTTGGTGATGTTTGTATTCAACTCCCAGAGTTGAACTTTCCTTTGGAAAGAGCAGCTATGAAACACTCTTTTTCTAGAATCTGCAAGTGGACGTTTGGAGGGCTTTGTGGTTTGTGGTGGAAAAGGAAATATCTTCACCTAAATACTAGATAGAAGCATTCTCAGAAGCTTCTCTGTGATGACTGCATTCAACTCACGGAGTTGAACACTCCTTTTGAGAGCGCAGTTTTTAAACTCTCTTTCTGTGGCATCTGCAAGGGGACATGTAGACCTCTTTGAAGATTTCGTTGGAAACGGAATCATCTTCACATAAAAACTATACAGAAGCAGTCTCAGAATCTTCTTTGTGATGTTTGCATTCAAATCCCAGAGTTGAACTTTCCTTTCAAAGTTCACGTTTGAAACACTCTTTTTGCTGGATCTACAAGTGGATATTTGGACCACTCTGTGTCCTTCGTTCGAAACGGGTATATCTTCACATGACATCTAGACAGAAGCTTTCTCAGAAAATTCTTTGGGATGATTGAGTGGAACTCACAGAGCTGAACATTCCTTGCGATGTAGCAGTTTAGAAACACACTTTCTGCAGAATCTGCAAGTGCATATTTGGACCTCTCTGAGGAATTCGTTGGAAACGGGATAATTTCAGCTGACTAAACAGAAGCATTCTCAGAACCTTCTTCGTGATGTCTGCATTCAACTCACAGTGTGGAACCTTTCTTTGGTAGTTGAGGTTTGAAACACTCTTTTTGTAGAAACTGCAAGGGGATAATTGCACTTCTTTGAGGCCTACCGTAGTAAAGGAAATAACTTCCTATAGAAAGAAGACAGAAGCATTCTCAGAACCCTCTTCGTGATGTTTGCATTCAACTCACAGTGCTGAACCTTTCTTTGATAGTTCAGCTTTGAAACACTCTTCTTGTAGAAACTGCAAGTGGATATTTGGTCCTCTCTGAGGATTTCTTTGTAAACGGGATAAACCGCACAGAACTAAACAGAAGCATTCTCAGAACCTTCTTCGTGATGTTTGCATTCAACACACAGTGTTGAACCTTTCTTTGATAGTTCAGGTTGGAAACGGTCTTTCTGTAGAAACTGCAAGTAGATATTTGGACCTCTCTGAGGATTTCGTTGGAAACGGGATAAACCGCACAGAACTAAAACAGAAGCATTCACAGAAAACTCTTGGTGACGACTGAGTTTAACTCACAGAGCTGAACATTCCTTTGGATGGAGCAGTTTCGAAACACACTATTTGTAGAATCTGCAAGTGGATATGTGGGCCTCTCTGAGGATTTCTTTGGAAACGGGATAAACCGCACAGAACTAAAACAGAAGCATTCTCAGAAACTACTTGGTGATGATTGCATTCAAGTCACAGAGTTGAACATTCCCTTTGACAGAACACTTTGGAAACTCTGGTTGTGTAGAATCTGCAAGTGGAGATATGGACCGCTTTGAGGCCTATGGTAGTAAAGGAAATAGCTTCATATAAAAACTAGACAGTAGCATTGTCAGAAACTTCTTTGTGATGTTTGCATTCTACTCACAGAGTTGAACTTTCCTTTTGAGAGAGAAGCTTTGAAACACTCTTTCTCTAGAATCTGCAAGTGGATATTTGGAGGGCTTTGAGGCCTGTGGTGGAAAAGGAATTAACTTCCCGTAAAAACTAGATAGAAGCATTGTCAGAAACTTCTTTGTGATGATTGCATTCAACTCACAGAGTTGAAGGTTCCTTTCCAAACAGCAGTTTCCAAACACTCTTTCTGTGGAATCTGCAAGTGGATATTTGGACCTCTTTGAAGATTTCGTTGGAAACGGGAGAATCTTCACAGAAACGCTAAACAGAAGCATTCTCAGAAACTTCTCTGTGATGTTTGTGTTCAACTCCCAGAGTTTCACATTGCTTCTCATAGAGTAGTTCTGAAACATGCTTTTCGTAGTGTCTGCAAGTGGTCATTTGGAGCGCTTTCAGGCCTGTGGTGGAAAACGAATTATGGTCACATAAAAACTGGAGAGAAGCCTTCTCAGAAACTTCTCTGTGATGATTGCATTCAACTCACAGAGTTGAACCCTCCTATGGATAGAGCAGTGTTGAAACTCTCTTTTTGTGGAATCTGCAAGTGGATATGTGGACGTCTCCGAAGATGTCTTTGGAAACGGGAATATCTTCACATAAAAACTAAACAGAAGCATTCTCAGAAACATCTTGGTGATGTTTGCATTCAAATCCCAGAGTTGAACCTTCCCTTTGATAGTTCAGGTTTGAAACACTCTTTTTGTAGGATCTGCAAGTGGATATTTGGACCACTCTGTGGCCTTCGTTCGAAACGGGTACATCTTCGCATAAAATCTAGACAGAAGCATTCTCAGAAAATACTTTGTGATGATTGAGTTGAACTCACAGAGCTGAACATTCCTTTGGATGGAGCAGGTTTGAGACACACTTTTTGTAGAATCTACACGTGGATATTTGGACCTCTCTGAGGATTTCGTTGGAAACGGGATAACTGCACCTAACTAAACGGAAGCATTCTCAGAAACTGCTTTGTGATGATTGCATTCACCTCACAGAGTTGAACATTCCTATTGATAGAGCAGTTTGGAAACACTCTTGTTGTGGAATGTGCAAGTGGAGATTCGGAGCGCTTTGAGGCCTATGGTAGTAAAGGGAATAGCTTCATAGAAAAACTAGACAGATGCATTGTCAGGAACTTTTTGGTGATGTTTGTATTCAACTCCCGGAGTTGAACTTTCCTTTGGAAAGAGCAGCTATGAAACACTCTTTTTCTAGAATCTGCAAGTGGACGTTTGGAGGGCTTTGTGGTTTGTGGTGGAAAAGGAAATATCTTCACCTAAATACTAGATAGAAGCATTCTCAGAAGCTTCTCTGTGATGACTGCATTCAACTCACGGAGTTGAACACTCCTTTTGAGAGCGCAGTTTTGAAACTCTCTTTCTGTGGCATCTGCAAGGGGACATGTAGACCTCTTTGAAGATTTCGTTGGAAACGGAATCATCTTCACATAAAAACTATACAGAAGCAGTCTCAGAATCTTCTTTGTGATGTTTGCATTCAAATCCCAGAGTTGAACTTTCCTTTCAAAGTTCACGTTTGAAACACTCTTTTTGCAGGATCTACAAGTGGATATTTGGACCACTCTGTGTCCTTCGTTCGAAACGGGTATATCTTCACACGACATCTAGACAGAAGCTTTCTCAGAAAATTCTTTGGGATGATTGAGTGGAACTCACAGAGCTGAACATTCCTTGCGATGTAGCAGTTTAGAAACACACTTTCTGCAGAATCTGCAAGTGCATATTTGGACCTCTCTGAGGAATTCGTTGGAAACGGGATAATTTCAGCTGACTAAACAGAAGCATTCTCAGAACCTTCTTCGTGGTGTCTGCATTCAACTCACAGTGTGGAACCTTTCTTTGATAGTTCAGGTTTGAAACACTCTTTTTGTAGAAACTGCAAGGGGATAATTGCACTTCTTTGAGGCCTACCGTAGTAAAGGAAATAACTTCCTATAGAAAGAAGACAGAAGCATTCTCAGAACCCTCTTCGTGATGTTTGCATTCAACTCACAGTGCTGAACCTTTCTTTGATAGTTCAGCTTTGAAACACTCTTCTTGTAGAAACTGCAAGTGGATATTTGGTCCTCTCTGAGGATTTCGTTGGAAACGGGATAAACCGCACAGAACTAAACAGAAGCATTCTCAGAACCTTCTTCGTGATGTTTGCATTCAACTCACAGTGTTGAACCTTTCTTTGATAGTTCAGGTTGGAAGCGGTCTTTCTGTAGTAACTGCAAGTAGATATTTGGACCTCTCTGAGGATTTCGTTGGAAACGGGATAAACCGCACAGAACTAAAACAGAAGCATTCACAGAAAACTCTTGGTGACGACTGAGTTTAACTCACAGAGCTGAACATTCCTTTGGATGGAGCAGTTTCGAAACACACTATTTGTAGAATGTGCAAGTGGATATTTGGGCCTCTCTGAGGATTTCGTTGGAAACGGGATAAACCGCACAGAACTAAACAGAAGCATTCTCAGAAACTACTTTGTGATGATTGCATTCAAGTCACAGAGTTGAACATTCCCTTTGACAGAGCAGTTTGGAAACTCTCTTTGTGTAGAATCTCCAAGTGGAGATATGGACCGCTTTGAGGCCTATGGTAGTAAAGGAAATAGCTTCATATAAAAGCTAGACAGTAGCATTCTCAGAAACTTCTTTGTGATGCTTGCATTCAACTCACAGAGTTGAACTTTCCTTTCGAGAGAGAAGCTTTGAAACACTCTTTTTCCAGAATCTGCAAGTGGACATTTGGAGGGCTTTGAGGCCTGTGGTGGAAAAGGAATTAACTTCCCGTAAAAGCTAGATAGAAGCATTGTCAGAAACTTCTTTGTGATGATTGCATTCAACTCACAGAGATGAAGGTTCCTTTACAAACAGCAGTTTCCAAACACTCTTTCTGTGGAATCTGCAAGTGGATATTTGGACCTCTTTGAAGATTTCGTTGGAAACGGGAGAATCTTCACAGAAAAGCTAAACAGAAGCATTCTCAGAAACTTCTCTGTGATGTTTGTGTTCAACTCCCAGAGTTTCACATTGCTTTTCATAGAGTAGTTCTGAAACATGCTTTTCGTAGTGTCTGCAAGTGGACATTTGGAGCGCTTTCAGGCCTGTGGTGCAAAACGAATTATGGTCCCATAAAAACTGGAGAGAAGCCTTCTCAGAAACTTCTCTGTGATGATTGCATTCAACTCACAGATTTGAACCCTCCTATGGATAGAGCATTGTTGAAACTCTCTTTTTGTGGAATCTGCAAGTGGATATGTGGACCTCTCCGAAGATGTCTTTGGAAACGGGAATATCTTCACATAAAAACTAAACAGAAGCATTCTCAGAAACTTCTTGGTGATGTTTGCATTCAAATCCCAGAGTTGAACCTTCCTGTGATAGTTCAGGTTTGAAACACTCTTTTTGTAGGATCTGCAAGTGGATATTTGGACCACTCTGTGGCCTTCGTTCGAAACGGTACATCTTCACATAAAATCTAGACAGAAGCATTCTCAGAAAATACTTTGTGATGATTGAGTTGAAATCACAGAGCTGAACATTCCTTTGGATGGAGCAGGTTTGAGACACACTTTTTGTAGAATCTACAAGTGGATATTTGGACCTCTCTGAGGATTTCGTTGGAAACGGGATAACTGCACCTAACTAAACGGAAGCATTCTCAGAAACTGCTTTGTGATGATTGCATTCACCTCACAGAGTTGAACATTCCTATTGATAGAGCAGTTTGGAAACACTCTTGTTGTGGAATGTGCAAGTGGAGATTTGGAGCGCTTTGAGGCCTATGGTAGTAAAGGGAATAGCTTCATAGAAAAACTAGACAGATGCATTCTCAGGAACCTTTTGGTGATGTTTGTATTCAACTCCCAGAGTTGAACTTTCCTTTGGAAAGAGCAGCTATGAAACACTCTTTTTCTAGAATCTGCAAGTGGACGTTTGGAGGGCTTTGTGGTTTGTGGTGGAAAAGGAAATATCTTCACCTAAATACTAGATAGAAGCATTCTCAGAAGCTTCTCTGTGATGACTGCATTCAACTCACGGAGTTGAACACTCCCTTTGAGAGCGCAGTTTTGAAACTCTCTTTCTGTGGCATCTGCAAGGGGACATGTAGACCTCTTTGAAGATTTCGTTGGAAACGGAATCATCTTCACATAAAAACTATACAGAAGCAGTCTCAGAATCTTCTTTGTGATGTTTGCATTCAAATCCCAGAGTTGAACTTTCCTTTCAAAGTTCACGTTTGAAACACTCTTTTTGCAGGATCTACAAGTGGATATTTGGACCACTCTGTGTCCTTCGTTCGAAACGGGTATATCTTCACACGACATCTAGACAGAAGCTTTCTCAGAAAATTCTTTGGGATGATTGAGTGGAACTCACAGAGCTGAACATTCCTTGCGATGTAGCAGTTTAGAAACACACTTTCTGCAGAATCTGCAAGTGCATATTTGGACCTCTCTGAGGAATTCGTTGGAAACGGGATAATTTCAGCTGACTAAACAGAAGCATTCTCAGAACCTTCTTCGTGATGTCTGCATTCAACTCACAGTGTGGAACCTTTCTTTGATAGTTCAGGTTTGAAACACTCTTTTTGTAGAAACTGCAAGGGGATAATTGCACTTCTTTGAGGCCTACCGTAGTAAAGGAAATAACTTCCTATAGAAAGAAGACAGAAGCATTCTCAGAACCCTCTTCGTGATGTTTGCATTCAACTCACAGTGCTGAACCTTTCTTTGATAGTTCAGCTTTGAAACACTCTTCTTGTAGAAACTGCAAGTGGATATTTGGTCCTCTCTGAGGATTTCGTTGGAAACGGGATAAACCGCACAGAACTAAACAGAAGAATTCTCAGAGCCCTCTTCGTGATGTTTGCATTCAACTCACAGTGCTGAACCTTTCTTTGATAGTGCAGCTTTGAAACACTCTTTTTGTAGAAACTGCAAGTGGATGTTTGGTCCTCTCTGAGGATTTCGTTGGAAACGGGATAAACCGCACAGAACTAAAACAGAAGCATTGTCAGAAACTTCTTTGTGATGATTGCATTCAACTCACAGAGTTGAAGGTTCCTTTTCAAACAGCAGTTTCCAATCACTCTTTCTGTGGAATCTGCAAGTGGATATTTGGGCCTCTCTGAGGATTTCGTTGGAAACGGGATAAAACGCACAGAACTAAAACAGAAGCATTCTCAGAAACTTCTCTGTGATGTTTGTGTTCAACTCCCAGAGTTTCACGTTGCTTTTCATAGAGTAGTTCTGAAACATGCTTTTCGTAGTGTCTGCAAGTGGACATTTGGAGCGCTTTCAGGCCTGTGGTGGAAAACGAATTATGGTCACATAAAAACTGGAGAGAAGCCTTCTCAGAAACTTCTCTGTGATGATTGCATTCAACTCACAGAGTTGAACCCTCCTATGGATAGAGCAGTGTTGAAACTCTCTTTTTGTGGAATCTGCAAGTGGATATGTGGACCTCTCCGAAGATGTCTTTGGAAACGGGAATATCTTCACATAAAAACTAAACAGAAGCATTCTCAGAAACTTCTTGGTGATGTTTGCATTCAAATCCCAGAGTTGAACCTTCCTTTGATAGTTCAGGTTTGAAACACTCTTTTTGTAGGATCTGCAAGTGGCTATTTGGACCACTCTGTGGCCTTCGTTCGAAACGGGTATATCTTCGCATAAAATCTAGACAGAAGCATTCTCAGAAAATACTTTGTGATGATTGAGTTTAACTCACAGAGCTGAACATTCCTTTGGATGGAGCAGGTTTGAGACACACTTTTTGTAGAATCTACAAGTGGATATTTGCACCTCTCTGAGGATTTCGTTGGAAACGGGATAACTGCACCTAACTAAACGGAAGCATTCTCAGAAACTGCTTTGTGATGATTGCATTCACCTCACAGAGTTGAACATTCCTATTGATAGAGCAGTTTGGAAACACTCTTGTTGTGGAATGTGCAAGTGGAGATTTGGAGTGCTTTGAGGCCTATGGTAGTAAAGGGAATAGCTTCATAGAAAAACTAGACAGATGCATTCTCAGGAACTTTTTGGTGATGTTTGTATTCAACTCCCAGAGTTGAACTTTCCTTTGGAAAGAGCAGCTATGAAACACTCTTTTTCTAGAATCTGCAAGTGGACGTTTGGAGGGCTTTGTGGTTTGTGGTGGAAAAGGAAATATCTTCACCTAAATACTAGATAGAAGCATTCTCAGAAGCTTCTCTGTGATGACTGCATTCAACTCACGGAGTTGAACACTCCTTTTGAGAGCGCAGTTTTGAAACTCTCTTTCTGTGGCATCTGCAAGGGGACATGTAGACCTCTTTGAAGATTTCGTTGGAAACGGAATCATCTTCACATAAAAACTATACAGAAGCAGTCTCAGAATCTTCTTTGTGATGTTTGCATTCAAATCCCAGAGTTGAACTTTCCTTTCAAAGTTCACGTTTGAAACACTCTTTTTGCAGGATCTACAAGTGGATATTTGGACCACTCTGTGTCCTTCGTTCGAAACGGGTATATCTTCACACGACATCTAGACAGAAGCTTTCTCAGAAAATTCTTTGGGATGATTGAGTGGAACTCACAGAGCTGAACATTCCTTGCGATGTAGCAGTTTAGAAACACACTTTCTGCAGAATCTGCAAGTGCATATTTGGACCTCTCTGAGGAATTCGTTGGAAACGGGATAATTTCAGCTGACTAAACAGAAGCATTCTCAGAACCTTCTTCGTGATGTCTGCATTCAACTCACAGTGTGGAACCTTTCTTTGATAGTTCAGGTTTGAAACACTCTTTTTGTAGAAACTGCAAGGGGATAATTGCACTTCTTTGAGGCCTACCGTAGTAAAGGAAATAACTTCCTATAGAAAGAAGACAGAAGCATTCTCAGAACCCTCTTCGTGATGTTTGCATTCAACTCACAGTGCTGAACCTTTCTTTGATAGTTCAGCTTTGAAACACTCTTCTTGTAGAAACTGCAAGTGGATATTTGGTCCTCTCTGAGGATTTCGTTGGAAACGGGATAAACCGCACAGAACTAAACAGAAGAATTCTCAGAGCCCTCTTCGTGATGTTTGCATTCAACTCACAGTGCTGAACCTTTCTTTGATAGTGCAGCTTTGAAACACTCTTTTTGTAGAAACTGCAAGTGGATGTTTGGTCCTCTCTGAGGATTTCGTTGGAAACGGGATAAACCGCACAGAACTAAAACAGAAGCATTGTCAGAAACTTCTTTGTGATGATTGCATTCAACTCACAGAGTTGAAGGTTCCTTTTCAAACAGCAGTTTCCAATCACTCTTTCTGTGGAATCTGCAAGTGGATATTTGGGCCTCTCTGAGGATTTCGTTGGAAACGGGATAAAACGCACAGAACTAAAACAGAAGCATTCTCAGAAACTTCTCTGTGATGTTTGTGTTCAACTCCCAGAGTTTCACGTTGCTTTTCATAGAGTAGTTCTGAAACATGCTTTTCGTAGTGTCTGCAAGTGGACATTTGGAGCGCTTTCAGGCCTGTGGTGGAAAACGAATTATGGTCACATAAAAACTGGAGAGAAGCCTTCTCAGAAACTTCTCTGTGATGATTGCATTCAACTCACAGAGTTGAACCCTCCTATGGATAGAGCAGTGTTGAAACTCTCTTTTTGTGGAACCTGCAAGTGGATATGTGGACCTCTCCGAAGATGTCTTTGGAAACGGGAATATCTTCACATAAAAACTAAACAGAAGCATTCTCAGAAACTTCTTGGTGATGTTTGCATTCAAATCCCAGAGTTGAACCTTCCTTTGATAGTTCAGGTTTGAAACACTCTTTCTGTAGGATCTGCAAGTGGCTATTTGGACCACTCTGTGGCCTTCGTTCGAAACGGGTATATCTTCGCATAAAATCTAGACAGAAGCATTCTCAGAAAATACTTTGTGATGATTGAGTTTAAATCACAGAGCTGACCATTCCTTTGGATGGAGCAGGTTTGAGACACACTTTTTGTAGAATCTACAAGTGGATATTTGGACCTCTCTGAGGATTTCGTTGGAAACGGGATAACTGCACCTAACTAAACGGAAGCATTCTCAGAAACTGCTTTGTGATGATTGCATTCACCTCACAGAGTTGAACATTCCTATTGATAGAGCAGTTTGGAAACACTCTTGTTGTGGAATGTGCAAGTGGAGATTTGGAGCGCTTTGAGGCCTGTGGTAGTAAAGGGAATAGCTTCATAGAAAAACTAGACAGATGCATTCTCAGGAACTTTTTGGTGATGTTTGTATTCAACTCCCAGAGTTGAACTTTCCTTTGGAAAGAGCAGCTATGAAACACTCTTTTTCTAGAATCTGCAAGTGGACGTTTGGAGGGCTTTGTGGTTTGTGGTGGAAAAGGAAATATCTTCACCTAAATACTAGATAGAAGCATTCTCAGAAGCTTCTCTGTGATGACTGCATTCAACTCACGGAGTTGAACACTCCTTTTGAGAGCGCAGTTTTGAAACTCTCTTTCTGTGGCATCTGCAAGGGGACATGTAGACCTCTTTGAAGATTTCGTTGGAAACGGAATCATCGTCACATAAAAACTATACAGAAGCAGTCTCAGAATCTTCTTTGTGATGTTTGCATTCAAATCCCAGAGTTGAACTTTCCTTTCAAAGTTCACGTTTGAAACACTCTTTTTGCAGGATCTACAAGTGGATATTTGGACCACTCTGTGTCCTTCGTTCGAAACGGGTATATCTTCACACGACATCTAGACAGAAGCTTTCTCAGAAAATTCTTTGGGATGATTGAGTGGAACTCACAGAGCTGAACATTCCTTGCGATGTAGCAGTTTAGAAACACACTTTCTGCAGAATCTGCAAGTGCATATTTGGACCTCTCTGAGGAATTCGTTGGAAACGGGATAATTTCAGCTGACTAAACAGAAGCATTCTCAGAACCTTCTTCGTGATGTCTGCATTCAACTCACAGTGTGGAACCTTTCTTTGATAGTTCAGGTTTGAAACACTCTTTTTGTAGAAACTGCAAGGGGATAATTGCACTTCTTTGAGGCCTACCGTAGTAAAGGAAATAACTTCCTATAGAAAGAAGACAGAAGCATTCTCAGAACCCTCTTCGTGATGTTTGCATTCAACTCACAGTGCTGAACCTTTCTTTGATAGTTCAGCTTTGAAACACTCTTCTTGTAGAAACTGCAAGTGGATATTTGGTCCTCTCTGAGGATTTCGTTGGAAACGGGATAAACCGCACAGAACTAAACAGAAGAATTCTCAGAGCCCTCTTCGTGATGTTTGCATTCAACTCACAGTGCTGAACCTTTCTTTGATAGTGCAGCTTTGAAACACTCTTTTTGTAGAAACTGCAAGTGGATGTTTGGTCCTCTCTGAGGATTTCGTTGGAAACGGGATAAACCGCACAGAACTAAAACAGAAGCATTGTCAGAAACTTCTTTGTGATGATTGCATTCAACTCACAGAGTTGAAGGTTCCTTTTCAAACAGCAGTTTCCAATCACTCTTTCTGTGGAATCTGCAAGTGGATATTTGGGCCTCTCTGAGGATTTCGTTGGAAACGGGATAAAACGCACAGAACTAAAACAGAAGCATTCTCAGAAACTTCTCTGTGATGTTTGTGTTCAACTCCCAGAGTTTCACGTTGCTTTTCATAGAGTAGTTCTGAAACATGCTTTTCGTAGTGTCTGCAAGTGGACATTTGGAGCGCTTTCAGGCCTGTGGTGGAAAACGAATTATGGTCACATAAAAACTGGAGAGAAGCCTTCTCAGAAACTTCTCTGTGATGATTGCATTCAACTCACAGAGTTGAACCCTCCTATGGATAGAGCAGTGTTGAAACTCTCTTTTTGTGGAATCTGCAAGTGGATATGTGGACCTCTCCGAAGATGTCTTTGGAAACGGGAATATCTTCACATAAAAACTAAACAGAAGCATTCTCAGAAACTTCTTGGTGATGTTTGCATTCAAATCCCAGAGTTGAACCTTCCTTTGATAGTTCAGGTTTGAAACACTCTTTCTGTAGGATCTGCAAGTGGCTATTTGGACCACTCTGTGGCCTTCGTTCGAAACGGGTATATCTTCGCATAAAATCTAGACAGAAGCATTCTCAGAAAATACTTTGTGATGATTGAGTTTAAATCACAGAGCTGACCATTCCTTTGGATGGAGCAGGTTTGAGACACACTTTTTGTAGAATCTACAAGTGGATATTTGGACCTCTCTGAGGATTTCGTTGGAAACGGGATAACTGCACCTAACTAAACGGAAGCATTCTCAGAAACTGCTTTGTGATGATTGCATTCACCTCACAGAGTTGAACATTCCTATTGATAGAGCAGTTTGGAAACACTCTTGTTGTGGAATGTGCAAGTGGAGATTTGGAGCGCTTTGAGGCCTGTGGTAGTAAAGGGAATAGCTTCATAGAAAAACTAGACAGATGCATTCTCAGGAACTTTTTGGTGATGTTTGTATTCAACTCCCAGAGTTGAACTTTCCTTTGGAAAGAGCAGCTATGAAACACTCTTTTTCTAGAATCTGCAAGTGGACGTTTGGAGGGCTTTGTGGTTTGTGGTGGAAAAGGAAATATCTTCACCTAAATACTAGATAGAAGCATTCTCAGAAGCTTCTCTGTGATGACTGCATTCAACTCACGGAGTTGAACACTCCTTTTGAGAGCGTAGTTTTGAAACTCTCTTTCTGTGGCATCTGCAAGGGGACATGTAGACCTCTTTGAAGATTTCGTTGGAAACGGAATCATCTTCACATAAAAACTATACAGAAGCAGTCTCAGAATCTTCTTTGTGATGTTTGCATTCAAATCCCCGAGTTGAACTTTCCTTTCAAAGTTCACGTTTGAAACACTCTTTTTGCAGGATCTACAAGTGGATATTTGGACCACTCTGTGTCCTTCGTTCGAAACGGGTATATCTTCACATGACATCTAGACAGAAGCTTTCTCAGAAAATTCTTTGGGATGATTGAGTTGAACTCACAGAGCTGAGCATTCCTTGCGATGTAGCAGTTTAGAAACACACTTTCTGCAGAATCTGCAAGTGCATATTTGGACCTCTGTGAGGAATTCGTTGGAAACGGGATAATTTCAGCTGACTAAACAGAAGCATTCTCAGAACCTTCTTCGTGATGTCTGCATTCAACTCACAGTGTGGAACCTTTCTTTGATAGTTCAGGTTTGAAACACTCTTTTTGTAGAAACTGCAAGGGGATAATTGCACTCTTTGAGGAGTACCGTAGTAAAGGAAATAACTTCCTATAAAAAGAAGACAGAAGCATTCTCAGAACCCTCTTCGTGATGTTTGCATTCAACTCACAGTGCTGAAACTTTCTTTGATAGTTCAGCTTTGAAACACTCTTTTTGTAGAAACTGCAAGTGGATATTTGGTCCTCTCTGAGGATTTCGTTGGAAACGGGATAAACTGCACAGAACTAAACAGAAGCATTCTCAGAACCTTCTTCGTGATGTTTGCATTCAACTCACAGTGTTGAACCTTTCTTTGATAGTTCAGGTTTGAAACGGTCTTTCTGTAGAAACTGCAAGTAGATATTTGGACCTCTCTGAGGATTTCGTTGGAAACGGGATAACCCGCACAGAACTAAAACAGAAGCATTCACAGAAAACTCTTGGTGACGACTGAGTTTAACTCACAGAGCTGAACATTCCTTTGGATGGAGCAGTTTCGAAACACACTATTTGTAGAATGTGCAAGTGGATATTTAGGCCTCTCTGAGGATTTCGTTGGAAACGGGATAAACCGCACAGAACTAAACAGAAGCATTCTCAGAAACTACTTTGTGATGATTGCATTCAAGTCACAGAGTTGAACATTCCCTTTGACAGAGCAGTTTGGAAACTCTCTTTGTGTAGAATCTGCAAGTGGAGATATGGACCGCTTTGAGGCCTATGGTAGTAAAGGAAATAGCTTCATATAAAAGCTAGACAGTAGCATTCTCAGAAACTTCTTTGTGATGCTTGCATTCAACTCACAGAGTTGAACTTTCCTTTCGAGAGAGAAGCTTTGAAACACTCTTTTTCCAGAATCTGCAAGTGGACATTTGGAGGGCTTTGAGGCCTGTGGTGGAAAAGGAATTATCTTCCCGTAAAAGCTAGATAGAAGCATTGTCAGAAACTTCTTTGTGATGATTGCATTCAACTCACAGTAGTTGAAGGTTCCTTTTCAAAGAGCAGTTTCCAATCACTCTTTCTGTGGAATCTGCAAGTGGATATTTGGACCTATTTTGAAGATTTCGTTGGAAACGGGAGAATCTTCACAGGAAAGCTAAACAGAAGCATTCTCAGAAACTTCTCTGTGATGTTTGTGTTCAACTCCCAGGAGTTTCACATTGCTTTTCATAGAGTAGTTCTGAAACATGCTTTTCGTAGTGTCTACAAGTGGACATTTGGAGCGCCTTCAGGCCTGTGGTGGAAAACGAATTATGGTCACATAAAAACTGGAGAGAAGCCTTCTCAGAAACTTCTCTGTGATGATTACATTCAACTCACAGAGTTGAACCCTCCTATGGATAGAGCAGTGTTGAAACTCTCTTTTCGTGGAATCTGCAAGCGGATATGTGGACCTCTCTGAAGATGTCTTTGGAAACGGGAATATCTTCACATAAAAACTAAACAGAAGCATTCTCAGAAACTTCTTGGTGATGTTTGCATTCAAATCCCAGAGTTGAACCTTCCTTTGAGAGTTGAGGTTTGAAACACTCTTTTTGTAGGATCTGCAAGTGGATATTTGGACCACTCTGTGGCCTTCGTTCGAAACGGGTACATCTTCGCATAAAATCTAGACAGAAGCATTCTCAGAAAATACTTTGTGATGATTGAGTTGAACTCACAGAGCTGAACATTCCTTTGGATGGAGCAGGTTTGAGACACACTTTTTGTAGAATCTACAAGTGGATATTTGGACCTCTCTGAGGATTTCGTTGGAAACGGGATAACTGCACCTAACTAAACGGAAGCATTCTCAGAAACTGCTTTGTGATGATTGCATTCACCTCACAGAGTTGAACATTCCTATTGATAGAGCAGTTTGGAAACACTCTTGTTGTGGAATGTGCAAGTGGAGATTTGGAGCGCTTTGAGGCCTATGGTAGTAAAGGGAATAGCTTCATAGAAAAACTAGACAGATGCATTCTCAGGAACTTTTTGGTGATGTTTGTATTCAACTCCCAGATTTGAACTTTCCTTTGGAAAGAGCAGCTGTGAAACACTCTTTTTCTAGAATCTGCAAGTGGACGTTTGGAGGGCTTTGTGGTTTGTGGTGGAAAAGGAAATATCTTCACCTAAATAGTAGAGAGAAGCATTCTCAGAAGCTTCTCTGTGATGACTGCATTCAACTCACGGAGTTGAACACTCCTTTTGAGAGCGCAGTTTTGAAACTCTCTTTCTGTGGCATCTGCAAGGGGACATGTAGACCTCTTTGAAGATTTCGTTGGTAACGGAATCATCTTCACATCAAAACTATACAGAAGCAGTCTCAGAATCTTCTTTGTGATGTTTGCATTCAAATCCCAGAGTTGAACTTTCCTTTCAAAGTTCACGTTTGAAACACTCTTTTTGCAGGATCTACAAGTGGATATTTGGACCACTCTGTGTCCTTCGTTCGAAACGGGTATATCTTCACATGACATCTAGACAGAAGCTTTCTCAGAAAATTCTTTGGGATGATTGAGTTGAGGAAACAGAACTGAACACTCCTTGCGATGTAGCAGTTTAGAAACACACTTTCTGCAGAATCTGCAAGTGCATATGTGGACCTCTCTGAGGAATTCATTAGAAACGGGATAATTTCAGCTGACTAAACAGAAGCATTCTCAGAACCTTCTTCGTGATGTCTGCATTCAACTCACAGTGTGGAACCTTTCTTTGATAGTTCAGGTTTGAAACACTCTTTTTGTAGAAACTGCAAGGGGATAATTGCACTTCTTTGAGGCCTACCGTAGTAAAGGAAATAACTTCCTATAGAAAGAAGACAGAAGCATTCTCAGAACCCTCTTCGTGATGTTTGCATTCAACTCACAGTGCTGAACCTTTCTTTGATAGTTCAGCTTTGAAACACTCTTTTTGTAGAAACTGCAAATGGATATTTGGTCCTCTCTGAGGATTTCGTTGGAAAAGGGATAAAACGCACAGAACTAAACAGAAGCATTCACAGAAAACTCTTGGTGACGACTGAGTTTAACTCACAGAGCTGAACATTCCTTTGGATGGAGCAGTTTCAAAACACACTATTTGTAGAATGTGCAAGTGGATATGTGGGCCTCTCTGAGGATTTCGTTGGAAACGGGATAAACCGCACAGAAAAAAAACAGAAGCATTCTCAGAAACTACTTTGTGATGATTGCATTCAAGTCACAGAGTTGAACATTCCCTTTGACAGAGCAGTTTGGAAACTCTCTTTGTGTAGAATCTGCAAGTGGAGATATGGACCGCTTTGAGGCCTATGGTAGTAAAGGAAATAGCTTCATATAAAAGCTAGACAGTAGCATTCTCAGAAACTTCTTTGTGATGCTTGCATTCAACTCACAGAGTTGAACTTTCCTTTCGAGAGAGAAGCTTTGAAACACTCTTTTTCCAGAATCTGCAAGTGGACATTTGGAGGGCTTTGAGGCCTGTGGTGGAAAAGGAATTATCTTCCCGTAAAAGCTAGACAGAAGCATTGTCAGAAACTTCTTTGTGATGATTGCATTCAACTCACAGAGTTGAAGGTTCCTTTTCAAAGAGCAGTTTCCAATCACTCTTTCTGTGGAATCTGCAAGTGGATATTTGGACCTCTTTGAAGATTTCGTTGGAAACGGGAGAATCTTCACAGAAAAGCTAAACAGAAGCATTCTCAGAAACTTCTCTGTGATGTTTGTGTTCAACTCCCAGAGTTTCACATTGCTTCTCATAGAGTAGTTCTGAAACATGCTTTTCGTAGTGTCTGCAAGTGGACATTTGGAGCGCTTTCAGGTCTGTGGTGGAAAACGAATTATGGTCACATAAAAACTGGAGAGAAGCCTTCTCAGAAACTTCTCTGTGATGATTGCATTCAACTCACAGAGTTGAACCCTCCTATGGATAGAGCATTGTTGAAACTCTCTTTTTGTGGAATCTGCAAGTGGATATGTGGACCTCTCCGAAGATGTCTTTGGAAACGGGAATATCTTCACATAAAAACTAAACAGAAGCATTCTCAGAAACTTCTTGGTGATGTTTGCATTCAAATCCCAGAGTTGAACCTTCCTTTGATAGTTCAGGTTTGAAACACTCTTTTTGTAGGATCTGCAAGTGGATATTTGGACCACTCTGTGGCCTTCGTTCGAAACGGGTATATCTTCGCATAAAATCCAGACAGAAGCATTCTCAGAAAATACTTTGTGATGATTGAGTTTAACTCACAGAGCTGAACATTCCTTTGGATGGAGCAGGTTTGAGACACACATTTGTAGAATCTACAAGTGGATATTTGGACCTCTCTGAGGATTTCGTTGGAAACGCGACAACTGCACCTAACTAAACGGAAGCATTCTCAGAAACTGCTTTGTGATGATTGCATTCACCTCACAGAGTTGAACATTCCTATTGATAGAGCAGTTTGGAAACACTCTTGTTGTGGAATGTGCAAGTGGAGATTTGGAGCGCTTTGAGGCCTATGGTAGTAAAGGGAATAGCTTCATAGAAAAACTAGACAGATGCATTCTCAGGAACTTTTTGGTGATGTTTGTATTCAACTCCCAGAGTTGAACTTTCCTTTGGAAAGAGCAGCTATGAAACACTCTTTTTCTAGAATCTGCAAGTGGACGTTTGGAGGGCTTTGTGGTTTGTGGTGGAAAAGGAAATATCTTCACCTAAATACTAGATAGAAGCATTCTCAGAAGCTTCTCTGTGATGACTGCATTCAACTCACGGAGTTGAACACTCCTTTTGAGAGCGCAGTTTTGAAACTCTCTTTCTGTGGCATCTGCAAGGGGACATGTAGACCTCTTTGAAGATTTCGTTGGAAACGGAATCATCTTCACATAAAAACTATACAGAAGCAGTCTCAGAATCTTCTTTGTGATGTTTGCATTCAAATCCCAGAGTTGAACTTTCCTTTCAAAGTTCACGTTTGAAACACTCTTTTTGCAGGATCTACAAGTGGATATTTGGACCACTCTGTGTCCTTCGTTCGAAACGGGTATATCTTCACACGACATCTAGACAGAAGCTTTCTCAGAAAATTCTTTGGGATGATTGAGTGGAACTCACAGAGCTGAACATTCCTTGCGATGTAGCAGTTTAGAAACACACTTTCTGCAGAATCTGCAAGTGCATATTTGGACCTCTCTGAGGAATTCGTTGGAAACGGGATAATTTCAGCTGACTAAACAGAAGCATTCTCAGAACCTTCTTCGTGATGTCTGCATTCAACTCACAGTGTGGAACCTTTCTTTGATAGTTCAGGTTTGAAACACTCTTTTTGTAGAAACTGCAAGGGGATAATTGCACTTCTTTGAGGCCTACCGTAGTAAAGGAAATAACTTCCTATAGAAAGAAGACAGAAGCATTCTCAGAACCCTCTTCGTGATGTTTGCATTCAACTCACAGTGCTGAACCTTTCTTTGATAGTTCAGCTTTGAAACACTCTTCTTGTAGAAACTGCAAGTGGATATTTGGTCCTCTCTGAGGATTTCGTTGGAAACGGGATAAACCGCACAGAACTAAACAGAAGCATTCACAGAAAACTCTTGGTGACGACTGAGTTTAACTCACAGAGCTGAACATTCCTTTGGATGGAGCAGTTTCGAAACACACTATTTGTAGAATCTGCAAGTGGATATTTGGGCCTCTCTGAGGATTTCGTTGGAAACGGGATAAACCGCACAGAACTAAAACAGAAGCATTCTCAGAAACTACTTTGTGATGATTGCATTCAAGTCACAGAGTTGAACATTCCCTTTGACAGAGCAGTTTGGAAACTCTCTTTGTGTAGAATCTGCAAGTGGAGATATGGACCGCTTTGAGGCCTATGGTAGTAAAGGAAATAGCTTCATATAAAAGCTAGACAGTAGCATTCTCAGAAACTTCTTTGTGATGCTTGCATTCAACTCACAGAGTTGAACTTTCCTTTCGAGAGAGAAGCTTTGAAACACTCTTTTTCCAGAATCTGCAAGTGGACATTTGGAGGGCTTTGAGGCCTGTGGTGGAAAAGGAATTATCTTCCCGTAAAAGCTAGATAGAAGCATTGTCAGAAACTTCTTTGTGATGATTGCATTCAACTCACAGAGTTGAAGGTTCCTTTTCAAAGAGCAGTTTCCAATCACTCTTTCTGTGGAATCTGCAAGTGGATATTTGGACCTATTTTGAAGATTTCGTTGGAAACGGGAGAATCATCACAGGAAAGCTAAACAGAAGCATTCTCAGAAACTTCTCTGTGATGTTTGTGTTCAACTCCCAGAGTTTCACATTGCTTTTCATAGAGTAGTTCTGAAACATGCTTTTCGTAGTGTCTACAAGTGGACATTTGGAGCGCTTTCAGGCCTGTGGTGGAAAACGAATTATGGTCACATAAAAACTGGAGAGAAGCCTTCTCAGAAACTTCTCTGTGATGATTGCATTCAACTCACAGAGTTGAACCCTCCTATGGATAGAGCAGTGTTGAAACTCTCTTTTTGTGGAATCTGCAAGTGGATATGTGGACCTCTCCGAAGATGTCTTTGGAAACGGGAATATCTTCACATAAAAACTAAACAGAAGCATTCTCAGAAACTTCTTGGTGATGTTTGCATTCAAATCCCAGAGTTGAACCTTCCTTTGATAGTTCAGGTTTGAAACACTCTTTTTGTAGGATCTGCAAGTGGATATTTGGACCACTCTGTGGCCTTCGTTCGAAACGGGTATATCTTCGCATAAAATCTAGACAGAAGCATTCTCAGAAAATACTTTGTGATGATTGAGTTTAACTCACAGAGCTGAACATTCCTTTGGATGGAGCAGGTTTGAGACACACCTTTTGTAGAATCTACAAGTGGATATTTGGACCTCTCTGAGGATTTCGTTGGAAACGGGATAACTGCACCTAACTAAACGGAAGCATTCTCAGAAACTGCTTTGTGATGATTGCATTCACCTCACAGAGTTGAACATTCCTATTGATAGAGCAGTTTGGAAACACTCTTGTTGTGGAATGTGCAAGTGGAGATTTGGAGCGCTTTGAGGCCTATGGTAGTAAAGGGAATAGCTTCATAGAAAAACTAGACAGATGCATTCTCAGGAACTTTTTGGTGATGTTTGTATTCAACTCCCAGAGTTGAACTTTCCTTTGGAAAGAGCAGCTATGAAACACTCTTTTTCTAGAATCTGCAAGTGGACGTTTGGAGGGCTTTGTGGTTTGTGGTGGAAAAGGAAATATCTTCACCTAAATACTAGATAGAAGCATCCTCAGAAGCTTCTCTGTGATGACTGCATTCAACTCACGGAGTTGAACACTCCTTTTGAGAGCGCAGTTTTGAAACTCTCTTTCTGTGGCATCTGCAAGGGGACATGTAGACCTCTTTGAAGATTTCGTTGGAAACGGAATCATCTTCACATAAAAACTACACAGAAGCAGTCTCAGAATCTTCTTTGTGATGTTTGCATTCAAATCCCCGAGTTGAACTTTCCTTTCAAAGTTCACGTTTGAAACACTCTTTTTGCAGGATCTACAAGTGGATATTTGGACCACTCTGTGTCCTTCGTTCGAAACGGGTATATCTTCACATGACATCTAGACAGAAGCTTTCTCAGAAAATTCTTTGGGATGATTGAGTTGAACTCACAGAGCTGAGCATTCCTTGCGATGTAGCAGTTTAGAAACACACTTTCTGCAGAATCTGCAAGTGCATATTTGGACCTCTGTGAGGAATTCGTTGGAAACGGGATAATTTCAGCTGACTAAACAGAAGCATTCTCAGAACCTTCTTCGTGATGTCTGCATTCAACTCACAGTGTGGAACCTTTCTTTGATAGTTCAGGTTTGAAACACTCTTTTTGTAGAAACTGCAAGGGGATAATTGCACTCTTTGAGGAGTACCGTAGTAAAGGAAATAACTTCCTATAAAAAGAAGACAGAAGCATTCTCAGAACCCTCTTCGTGATGTTTGCATTCAACTCACAGTGCTGAACCTTTCTTTGATAGTTCAGCTTTGAAACACTCTTTTTGTAGAAACTGCAAGTGGATATTTGGTCCTCTCTGAGGATTTCGTTGGAAACGGGATAAACTGCACAGAACTAAACAGAAGCATTCTCAGAACCTTCTTCGTGATGTTTGCATTCAACTCACAGTGTTGAACCTTTCTTTGATAGTTCAGGTTTCAAACGGTCTTTCTGTAGAAACTGCAAGTAGATATTTGGACCTCTCTGAGGATTTCGTTGGAAACGGGATAACCCGCACAGAACTAAAACAGAAGCATTCACAGAAAACTCTTGGTGACGACTGAGTTTAACTCACAGAGCTGAACATTCCTTTGGATGGAGCAGTTTCGAAACACACTATTTGTAGAATGTGCAAGTGGATATTTAGGCCTCTCTGAGGATTTCGTTGGAAACGGGATAAACCGCACAGAACTAAACAGAAGCATTCTCAGAAACTACTTTGTGATGATTGCATTCAAGTCACAGAGTTGAACATTCCCTTTGACAGAGCAGTTTGGAAACTCTCTTTGTGTAGAATCTGCAAGTGGAGATATGGACCGCTTTGAGGCCTATGGTAGTAAAGGAAATAGCTTCATATAAAAGCTAGACAGTAGCATTCTCAGAAACTTCTTTGTGATGCTTGCATTCAACTCACAGAGTTGAACTTTCCTTTCGAGAGAGAAGCTTTGAAACACTCTTTTTCCAGAATCTGCAAGTGGACATTTGGAGGGCTTTGAGGCCTGTGGTGGAAAAGGAATTATCTTCCCGTAAAAGCTAGATAGAAGCATTGTCAGAAACTTCTTTGTGATGATTGCATTCAACTCACAGAGTTGAAGGTTCCTTTTCAAAGAGCAGTTTCCAATCACTCTTTCTGTGGAATCTGCAAGTGGATATTTCGACCTATTTTGAAGATTTTGTTGGAAACGGGATAATCTTCACAGAAAAGCTAAACAGAAGCATTCTCAGAAACTTCTCTGTGATGTTTGTGTTCAACTCCCAGAGTTTCACATTGCTTTTCATAGAGTAGTTCTGAAACATGCTTTTCGTAGTGTCTACAAGTGGACATTTGGAGCGCCTCCAGGCCTGTGGTGGAAAACGAATTATGGTCACATAAAAACTGGAGAGAAGCCTTCTCAGAAACTTCTCTGTGATGATTGCATTCAACTCACAGAGTTGAACCCTCCTATGGATAGAGCAGTGTTGAAACTCTCTTTTTGTGGAATCTGCAAGTGGATATGTGGACCTCTCCGAAGATGTCTTTGGAAACGGGAATATCTTCACATAAAAACTAAACAGAAGCATTCTCAGAAACTTCTTGGTGATGTTTGCATTCAAATCCCAGAGTTGAACCTTCCTTTGATAGTTCAGGTTTGAAACACTCTTTTTGTAGGATCTGCAAGTGGCTATTTGGACCACTCTGTGGCCTTCGTTCGAAACTGGTATATCTTCGCATAAAATCTAGACAGAAGCATTCTCAGAAAATACTTTGTGATGATTGAGTTCTAAATCACAGAGCTGACCATTCCTTTGGATGGAGCAGGTTTGAGACACACTTTTTGTAGAATCTACAAGTGGATATTTGGACCTCTCTGAGGATTTCGTTGGAAACGGGATAACTGCACCTAACTAAACGGAAGCATTCTCAGAAACTGCTTTGTGATGATTGCATTCACCTCACAGAGTTGAACATTCGTATTGATAGAGCAGTTTGGAAACACTCTTCTTGTGGAATGTGCAAGTGGAGATTTGGAGCGCTTTGGGGCCTATGGTAGTAAAGGGAATAGCTTCATAGAAAAACTAGACAGATGCATTCTCAGGAACTTTTTGGTGATGTTTGTATTCAACTCCCAGAGTTGAACTTTCCTTTGGAAAGAGCAGCTATGAAACACTCTTTTTCTAGAATCTGCAAGTGGACGTTTGGAGGGCTTTGTGGTTTGTGGTGGAAAAGGAAATATCTTCACCTAAATACTAGACAGAAGCATTCTCAGAAGCTTCTCTGTGATGACTGCATTCAACTCACGGAGTTGAACACTCCTTTTGAGAGCGCAGTTTTGAAACTCTGTTTCTGTGGCATCTGCAAGGGGACATGTAGACCTCTTTGAAGATTTCGTAGGAAACGGAATCATCTTCACATAAAAACTATACAGAAGCAGTCTCAGAATCTTCTTTGTGATGTTTGCATTCAAATCCCAGAGTTGAACTTTCCTTTCAAAGTTCACGTTTGAAACACTCTTTTTGCAGGATCTACAAGTGGATATTTGGACCACTCTGTGTCCTTCGTTCGAAACGGGTATATCTTCACATGACATCTAGACAGAAGCTTTCTCAGAAAATTCTTTGGGATGATTGAGTGGAGCTCACAGAGCTGAACATTCCTTGCGATGTAGCAGTTTAGAAACACACTTTCTGCAGAATCTGCAAGTGCATATTTGGACCTCTCTGAGGAATTCGTTGGAAACGGGATAATTTCAGCTGACTAAACAGAAGCATTCTCAGAACCTTCTTCGTGATGTCTGCATTCAACTCACAGTGTGGAACCTTTCTTTGATAGTTCAGGTTTGAAACACTCTTTTTGTAGAAACTGCAAGGGGATAATTGCACTTCTTTGAGGCCTACCGTAGTAAAGGAAATAACTTCCTATAGAAAGAAGACAGAAGCATTCTCAGAACCCTCTTCGTGATGTTTGCATTCAACTCACAGTGCTGAACCTTTCTTTGATAGTTCAGCTTTGAAACACTCTTCTTGTAGAAACTGCAAGTGGATATTTGGTCCTCTCTGAGGATTTCGTTGGAAACGGGATAAACCGCACAGAACTAAACAGAAGCATTCTCAGAGCCCTCTTCGTGATGTTTGCATTCAACTCACAGTGCTGAACCTTTCTTTGATAGTGCAGCTTTGAAACACTCTTTTTGTAGAAACTGCAAGTGGATATTTGGTCCTCTCTGAGGATTTCGTTGGAAACGGGATAAACCGCACAGAACTAAAACAGAAGCATTGTCAGAAACTTCTTTGTGATGATTGCATTCAACTCACAGTAGTTGAAGGTTCCTTTTCAAACAGCAGTTTCCAATCACTCTTTCTGTGGAATCTGCAAGTGGATATTTGGGCCTCTCTGAGGATTTCGTTGGAAACGGGATAAAACGCACAGAACTAAAACAGAAGCATTCTCAGAAACTTCTCTGTGATGTTTGTGTTCAACTCCCAGAGTTTCACGTTGCTTTTCATAGAGTAGTTCTGAAACATGCTTTTCGTAGTGTCTGCAAGTGGACATTTGGAGCGCTTTCAGGCCTGTGGTGGAAAACGAATTATGGTCACATAAAAACTGGAGAGAAGCCTTCTCAGAAACTTCTCTGTGATGATTGCATTCAACTCACAGAGTTGAACCCTCCTATGGATAGAGCAGTGTTGAAACTCTCTTTTTGTGGAATCTGCAAGTGGATATGTGGACCTCTCCGAAGATGTCTTTGGAAACGGGAATATCTTCACATAAAAACTAAACAGAAGCATTCTCAGAAACTTCTTGGTGATGTTTGCATTCAAATCCCAGAGTTGAACCTTCCTTTGATAGTTCAGGTTTGAAACACTCTTTCTGTAGGATCTGCAAGTGGCTATTTGGACCACTCTGTGGCCTTCGTTCGAAACGGGTATATCTTCGCATAAAATCTAGACAGAAGCATTCTCAGAAAATACTTTGTGATGATTGAGTTTAAATCACAGAGCTGACCATTCCTTTGGATGGAGCAGGTTTGAGACACACTTTTTGTAGAATCTACAAGTGGATATTTGGACCTCTCTGAGGATTTCGTTGGAAACGGGATAACTGCACCTAACTAAACGGAAGCATTCTCAGAAACTGCTTTGTGATGATTGCATTCACCTCACAGAGTTGAACATTCCTATTGATAGAGCAGTTTGGAAACACTCTTGTTGTGGAATGTGCAAGTGGAGATTTGGAGCGCTTTGAGGCCTGTGGTAGTAAAGGGAATAGCTTCATAGAAAAACTAGACAGATGCATTCTCAGGAACTTTTTGGTGATGTTTGTATTCAACTCCCAGAGTTGAACTTTCCTTTGGAAAGAGCAGCTATGAAACACTCTTTTTCTAGAATCTGCAAGTGGACGTTTGGAGGGCTTTGTGGTTTGTGGTGGAAAAGGAAATATCTTCACCTAAATACTAGATAGAAGCATTCTCAGAAGCTTCTCTGTGATGACTGCATTCAACTCACGGAGTTGAACACTCCTTTTGAGAGCGCAGTTTTGAAACTCTCTTTCTGTGGCATCTGCAAGGGGACATGTAGACCTCTTTGAAGATTTCGTTGGAAACGGAATCATCTTCACATAAAAACTATACAGAAGCAGTCTCAGAATCTTCTTTGTGATGTTTGCATTCAAATCCCAGAGTTGAACTTTCCTTTCAAAGTTCACGTTTGAAACACTCTTTTTGCAGGATCTACAAGTGGATATTTGGACCACTCTGTGTCCTTCGTTCGAAACGGGTATATCTTCACACGACATCTAGACAGAAGCTTTCTCAGAAAATTCTTTGGGATGATTGAGTGGAACTCACAGAGCTGAACATTCCTTGCGATGTAGCAGTTTAGAAACACACTTTCTGCAGAATCTGCAAGTGCATATTTGGACCTCTCTGAGGAATTCGTTGGAAACGGGATAATTTCAGCTGACTAAACAGAAGCATTCTCAGAACCTTCTTCGTGATGTCTGCATTCAACTCACAGTGTGGAACCTTTCTTTGATAGTTCAGGTTTGAAACACTCTTTTTGTAGAAACTGCAAGGGGATAATTGCACTTCTTTGAGGCCTACCGTAGTAAAGGAAATAACTTCCTATAGAAAGAAGACAGAAGCATTCTCAGAACCCTCTTCGTGATGTTTGCATTCAACTCACAGTGGTGAACCTTTCTTTGATAGTTCAGCTTTGAAACACTCTTCTTGTAGAAACTGCAAGTGGATATTTGGTCCTCTCTGAGGATTTCGTTGGAAACGGGATAAACCGCACAGAACTAAACAGAAGAATTCTCAGAGCCCTCTTCGTGATGTTTGCATTCAACTCACAGTGCTGAACCTTTCTTTGATAGTGCAGCTTTGAAACACTCTTTTTGTAGAAACTGCAAGTGGATGTTTGGTCCTCTCTGAGGATTTCGTTGGAAACGGGATAAACCGCACAGAACTAAAACAGAAGCATTGTCAGAAACTTCTTTGTGATGATTGCATTCAACTCACAGAGTTGAAGGTTCCTTTTCAAACAGCAGTTTCCAATCACTCTTTCTGTGGAATCTGCAAGTGGATATTTGGGCCTCTCTGAGGATTTCGTTGGAAACGGGATAAAACGCACAGAACTAAAACAGAAGCATTCTCAGAAACTTCTCTGTGATGTTTGTGTTCAACTCCCAGAGTTTCACGTTGCTTTTCATAGAGTAGTTCTGAAACATGCTTTTCGTAGTGTCTGCAAGTGGACATTTGGAGCGCTTTCAGGCCTGTGGTGGAAAACGAATTATGGTCACATAAAAACTGGAGAGAAGCCTTCTCAGAAACTTCTCTGTGATGATTGCATTCAACTCACAGAGTTGAACCCTCCTATGGATAGAGCAGTGTTGAAACTCTCTTTTTGTGGAATCTGCAAGTGGATATGTGGACCTCTCCGAAGATGTCTTTGGAAACGGGAATATCTTCACATAAAAACTAAACAGAAGCATTCTCAGAAACTTCTTGGTGATGTTTGCATTCAAATCCCAGAGTTGAACCTTCCTTTGATAGTTCAGGTTTGAAACACTCTTTCTGTAGGATCTGCAAGTGGCTATTTGGACCACTCTGTGGCCTTCGTTCGAAACGGGTATATCTTCGCATAAAATCTAGACAGAAGCATTCTCAGAAAATACTTTGTGATGATTGAGTTTAAAACACAGAGCTGACCATTCCTTTGGATGGAGCAGGTTTGAGACACACTTTTTGTAGAATCTACAAGTGGATATTTGGACCTCTCTGAGGATTTCGTTGGAAACGGGATAACTGCACCTAACTAAACGGAAGCATTCTCAGAAACTGCTTTGTGATGATTGCATTCACCTCACAGAGTTGAACATTCCTATTGATAGAGCAGTTTGGAAACACTCTTGTTGTGGAATGTGCAAGTGGAGATTTGGAGCGCTTTGAGGCCTATGGTAGTAAAGGGAATAGCTTCATAGAAAAACTAGACAGATGCATTCTCAGGAACTTTTTGGTGATGTTTGTATTCAACTCCCAGAGTTGAACTTTCCTTTGGAAAGAGCAGCTATGAAACACTCTTTTTCTAGAATCTGCAAGTGGACGTTTGGAGGGCTTTGTGGTTTGTGGTGGAAAAGGAAATATCTTCACCTAAATACTAGATAGAAGCATTCTCAGAAGCTTCTCTGTGATGACTGCATTCAACTCACGGAGTTGAACACTCCTTTTGAGAGCGCAGTTTTGAAACTCTCTTTCTGTGGCATCTGCAAGGGGACATGTAGACCTCTTTGAAGATTTCGATGGAAACGGAATCATCTTCACATAAAAACTATACAGAAGCAGTCTCAGAATCTTCTTTGTGATGTTTGCATTCAAATCCCAGAGTTGAACTTTCCTTTCAAAGTTCACGTTTGAAACACTCTTTTTGCAGGATCTACAAGTGGATATTTGGACCACTCTGTGTCCTTCGTTCGAAACGGGTATATCTTCACATGACATCTAGACAGAAGCTTTCTCAGAAAATTCTTTGGGATGATTGAGTTGAACTCACAGAGCTGAACATTTCCTTGCGATGGAGCAGTTTAGAAACACACTTTCTGCAGAATCTGCAAGTGCATATTTGGACCTCTCTGAGGAATTCGTTGGAAACGGGATAATTTCAGCCGACTAAACAGAAGCATTCTCAGAACCTTCTTCGTGATGTCTGCATTCAACTCACAGTGTGGAACCTTTCTTTGATAGTTCAGGTTTGAAACACTCTTTTTGTAGAAACTGCAAGGGGATAATTGCACTTCTTTGAGGCCTACCGTAGTAAAGGAAATAACTTCCTATAAAAAGAAGACAGAAGCATTCTCAGAACCCTCTTCGTGATGTTTGCATTCAACTCACAGTGCTGAACCTTTCTTTGATAGTTCAGCTTTGAAACACTCTTCTTGTAGAAACTGCAAGTGGATATTTGGTCCTCTCTGAGGATTTCGTTGGAAACGGGATAAACCGCACAGAACTAAACAGAAGCATTCTCAGAACCTTCTTCGTGATGTTTGCATTCAACTCACAGTGTTGAACCTTTCTTTGATAGTTCAGGTTTGAAACGGTCTTTCTGTAGAAACTGCAAGTAGATATTTGGACCTCTCTGAGGATTTCGTTGGAAACGGGATAACCCGCACAGAACTAAAACAGAAGCATTCACAGAAAACTCTTGGTGACGACTGAGTTTAACTCACAGAGCTGAACATTCCTTTGGATGGAGCAGTTTCGAAACACACTATTTGTAGAATGTGCAAGTGGATATTTGGGCCTCTCTGAGGATTTCGTTGGAAACGGGATAAACCGCACAGAACTAAACAGAAGCATTCTCAGAAACTACTTTGTGATGATTGCATTCAAGTCACAGAGTTGAACATTCCCTTTGACAGAGCAGTTTGGAAACTCTCTTTGTGTAGAATCTGCAAGTGGAGATATGGACCGCTTTGAGGCCTATGGTAGTAAAGGAAATAGCTTCATATAAAAGCTAGACAGTAGCATTCTCAGAAACTTCTTTGTGATGCTTGCATTCAACTCACAGAGTTGAACTTTCCTTTCGAGAGAGAAGCTTTGAAACACTCTTTTTCCAGAATCTGCAAGTGGACATTTGGAGGGCTTTGAGGCCTGTGGTGGAAAAGGAATTATCTTCCCGTAAAAGCTAGATAGAAGCATTGTCAGAAACTTCTTTGTGATGATTGCATTCAACTCACAGGGTTGAAGGTTCCTTTTCAAAGAGCAGTTTCCAATCACTCTTTCTGTGGAATCTGCAAGTGGATATTTGGACCTCTTTGAAGATTTCGTTGGAAACGGGAGAATCTTCACAGGAAAGCTAAACAGAAGCATTCTCAGAAACTTCTCTGTGATGTTTGTGTTCAACTCCCAGAGTTTCACATTGCTTTTCATAGAGTAGTTCTGAAACATGCTTTTCGTAGTGTCTACAAGTGGACATTTGGAGCGCTTTCAGGCCTGTGGTGGAAAACGAATTATGGTCACATAAAAACTGGAGAGAAGCCTTCTCAGAAACTTCTCTGTGATGATTGCATTCAACTCACAGAGTTGAACCCTCCTATGGATAGAGCAGTGTTGAAACTCTCTTTTTGTGGAATCTGCAAGTGGATATGTGGACCTCTCCGAAGATGTCTTTGGAAACGGGAATATCTTCACATAAAAACTAAACAGAAGCATTCTCAGAAACTTCTTGGTGATGTTTGCATTCAAATCCCAGAGTCGAACCTTCCTTTGATAGTTCAGGTTTGAAACACTCTTTTTGTAGGATCTGCAAGTGGATATTTGGACCACTCTGTGGCCTTCGTTCGAAACGGGTATATCTTCGCATAAAATCTAGACAGAAGCATTCTCAGAAAATACTTTGTGATGATTGAGTTTAACTCACAGAGCTGAACATTCCTTTGGATGGAGCAGGTTTGAGACACACTTTTTGTAGAATCTACAAGTGGATATTTGGACCTCTCTGAGGATTTCGTTGGAAACGGGTTAACTGCACCTAACTAAACGGAAGCATTCTCAGAAACTGCTTTGTGATGATTGCATTCACCTCACAGAGTTGAACATTCCTATTGATAGAGCAGTTTGGAAACACTCTTGTTGTGGAATGTGCAAGTGGAGATTTGGAGCGCTTTGAGGCCTATGGTAGTAAAGGGAATAGCTTCATAGAAAAACTAGACAGATGCATTCTCAGGAACTTTTTGGTGATGTTTGTATTCAACTCCCAGAGTTGAACTTTCCTTTGGAAAGAGCAGCTATGAAACACTCTTTTTCTAGAATCTGCAAGTGGACGTTTGGAGGGCTTTGTGGTTTGTGGTGGAAAAGGAAATATCTTCACCTAAATACTAGATAGAAGCATTCTCAGAAGCTTCTCTGTGATGACTGCATTCAACTCACGGAGTTGAACACTCCTTTTGAGAGCGCAGTTTTGAAACTCTCTTTCTGTGGCATCTGCAAGGGGACATGTAGACCTCTTTGAAGATTTCGTTGGAAACGGAATCATCTTCACATAAAAACTATACAGAAGCAGTCTCAGAATCTTCTTTGTGATGTTTGCATTCAAATCCCAGAGTTGAACTTTCCTTTCAAAGTTCACGTTTGAAACACTCTTTTTGCAGGATCTACAAGTGGATATTTGGACCACTCTGTGTCCTTTGTTCGAAACGGGTATATCTTCACACGACATCTAGACAGAAGCTTTCTCAGAAAATTCTTTGGGATGATTGAGTGGAACTCACAGAGCTGAACATTCCTTGCGATGTAGCAGTTTAGAAACACACTTTCTGCAGAATCTGCAAGTGCATATTTGGACCTCTCTGAGGAATTCGTTGGAAACGGGATAATTTCAGCTGACTAAACAGAAGCATTCTCAGAACCTTCTTCGTGATGTCTGCATTCAACTCACAGTGTGGAACCTTTCTTTGATAGTTCAGGTTTGAAACACTCTTTTTGTAGAAACTGCAAGGGGATAATTGCACTTCTTTGAGGCCTACCGTAGTAAAGGAAATAACTTCCTATAGAAAGAAGACAGAAGCATTCTCAGAACCCTCTTCGTGATGTTTGCATTCAACTCACAGTGCTGAACCTTTCTTTGATAGTTCAGCTTTGAAACACTCTTCTTGTAGAAACTGCAAGTGGATATTTGGTCCTCTCTGAGGATTTCGTTGGAAACGGGATAAACCGCACAGAACTAAACAGAAGAATTCTCAGAGCCCTCTTCGTGATGTTTGCATTCAACTCACAGTGCTGAACCTTTCTTTGATAGTGCAGCTTTGAAACACTCTTTTTGTAGAAACTGCAAGTGGATGTTTGGTCCTCTCTGAGGATTTCGTTGGAAACGGGATAAACCGCACAGAACTAAAACAGAAGCATTGTCAGAAACTTCTTTGTGATGATTGCATTCAACTCACAGAGTTGAAGGTTCCTTTTCAAACAGCAGTTTCCAATCACTCTTTCTGTGGAATCTGCAAGTGGATATTTGGGCCTCTCTGAGGATTTCGTTGGAAACGGGATAAAACGCACAGAACTAAAACAGAAGCATTCTCAGAAACTTCTCTGTGATGTTTGTGTTCAACTCCCAGAGTTTCACGTTGCTTTTCATAGAGTAGTTCTGAAACATGCTTTTCGTAGTGTCTGCAAGTGGACATTTGGAGCGCTTTCAGGCCTGTGGTGGAAAACGAATTATGGTCACATAAAAACTGGAGAGAAGCCTTCTCAGAAACTTCTCTGTGATGATTGCATTCAACTCACAGAGTTGAACCCTCCTATGGATAGAGCAGTGTTGAAACTCTCTTTTTGTGGAATCTGCAAGTGGATATGTGGACCTCTCCGAAGATGTCTTTGGAAACGGGAATATCTTCACATAAAAACTAAACAGAAGCATTCTCAGAAACTTCTTGGTGATGTTTGCATTCAAATCCCAGAGTTGAACCTTCCTTTGATAGTTCAGGTTTGAAACACTCTTTCTGTAGGATCTGCAAGTGGCTATTTGGACCACTCTGTGGCCTTCGTTCGAAACGGGTATATCTTCGCATAAAATCTAGACAGAAGCATTCTCAGAAAATACTTTGTGATGATTGAGTTTAAATCACAGAGCTGACCATTCCTTTGGATGGAGCAGGTTTGAGACACACTTTTTGTAGAATCTACAAGTGGATATTTGGACCTCTCTGAGGATTTCGTTGGAAACGGGATAACTGCACCTAACTAAACGGAAGCATTCTCAGAAACTGCTTTGTGATGATTGCATTCACCTCACCAGAGTTGAACATTCCTATTGATAGAGCAGTTTGGAAACACTCTTGTTGTGGAATGTGCAAGTGGAGATTTGGAGCGCTTTGAGGCCTATGGTAGTAAAGGGAATAGCTTCATAGAAAAACTAGACAGATGCATTCTCAGGAACTTTTTGGTGATGTTTGTATTCAACTCCCAGAGTTGAACTTTCCTTTGGAAAGAGCAGCTATGAAACACTCTTTTTCTAGAATCTGCAAGTGGACGTTTGGAGGGCTTTGTGGTTTGTGGTGGAAAAGGAAATATCTTCACCTAAATACTAGATAGAAGCATTCTCAGAAGCTTCTCTGTGATGACTGCATTCAACTCACGGAGTTGAACACTCCTTTTGAGAGCGCAGTTTTGAAACTCTCTTTCTGTGGCATCTGCAAGGGGACATGTAGACCTCTTTGAAGATTTCGTTGGAAACGGAATCATCTTCACATAAAAACTATACAGAAGCAGTCTCAGAATCTTCTTTGTGATGTTTGCATTCAAATCCCAGAGTTGAACTTTCCTTTCAAAGTTCACGTTTGAAACACTCTTTTTGCAGGATCTACAAGTGGATATTTGGACCACTCTGTGTCCTTCGTTCGAAACGGTTATATCTTCACAAGACATCTAGACAGAAGCTTTCTCAGAAAATTCTTTGGGATGATTGAGTGGAACTCACAGATCTGAACATTCCTTGCGATGTAGCAGTTTAGAAACACACTTTCTGCAGAATCTGCAAGTGCATATGTGGACCTCTTTGAGGAATTCGTTGGAAACGGGATAATTTCAGCTGACTAAACAGAAGCATTCTCAGAACCTTCTTCGTGATGTCTGCATTCAACTCACAGTGTGGAACCTTTCTTTGATAGTTCAGGTTTGAAACACTCTTTTTGTAGAAACTGCAAGGGGATAATTGCACTTCTTTGAGGCCTACCGTAGTAAAGGAAATAACTTCCTATAGAAAGAAGACAGAAGCATTCTCAGAATCTTCTTCGTGATGTTTGCATTCAACTCACAGTGCTGAACCTTTCTTTGATAGTTCAGCTTTGAAACACTCTTCTTGTAGAAACTGCAAGTGGATATTTGGTCCTCTCTGAGGATTTCGTTGGAAACGGGATAAACCGCACAGAACTAAACAGAAGCATTCTCAGAACCTTCTTCGTGATGTTTGCATTCAACTCACAGTGTTGAACCTTTCTTTGATAGTTCAGGTTGGAAACGGTCTTTCTGTAGAAACTGCAAGTAGATATTTGGACCTCTCTGAGGATTTCATTGGAAACGGGATAAACCGCACAGAACTAAAACAGAAGTATTCACAGAAAACTCTTGGTGACGACTGAGTTTAACTCACAGAGCTGAACATCCCTTTGGATGGAGCAGTTTGGAAACACACTATTTGTAGAATGTGCAAGTGGATATTGGGGCCTCTCTGAGGATTTCGTTGGAAACGGGATAAACCGCACAGAACTAAACAGAAGCATTCTCAGAAACTACTTTGTGATGATTGCATTCAAGTCACAGAGTTGAACATTCCCTTTGACAGAGCAGTTTGGAAACTCTCTTTGTGTAGAATCTGCAAGTGGAGATATGGACCGCTTTGAGGACTATGGTAGTAAAGGAAATAGCTTCATATAAAAGCTAGACAGTAGCATTCTCAGAAACTTCTTTGTGATGCTTGCATTCAACTCACAGAGTTGAACTTTCCTTTCGAGAGAGAAGCTTTGAAACACTCTTTTTCCAGAATCTACAAGTGGACATTTGGAGGGCTTTGAGGCCTGTGGTGGAAAAGGAATTATCTTCCCGTAAAAGCTAGATAGAAGCATTGTCAGAAACTTCTTTGTGATGATTGCATTCAACTCACAGAGTTGAAGGTTCCTTTTCAAACAGCAGTTTCCAATCACTCTTTCTGTGGAATCTGCAAGTGGATATTTGGGCCTCTCTGAGGATTTCGTTGGAAACGGGATAAAACGCACAGAACTAAAACAGAAGCATTCTCAGAAACTTCTCTGTGATGTTTGTGTTCAACTCCCAGAGTTTCACGTTGCTTTTCATAGAGTAGTTCTGAAACATGCTTTTCGTAGTGTCTGCAAGTGGACATTTGGAGCGCTTTCAGGCCTGTGGTGGAAAACGAATTATGGTCACATAAAAACTGGAGAGAAGCCTTCTCAGAAACTTCTCTGTGATGATTGCATTCAACTCACAGAGTTGAACCCTCCTATGGGTAGAGCAGTGTTGAAACTCTCTTTTTGTGGAATCTGCAAGTGGATATGTGGACCTCTCCGAAGATGTCTTTGGAAACGGGAATATCTTCACATAAAAACTAAACAGAAGCATTCTCAGAAACTTCTTGGTGATGTTTGCATTCAAATCCCAGAGTTGAACCTTCCTTTGATAGTTCAGGTTTGAAACACTCTTTCTGTAGGATCTGCAAGTGGCTATTTGGACCACTCTGTGGCCTTCGTTCGAAACGGGTATATCTTCGCATAAAATCTAGACAGAAGCATTCTCAGAAAATACTTTGTGATGATTGAGTTTAAATCACAGAGCTGACCATTCCTTTGGATGGAGCAGGTTTGAGACACACTTTTTGTAGAATCTACAAGTGGATATTTGGACCTCTCTGAGGATTTCGTTGGAAACGGGATAACTGCACCTAACTAAACGGAAGCATTCTCAGAAACTGCTTTGTGATGATTGCATTCACCTCACAGAGTTGAACATTCCTATTGATAGAGCAGTTTGGAAACACTCTTGTTGTGGAATGTGCAAGTGGAGATTTGGAGCGCTTTGAGGCCTGTGGTAGTAAAGGGAATAGCTTCATAGAAAAACTAGACAGATGCATTCTCAGGAACTTCTTTTTGGTGATGTTTGTATTCAACTCCCAGAGTTGAACTTTCCTTTGGAAAGAGCAGCTATGAAACACTCTTTTTCTAGAATCTGCAAGTGGACGTTTGGAGGGCTTTGTGGTTTGTGGTGGAAAAGGAAATATCTTCACCTAAATACTAGATAGAAGCATTCTCAGAAGCTTCTCTGTGATGACTGCATTCAACTCATGGAGTTGAACACTCCTTTTGAGAGCGCAGTTTTGAAACTCTCTTTCTGTGGCATCTGCAAGGGGACATGTAGACCTCTTTGAAGATTTCGTTGGAAACGGAATCATCTTCACATAAAAACTATACAGAAGCAGTCTCAGAATCTTCTTTGTGATGTTTGCATTCAAATCCCAGAGTTGAACTTTCCTTTCAAAGTTCACGTTTGAAACACTCTTTTTGCAGGATCTACAAGTGGATATTTGGACCACTCTGTGTCCTTCGTTCGAAACGGGTATAACTTCACACGACATCTAGACAGAAGCTTTCTCAGAAAATTCTTTGGGATGATTGAGTGGAACTCACAGAGCTGAACATTCCTTGCGATGTAGCAGTTTAGAAACACACTTTCTGCAGAATCTGCAAGTGCATATTTGGACCTCTCTGAGGAATTCGTTGGAAACGGGATAATTTCAGCTGACTAAACAGAAGCATTCTCAGAACCTTCTTCGTGATGTCTGCATTCAACTCACAGTGTGGAACCTTTCTTTGATAGTTCAGGTTTGAAACACTCTTTTTGTAGAAACTGCAAGGGGATAATTGCACTTCTTTGAGGCCTACCGTAGTAAAGGAAATAACTTCCTATAGAAAGAAGACAGAAGCATTCTCAGAACCCTCTTCGTGATGTTTGCATTCAACTCACAGTGCTGAACCTTTCTTTGATAGTTCAGCTTTGAAACACTCTTCTTGTAGAAACTGCAAGTGGATATTTGGTCCTCTCTGAGGATTTCGTTGGAAACGGGATAAACCGCACAGAACTAAACAGAAGCATTCACAGAAAACTCTTGGTGACGACTGAGTTTAACTCACAGAGCTGAACATTCCTTTGGATGGAGCAGTTTCGAAACACACTATTTGTAGAATCTGCAAGTGGATATTTGGGCCTCTCTGAGGATTTCGTTGGAAACGGGATAAACCGCACAGAACTAAAACAGAAGCATTCTCAGAAACTACTTTGTGATGATTGCATTCAAGTCACAGAGTTGAACATTCCCTTTGACAGAGCAGTTTGGAAACTCTCTTTGTGTAGAATCTGCAAGTGGAGATATGGACCGCTTTGAGGCCTATGGTGGTAAAGGAAATAGCTTCATATAAAAGCTAGACAGTAGCATTCTCAGAAACTTCTTTGTGATGCTTGCATTCAACTCACAGAGTTGAACTTTCCTTTCGAGAGAGAAGCTTTGAAACACTCTTTTTCCAGAATCTGCAAGTGGACATTTGGAGGGCTTTGAGGCCTGTGGTGGAAAAGGAATTATCTTCCCGTAAAAGCTAGATAGAAGCATTGTCAGAAACTTCTTTGTGTTGATTGCATTCAACTCACAGAGTTGAAGGTTCCTTTTCAAACAGCAGTTTCCAATCACTCTTTCTGTGGAATCTGCAAGTGGATATTTCGACCGCTTTGAAGATTTCGTTGGAAACGGGAGAATCTTCACAGAAAAGCTAAACAGAAGCATTCTCAGAAACTTCTCTGTGATGTTTGTGTTCAACTCCCAGAGTGTCACATTGCTTCTCATAGAGTAGTTCTGAAACATGCTTTTCGTAGTGTCTGCAAGGGGACATTTGGAGCGCTTTCAGGACTGTGGTGGAAAACGAATTATGGTCACATAAAAACTGGAGAGAAGCCTTCTCAGAAACTTCTCTGTGATGATTGCATTCAACTCACAGAGTTGAACTCTCCTATGGATAGAGCAGTGTTGAAACTCTCTTTTTGTGGAATCTGCAAGTGGATATGTGGACCTCTCCGAAGATGTCTTTGGAAACGGGACTATCTTCACATAAAAACTAAACAGAAGCATTCTCAGAAACTTCTTGGTGATGTTTGCATTCAAATCCCAGAGTTGAACCTTCCTTTGATAGTTCAGGTTTGAAACACTCTTTTTGTAGGATCTGCAAGTGGATATTTGGACCACTCTGTGGCCTTCATTCGAAACGGGTACATCTTCGCATAAAATCTAGACAGAAGCATTCTCAGAAAATACTTTGTGATGATTGAGTTTAACTCACAGAGCTGAACATTCCTTTGGATGGAGCAGGTTTGAGACACACCTTTTGTAGAATCTACAAGTGGATATTTGGACCTCTCCTGAGGATTTCGTTGGAAACGGGATAACTGCACCTAACTAAACGGAAGCATTCTCAGAAACTGCTTTGTGATGATTGCATTCACCTCACAGAGTTGAACATTCCTATTGATAGAGCAGTTTGGAAACACTCTTGTTGTGGAATGTGCAAGTGGAGATTTGGAGCGCTTTGAGGCCTATGGTAGTAAAGGGAATAGCTTCATAGAAAAACTAGACAGATGCATTCTCAGGAACTTTTTGGTGATGTTTGTATTCAACTCCCAGAGTTGAACTTTCCTTTGGAAAGAGCAGCTATGAAACACTGTTTTTCTAGAATCTGCAAGTGGACGTTTGGAGGGCTTTGTGGTTTGTGGTGGAAAAGGAAATATCTTCACCTAAATACTAGATAGAAGCATCCTCAGAAGCTTCTCTGTGATGACTGCATTCAACTCACGGAGTTGAACACTCCTTTTGAGAGCGCAGTTTTGAAACTCTCTTTCTGTGGCATCTGCAAGGGGACATGTAGACCTCTTTGAAGATTTCGTTGGAAACGGAATCATCTTCACATAAAAACTATACAGAAGCAGTCTCAGAATCTTCTTTGTGATGTTTGCATTCAAATCCCCGAGTTGAACTTTCCTTTCAAAGTTCACGTTTGAAACACTCTTTTTGCAGGATCTACAAGTGGATATTTGGACCACTCTGTGTCCTTCGTTCGAAACGGGTATATCTTCACATGACATCTAGACAGAAGCTTTCTCAGAAAATTCTTTGGGATGATTGAGTTGAACTCACAGAGCTGAGCATTCCTTGCGATGTAGCAGTTTAGAAACACACTTTCTGCAGAATCTGCAAGTGCATATTTGGACCTCTGTGAGGAATTCGTTGGAAACGGGATAATTTCAGCTGACTAAACAGAAGCATTCTCAGAACCTTCTTCGTGATGTCTGCATTCAACTCACAGTGTGGAACCTTTCTTTGATAGTTCAGGTTTGAAACACTCTTTTTGTAGAAACTGCAAGGGGATAATTGCACTCTTTGAGGAGTACCGTAGTAAAGGAAATAACTTCCTATAAAAAGAAGACAGAAGCATTCTCAGAACCCTCTTCGTGATGTTTGCATTCAACTCACAGTGCTGAACCTTTCTTTGATAGTTCAGCTTTGAAACACTCTTTTTGTAGAAACTGCAAGTGGATATTTGGTCCTCTCTGAGCATTTCGTTGGAAACGGGATAAACTGCACAGAACTAAACAGAAGCATTCTCAGAACCTTCTTCGTGATGTTTGCATTCAACTCACAGTGTTGAACCTTTCTTTGATAGTTCAGGTTTGAAACGGTCTTTCTGTAGAAACTGCAAGTAGATATTTGGACCTCTCTGAGGATTTCGTTGGAAACGGGATAACCCGCACAGAACTAAAACAGAAGCATTCACAGAAAAACTCTTGGTGACGACTGAGTTTAACTCACAGAGCTGAACATTCCTTTGGATGGAGCAGTTTCGAAACACACTATTTGTAGAATGTGCAAGTGGATATTTAGGCCTCTCTGAGGATTTCGTTGGAAACGGGATAAACCGCACAGAACTAAACAGAAGCATTCTCAGAAACTACTTTGTGATGATTGCATTCAAGTCACAGAGTTGAACATTCCCTTTGACAGAGCAGTTTGGAAACTCTCTTTGTGTAGAATCTGCAAGTGGAGATATGGACCGCTTTGAGGCCTATGGTAGTAAAGGAAATAGCTTCATATAAAAGCTAGACAGTAGCATTCTCAGAAACTTCTTTGTGATGCTTGCATTCAACTCACAGAGTTGAACTTTCCTTTCGAGAGAGAAGCTTTGAAACACTCTTTTTCCAGAATCTGCAAGTGGACATTTGGAGGGCTTTGAGGCCTGTGGTGGAAAAGGAATTATCTTCCCGTAAAAGCTAGATAGAAGCATTGTCAGAAACTTCTTTGTGATGATTGCATTCAACTCACAGAGTTGAAGGTTCCTTTTCAAAGAGCAGTTTCCAATCACTCTTTGTGTGGAATCTGCAAGTGGATATTTGGACCTATTTTGAAGATTTCGTTGGAAACGGGAGAATCTTCACAGGAAAGCTAAACAGAAGCATTCTCAGAAACTTCTCTGTGATGTTTGTGTTCAACTCCCAGAGTTTCACATTGCTTTTCATAGAGTAGTTCTGAAACATGCTTTTCGTAGTGTCTACAAGTGGACATTTGGAGCGCTTTCAGGCCTGTGGTGGAAAACGAATTATGGTCACATAAAAACTGGAGAGAAGCCTTCTCAGGAAACTTCTCTGTGATGATTGCATTCAACTCACAGAGTTGAACCCTCCTATGGATAGAGCAGTGTTGAAACTCTCTTTTTGTGGAATCTGCAAGTGGATATGTGGACCTCTCCGAAGATGTCTTTGGAAACGGGAATATCTTCACATAAAAACTAAACAGAAGCATTCTCAGAAACTTCTTTGTGATATTTGCATTCAAATCCCAGAGTTGAAACTTCCTTTGATAGGTCAGGTTTGAAACACTCTTTCTGTACGATCTGCAAGTGGATATTTGGACCACTCTGTGGCCTTCGTTCGAAACGGGTACATCTTCACATAACATCTAGACAGAAGCATTCTCAGAAAATACTTTGTGATGATTGAGTTTAAATCACAGAGCTGACCATTCCTTTGGATGGAGCAGGTTTGAGACACACTTTTTGTAGAATCTACAAGTGGATATTTGGACCTCTCTGAGGATTTCGTTGGAAACGGGATAACTGCACCTAACTAAACGGAAGCATTCTCAGAAACTGCTTTGTGATGATTGCATTCACCTCACAGAGTTGAACATTCCTATTGATAGAGCAGTTTGGAAACACTCTTGTTGTGGAATGTGCAAGTGGAGATTTGGAGCGCTTTGAGGCCTATGGTAGTAAAGGGAATAGCTTCATAGAAAAACTAGACAGATGCATTCTCAGGAACCTTTTGGTGATGTTTGTATTCAACTCCCAGAGTTGAACTTTCCTTTGGAAAGAGCAGCTATGAAACACTCTTTTTCTAGAATCTGCAAGTGGACGTTTGGAGGGCTTTGTGGTTTGTGGTGGAAAAGGAAATATCTTCACCTAAATACTAGATAGAAGCATTCTCAGAAGCTTCTCTGTGATGACTGCATTCAACTCACGGAGTTGAACACTCCTTTTGAGAGCGCAGTTTTGAAACTCTCTTTCTGTGGCATCTGCAAGGGGACATGTAGACCTCTTTGAAGATTTCGTTGGAAACGGAATCATCTTCACATAAAAACTATACAGAAGCAGTCTCAGAATCTTCTTTGTGATGTTTGCATTCAAATCCCAGAGTTGAACTTTCCTTTCAAAGTTCACGTTTGAAACACTCTTTTTGCAGGATCTACAAGTGGATATTTGGACCACTCTGTGTCCTTCGTTCGAAACGGGTATATCTTCACACGACATCTAGACAGAAGCTTTCTCAGAAAATTCTTTGGGATGATTGAGTGGAACTCACAGAGCTGAACATTCCTTGCGATGTAGCAGTTTAGAAACACACTTTCTGCAGAATCTGCAAGTGCATATTTGGACCTCTCTGAGGAATTCGTTGGAAACGGGATAATTTCAGCTGACTAAACAGAAGCATTCTCAGAACTTCTTCGTGATGTCTGCATTCAACTCACAGTGTGGAACCTTTCTTTGATAGTTCAGGTTTGAAACACTCTTTTTGTAGAAACTGCAAGGGGATAATTGCACTTCTTTGAGGCCTACCGTAGTAAAGGAAATAACTTCCTATAGAAAGAAGACAGAAGCATTCTCAGAACCTTCTTCGTGATGTTTGCATTCAACTCACGGTGCTGAAACTTTCTTTGATAGTTCAGCTTTGAAACACTCTTTTTGTAGAAACTGCAAGTGGATATTTGGTCCTCTCTGAGGATTTCGTTGGAAACGGGATAAAACGCACAGAACTAAACAGAAGCATTCTCAGAACTTTCTTCGTGATGTTTGCATTCAACTCACAGTGTTGAACCTTTCTTTGATAGTTCAGGTTTGAAACGGTCTTTCTGTAGAAACTGCAATTAGATATTTGGACCTCTCTGAGGATTTCGTTGGAAACGGGATAAACCGCACAGAACTAAAACAGAAGCATTCACAGAAAACTCTTGGTGACGACTGAGTTTAACTCACAGAGCTGAACATTCCTTTGGATGGAGCAGTTTCGAAACACACTATTTGTAGAATGTGCAAGTGGATATTTAGGCCTCTCTGAGGATTTCGTTGGAAACGGGATAAACCGCACAGAACTAAACAGAAGCATTCTCAGAAACTACTTTGTGATGATTGCATTCAAGTCACAGAGTTGAACATTCCCTTTGACAGAGCAGTTTGGAAACTCTCTTTGTGTAGAATCTGCAAGTGGAGATATGGACCGCTTTGAGGCCTATGGTAGTAAAGGAAATAGCTTCATATAAAAGCTAGACAGTAGCATTCTCAGAAACTTCTTTGTGATGCTTGCATTCAACTCACAGAGTTGAACTTTCCTTTCGAGAGAGAAGCTTTGAAACACTCTTTTTCCAGAATCTGCAAGTGGACATTTGGAGGGCTTTGAGGCCTGTGGTGGAAAAGGAATTATCTTCCCGTAAAAGCTAGATAGAAGCATTGTCAGAAACTTCTTTGTGATGATTGCATTCAAGTCACAGAGTTGAAGGTTCCTTTTCAAAGAGCAGTTTCCAATCACTCTTTCTGTGGAATCTGCAAGTGGATATTTGGACCTCTTTGAAGATTTCGTTGGAAACGGGAGAATCTTCACAGAAAAGCTAAACAGAAGCATTCTCAGAAACTTCTCTGTGATGTTTGTGTTCAACTCCCAGAGTTTCACATTGCTTCTCATAGAGTAGTTCTGAAACATGCTTTTCGTAGTGTCTGCAAGTGGACATTTGGAGCGCTTTCAGGCCTGTGGTGGAAAACGAATTATGGTCACATAAAAACTGGAGAGAAGCCTTCTCAGAAACTTCTCTGTGATGATTGCATTCAACTCACAGAGTTGAACCCTCCTATGGATAGAGCAGTGTTGAAACTCTCTTTTTGTGGAATCTGCAAGTGTATATGTGGACCTCTCCAAAGATGTCTTTGGAAACGGGACTATCTTCACATAAAAACTAAACAGAAGCATTCTCAGAAACTTCTTGGTGATGTTTGCATTCAAATCCCAGAGTTGAACCTTCCTTTGATAGTTCAGGTTTGAAACACTCTTTTTGTAGGATCTGCAAGTGGATATTTGGACCACTCTGTGGCCTTCGTTCGAAACGGGTACATCTTCGCATAAAATCTAGACAGAAGCATTCTCAGAAAATACTTTGTGATGATTGAGTTTAAATCACAGAGCTGACCATTCCTTTGGATGGAGCAGGTTTGAGACACACTTTTTGTAGAATCTACAAGTGGATATTTGGACCTCTCTGAGGATTTCGTTGGAAACGGGATAACTGCACCTAACTAAACGGAAGCATTCTCAGAAACTGCTTTGTGATGATTGCATTCACCTCACAGAGTTGAACATTCCTATTGATAGAGCAGTTTGGAAACACTCTTGTTGTGGAATGTGCAAGTGGAGATTTGGAGCGCTTTGAGGCCTATGGTAGTAAAGGGAATAGCTTCATAGAAAAACTAGACAGATGCATTCTCAGGAACTTTTTGGTGATGTTTGTATTCAACTCCCAGAGTTGAACTTTCCTTTGGAAAGAGCAGCTATGAAACACTCTTTTTCTAGAATCTGCAAGTGGACGTTTGGAGGGCTTTGTGGTTTGTGGTGGAAAAGGAAATATCTTCACCTAAATACTAGATAGAAGCATCCTCAGAAGCTTCTCTGTGATGACTGCATTCAACTCACGGAGTTGAACACTCCTTTTGAGAGCGCAGTTTTGAAACTCTCTTTCTGTGGCATCTGCAAGGGGACATGTAGACCTCTTTGAAGATTTCGTTGGAAACGGAATCATCTTCACATAAAAACTATACAGAAGCAGTCTCAGAATCTTCTTTGTGATGTTTGCATTCAAATCCCAGAGTTGAACTTGCCTTTCAAAGTTCACGTTTGAAACACTCTTTTTGCAGGATCTACAAGTGGATATTTGGACCACTCTGTGTCCTTCGTTCGAAACGGGTATATCTTCACATGACATCTAGACAGAAGCTTTCTCAGAAAATTCTTTGGGATGATTGAGTTGAACTCACAGAGCTGAACATTCCTTGCGATGTAGCAGTTTAGAAACACACTTTCTGCAGAATCTGCAAGTGCATATTTGGACCTCTCTGAGGAATTCGTTGGAAACGGGATAATTTCAGCTGACTAAACAGAAGCATTCTCAGTAACCTTCTTCGTGATGTCTGCATTCAACTCACAGTGTGGAACCTTTCTTTGATAGTTCAGGTTTGAAACACTCTTTTTGTAGAAACTGCAAGGGGATAATTGCACTTCTTTGAGGCCTACCGTAGTAAAGGAAATAACTTCCTATAAAAAGAAGACAGAAGCATTCTCAGAACCCTCTTCCTGATGTTTGCATTCAACTCACAGTGCTGAACCTTTCTTTGATAGTTCAGCTTTGAAACACTCTTTTTGTAGAAACTGCAAGTGGATATTTGGTCCTCTCTGAGGATTTCGTTGGAAACGGGATAAACTGCACAGAACTAAACAGAAGCATTCTCAGAACCTTCTTCGTGATGTTTGCATTCAACTCACAAGTGTTGAACCTTTCTTTGATAGTTCAGGTTTGAAACGGTCTTTCTGTAGAAACTGCAAGTAGATATTTGGACCTCTCTGAGGATTTCGTTGGAAACGGGATAACCCGCACAGAACTAAAACAGAAGCATTCACAGAAAACTCTTGGTGACGACTGAGTTTAACTCACAGAGCTGAACATTCCTTTGGATGGAGCAGTTTCGAAACACACTATTTGTAGAATGTGCAAGTGGATATTTAGGCCTCTCTGAGGATTTCGTTGGAAACGGGATAAACCGCACAGAACTAAACAGAAGCATTCTCAGAAACTACTTTGTGATGATTGCATTCAAGTCACAGAGTTGAACATTCCCTTTGACAGAGCAGTTTGGAAACTCTCTTTGTGTAGAATCTGCAAGTGGAGATATGGACCGCTTTGAGGCCTATGGTAGTAAAGGAAATAGCTTCATATAAAAGCTAGACAGTAGCATTCTCAGAAACTTCTTTGTGATGCTTGCATTCAACTCACAGAGTTGAACTTTCCTTTCGAGAGAGAAGCTTTGAAACACTCTTTTTCCAGAATCTGCAAGTGGACATTTGGAGGGCTTTGAGGCCTGTGGTGGAAAAGGAATTATCTTCCCGTAAAAGCTAGATAGAAGCATTGTCAGAAACTTCTTTGTGATGATTGCATTCAACTCACAGAGTTGAAGGTTCCTTTTCAAAGAGCAGTTTCCAATCACTCTTTGTGTGGAATCTGCAAGTGGATATTTGGACCTATTTTGAAGATTTCGTTGGAAACGGGAGAATCTTCACAGGAAAGCTAAACAGAAGCATTCTCAGAAACTTCTCTGTGATGTTTGTGTTCAACTCCCAGAGTTTCACATTGCTTTTCATAGAGTAGTTCTGAAACATGCTTTTCGTAGTGTCTACAAGTGGACATTTGGAGCGCTTTCAGGCCTGTGGTGGAAAACGAATTATGGTCACATAAAAACTGGAGAGAAGCCTTCTCAGAAACTTCTCTGTGATGATTGCATTCAACTCACAGAGTTGAACCCTCCTATGGATAGAGCAGTGTTGAAACTCTCTTTTTGTGGAATCTGCAAGTGGATATGTGGACCTCTCCGAAGATGTCTTTGGAAACGGGAATATCTTCACATAAAAACTAAACAGAAGCATTCTCAGAAACTTCTTGGTGATGTTTGCATTCAAATCCCAGAGTTGAACCTTCCTTTGATAGTTCAGGTTTGAAACACTCTTTTTGTAGGATCTGCAAGTGGATATTTGGACCACTCTGTGGCCTTCGTTCGAAACGGGTATATCTTCGCATAAAATCTAGACAGAAGCATTCTCAGAAAATACTTTGTGATGATTGAGTTTAACTCACAGAGCTGAACATTCCTTTGGATGGAGCAGGTTTGAGACACACTTTTTGTAGAATCTACAAGTGGATATTTGGACCTCTCTGAGGATTTCGTTGGAAACGGGATAACTGCACCTAACTAAACGGAAGCATTCTCAGAAACTGCTTTGTGATGATTGCATTCACCTCACAGAGTTGAACATTCCTATTGATAGAGCAGTTTGGAAACACTCTTGTTGTGGAATGTGCAAGTGGAGATTTGGAGCGCTTTGAGGCCTATGGTAGTAAAGGGAATAGCTTCATAGAAAAACTAGACAGATGCATTCTCAGGAACTTTTTGGTGATGTTTGTATTCAACTCCCAGAGTTGAACTTTCCTTTGGAAAGAGCAGCTATGAAACACTCTTTTTCTAGAATCTGCAAGTGGACGTTTGGAGGGCTTTGTGGTTTGTGGTGGAAAAGGAAATATCTTCACCTAAATACTAGATAGAAGCATTCTCAGAAGCTTCTCTGTGATGACTGCATTCAACTCACGGAGTTGAACACTCCTTTTGAGAGCGCAGTTTTGAAACTCTCTTTCTGTGGCATCTGCAAGGGGACATGTAGACCTCTTTGAAGATTTCGTTGGAAACGGAATCATCTTCACATCAAAACTATACAGAAGCAGTCTCAGAATCTTCTTTGTGATGTTTGCATTCAAATCCCAGAGTTGAACTTTCCTTTCAAAGTTCACGTTTGAAACACTCTTTTTGCAGGATCTACAAGTGGATATTTGGACCACTCTGTGTCCTTCGTTCGAAACGGGTATATCTTCACATGACATCTAGACAGAAGCTTTCTCAGAAAATTCTTTGGGATGATTGAGTGGAACTCACAGAGCTGAACATTCCTTGCGATGTAGCAGTTTAGAAACACACTTTCTGCAGAATCTGCAAGTGCATATTTGGACCTCTCTGAGGAATTCGTTGGAAACGGGATAATTTCAGCTGACTAAACAGAAGCATTCTCAGAACCTTCTTCGTGATGTCTGCATTCAACTCGCAGTGTGGAACCTTTCTTTGATAGTTCAGGTTTGAAACACTCTTTTTGTAGAAACTGCAAGGGGATAATTGCACTTCTTTGAGGCCTACCGTAGTAAAGGAAATAACTTCCTATAGAAAGAAGACAGAAGCATTCTCAGAACCCTCTTCGTGATGTTTGCATTCAACTCACAGTGCTGAACCTTTCTTTGATAGTTCAGCTTTGAAACACTCTTCTTGTAGAAACTGCAAGTGGATATTTGGTCCTCTCTGAGGATTTCGTTGGAAAAGGGATAAACCGCACAGAACTAAACAGAAGCATTCTCAGAGCCCTCTTCGTGATGTTTGCATTCAACTCACAGTGCTGAACCTTTCTTTGATAGTGCAGCTTTGAAACACTCTTTTTGTAGAAACTGCAAGTGGATATTTGGTCCTCTCTGAGGATTTCGTTGGAAACGGGATAAATCCCAGAGAACTAAAACAGAAGCATTCACAGAAAACTCTTGGTGACGACTGAGTTTAACTCACAGAGCTGAACATTCCTTTGGATGGAGCAGTTTCGAAACACACTATTTGTAGAATGTGCAAGTGGATATTTGGGCCTCTCTGAGGATTTCGTTGGAAACGGGATAAAACGCACAGAACTAAATCAGAAGCATTCTCAGAAACTACTTTGTGATGATTGCATTCAAGTCACAGAGTTGAACATTCCCTTTGACAGAGCAGTTTGGAAACTCTCTTTGTGTAGAATCTGCAAGTGGAGATATGGACCGCTTTGAGGCCTATGGTAGTAAAGGAAATAGCTTCATATAAAAGCTAGACAGTAGCATTCTCAGAAACTTCTTTGTGATGCTTGCATTCAACTCACAGAGTTGAACTTTCCTTTCGAGAGAGAAGCTTTGAAACACTCTTTTTCCAGAATCTGCAAGTGGACATTTGGAGGGCTTTGAGGCCTGTGGTGGAAAAGGAATTATCTTCCCGTAAAAGCTAGATAGAAGCATTGTCAGAAACTTCTTTGTGATGATTGCATTCAACTCACAGAGTTGAAGGTTCCTTTTCAAAGAGCAGTTTCCAATCACTCTTTGTGTGGAATCTGCAAGTGGATATTTGGACCTATTTTGAAGATTTCGTTGGAAACGGGAGAATCTTCACAGGAAAGCTAAACAGAAGCATTCTCAGAAACTTCTCTGTGATGTTTGTGTTCAACTCCCAGAGTTTCACATTGCTTTTCATAGAGTAGTTCTGAAACATGCTTTTCGTAGTGTCTACAAGTGGACATTTGGAGCGCTTTCAGGCCTGTGGTGGAAAACGAATTATGGTCACATAAAAACTGGAGAGAAGCCTTCTCAGAAACTTCTCTGTGATGATTGCATTCAACTCACAGAGTTGAACCCTCCTATGGATAGAGCAGTGTTGAAACTCTCTTTTTGTGGAATCTGCAAGTGGATACGTGGACCTCTCCGAAGATGTCTTTGGAAACGGGAATATCTTCACATAAAAACTAAACAGAAGCATTCTCAGAAACTTCTTGGTGATGTTTGCATTCAAATCCCAGAGTTGAACCTTCCTTTGATAGTTCAGGTTTGAAACACTCTTTTTGTAGGATCTGCAAGTGGATATTTGGACCACTCTGTGGCCTTCGTTCGAAACGGGTATATCTTCGCATAAAATCTAGACAGAAGCATTCTCAGAAAATACTTTGTGATGATTGAGTTTAACTCAAAGAGCTGAACATTCCTTTGGGTGGAGCAAGTTTGAGACACACTTTTTGTAGAATCTACAAGTGGATATTTGGACCTCTCTGAGGATTTCGTTGGAAACGGGATAACTGCACCTAACTAAACGGAAGCATTCTCAGAAACTGCTTTGTGATGATTGCATTCACCTCACAGAGTTGAACATTCCTATTGATAGAGCAGTTTGGAAACACTCTTGTTGTGGAATGTGCAAGTGGAGATTTGGAGCGCTTTGAGGCCTATGGTAGTAAAGGGAATAGCTTCATAGAAAAACTAGACAGATGCATTCTCAGGAACTTTTTGGTGATGTTTGTATTCAACTCCCAGAGTTGAACTTTCCTTTGGAAAGAGCAGCTATGAAACACTCTTTTTCTAGAATCTGCAAGTGGACGTTTGGAGGGCTTTGTGGTTTGTGGTGGAAAAGGAAATATCTTCACCTAAATACTAGATAGAAGCATTCTCAGAAGCTTCTCTGTGATGACTGCATTCAACTCACGGAGTTGAACACTCCTTTTGAGAGCGCAGTTTTGAAACTCTCTTTCTGTGGCATCTGCAAGGGGACATGTAGACCTCTTTGAAGATTTCGTTGGAAACGGAATCATCTTCACATAAAAACTATACAGAAGCAGTCTCAGAATCTTCTTTGTGATGTTTGCATTCAAATCCCAGAGTTGAACTTTCCTTTCAAAGTTCACGTTTGAAACACTCTTTTTGCAGGATCTACAAGTGGATATTTGGACCACTCTGTGTCCTTCGTTCGAAACGGGTATATCTTCACACGACATCTAGACAGAAGCTTTCTCAGAAAATTCTTTGGGATGATTGAGTGGAACTCACAGAGCTGAACATTCCTTGCGATGGAGCAGTTTAGAAACACACTTTCTGCAGAATCTGCAAGTGCATATTTGGACCTCTCTGAGGAATTCGTTGGAAACGGGATAATTTCAGCTGACTAAACAGAAGCATTCTCAGAACCTTCTTCGTGATGTCTGCATTCAACTCACAGTGTGGAACCTTTCTTTGATAGTTCAGGTTTGAAACACTCTTTTTGTAGAAACTGCAAGGGGATAATTGCACTTCTTTGAGGCCTACCGTAGTAAAGGAAATAACTTCCTATAGAAAGAAGACAGAAGCATTCTCAGAACCCTCTTCGTGATGTTTGCATTCAACTCACAGTGCTGAACCTTTCTTTGATAGTTCAGCTTTGAAACACTCTTCTTGTAGAAACTGCAAGTGGATATTTGGTCCTCTCTGAGGATTTCGTTGGAAACGGGATAAACCGCACAGAACTAAACAGAAGAATTCTCAGAGCCCTCTTCGTGATGTTTGCATTCAACTCACAGTGCTGAACCTTTCTTTGATAGTGCAGCTTTGAAACACTCTTTTTGTAGAAACTGCAAGTGGATGTTTGGTCCTCTCTGAGGATTTCGTTGGAAACGGGATAAACCGCACAGAACTAAAACAGAAGCATTGTCAGAAACTTCTTTGTGATGATTGCATTCAACTCACAGAGTTGAAGGTTCCTTTTCAAACAGCAGTTTCCAATCACTCTTTCTGTGGAATCTGCAAGTGGATATTTGGGCCTCTCTGAGGATTTCGTTGGAAACGGGATAAAACGCACAGAACTAAAACAGAAGCATCCTCAGAAACTTCTCTGTGATGTTTGTGTTCAACTCCCAGTGTTTCACATTGCTTTTCATAGAGTAGTTCTGAAACATGCTTTTCGTAGTGTCTGCAAGTGGACATTTGGAGCGCTTTCAGGCCTGTGGTGGAAAACGAATTATGGTCCCATAAAAACTGGAGGGAAGCCTTCTCAGAAACTTCTCTGTGATGATTGCATTCAACTCACAGAGTTGAACCCTCCTATGGATAGAGCAGTGTTGAAACTCTCTTTTTGTGGAATCTGCAAGTGGATATGTGGACCTCTCCGAAGATGTCTTTGGAAACGGGAATATCTTCACATAAAAACTAAACAGAAGCATTCTCAGAAACTTCTTGGTGATGTTTGCATTCAAATCCCAGAGTTGAACCTTCCTTTGATAGTTCAGGTTTGAAACACTCTTTCTGTAGGATCTGCAAGTGGCTATTTGGACCACTCTGTGGCCTTCGTTCGAAACGGGTATATCTTCGCATAAAATCTAGACAGAAGCATTCTCAGAAAATACTTTGTGATGATTGAGTTTAAATCACAGAGCTGACCATTCCTTTGGATGGAGCAGGTTTGAGACACACTTTTTGTAGAATCTACAAGTGGATATTTGGACCTCTCTGAGGATTTCGTTGGAAACGGGATAACTGCACCTAACTAAACGGAAGCATTCTCAGAAACTGCTTTGTGATGATTGCATTCACCTCACAGAGTTGAACATTCCTATTGATAGAGCAGTTTGGAAACACTCTTGTTGTGGAATGTGCAAGTGGAGATTTGGAGCGCTTTGAGGCCTGTGGTAGCAAAGGGAATAGCTTCATAGAAAAACTAGACAGATGCATTCTCAGGAACTTCTTTTTGGTGATGTTTGTATTCAACTCCCAGAGTTGAACTTTCCTTTGGAAAGAGCAGCTATGAAACACTCTTTTTCTAGAATCTGCAAGTGGACGTTTGGAGGGCTTTGTGGTTTGTGGTGGAAAAGGAAATATCTTCACCTAAATACTAGATAGAAGCATTCTCAGAAGCTTCTCTGTGATGACTGCATTCAACTCACGGAGTTGAACACTCCTTTTGAGAGCGCAGTTTTGAAACTCTCTTTCTGTGGCATCTGCAAGGGGACATGTAGACCTCTTTGAAGATTTCGTTGGAAACGGAATCATCTTCACATAAAAACTATACAGAAGCAGTCTCAGAATCTTCTTTGTGATGTTTGCATTCAAATCCCAGAGTTGAACTTTCCTTTCAAAGTTCACGTTTGAAACACTCTTTTTGCAGGATCTACAAGTGGATATTTGGACCACTCTGTGTCCTTCGTTCGAAACGGGTATATCTTCACACGACATCTAGACAGAAGCTTTCTCAGAAAATTCTTTGGGATGATTGAGTGGAACTCACAGAGCTGAACATTCCTTGCGATGTAGCAGTTTAGAAACACACTTTCTGCAGAATCTGCAAGTGCATATTTGGACCTCTCTGAGGAATTCGTTGGAAACGGGATAATTTCAGCTGACTAAACAGAAGCATTCTCAGAACCTTCTTCGTGATGTCTGCATTCAACTCACAGTGTGGAACCTTTCTTTGATAGCTCAGGTTTGAAACACTCTTTTTGTAGAAACTGCAAGGGGATAATTGCACTTCTTTGAGGCCTACCGTAGTAAAGGAAATAACTTCCTATAGAAAGAAGACAGAAGCATTCTCAGAACCCTCTTCGTGATGTTTGCATTCAACTCACAGTGCTGAACCTTTCTTTGATAGTTCAGCTTTGAAACACTCTTCTTGTAGAAACTGCAAGTGGATATTTGGTCCTCTCTGAGGATTTCGTTGGAAACGGGATAAACCGCACAGAACTAAACAGAAGAATTCTCAGAGCCCTCTTCGTGATGTTTGCATTCAACTCACAGTGCTGAACCTTTCTTTGATAGTGCAGCTTTGAAACACTCTTTTTGTAGAAACTGCAAGTGGATGTTTGGTCCTCTCTGAGGATTTCGTTGGAAACGGGATAAACCGCACAGAACTAAAACAGAAGCATTGTCAGAAACTTCTTTGTGATGATTGCATTCAACTCACAGAGTTGAAGGTTCCTTTTCAAACAGCAGTTTCCAATCACTCTTTCTGTGGAATCTGCAAGTGGATATTTGGGCCTCTCTGAGGATTTCGTTGGAAACGGGATAAAACGCACAGAACTAAAACAGAAGCATTCTCAGAAACTTCTCTGTGATGTTTGTGTTCAACTCCCAGAGTTTCACGTTGCTTTTCATAGAGTAGTTCTGAAACATGCTTTTCGTAGTGTCTGCAAGTGGACATTTGGAGCGCTTTCAGGCCTGTGGTGGAAAACGAATTATGGTCACATAAAAACTGGAGAGAAGCCTTCTCAGAAACTTCTCTGTGATGATTGCATTCAACTCACAGAGTTGAACCCTCCTATGGATAGAGCAGTGTTGAAACTCTCTTTTTGTGGAATCTGCAAGTGGATATGTGGACCTCTCCGAAGATGTCTTTGGAAACGGGAATATCTTCACATAAAAACTAAACAGAAGCATTCTCAGAAAACTTCTTGGTGATGTTTGCATTCAAATCCCAGAGTTGAACCTTCCTTTGATAGTTCAGGTTTGAAACACTCTTTCTGTAGGATCTGCAAGTGGCTATTTGGACCACTCTGTGGCCTTCGTTCGAAACGGGTATATCTTCGCATAAAATCTAGACAGAAGCATTCTCAGAAAATACTTTGTGATGATTGAGTTTAAATCACAGAGCTGACCATTCCTTTGGATGGAGCAGGTTTGAGACACACTTTTTGTAGAATCTACAAGTGGATATTTGGACCTCTCTGAGGATTTCGTTGGAAACGGGATAACTGCACCTAACTAAACGGAAGCATTCTCAGAAACTGCTTTGTGATGATTGCATTCACCTCACAGAGTTGAACATTCCTATTGATAGAGCAGTTTGGAAACACTCTTGTTGTGGAATGTGCAAGTGGAGATTTGGAGCGCTTTGAGGCCTGTGGTAGTAAAGGGAATAGCTTCATAGAAAAACTAGACAGATGCATTCTCAGGAACTTTTTGGTGATGTTTGTATTCAACTCCCAGAGTTGAACTTTCCTTTGGAAAGAGCAGCTATGAAACACTCTTTTTCTAGAATCTGCAAGTGGACGTTTGGAGGGCTTTGTGGTTTGTGGTGGAAAAGGAAATATCTTCACCTAAATACTAGATAGAAGCATCCTCAGAAGCTTCTCTGTGATGACTGCATTCAACTCACGGAGTTGAACACTCCTTTTGAGAGCGCAGTTTTGAAACTCTCTTTCTGTGGCATCTGCAAGGGGACATGTAGACCTCTTTGAAGATTTCGTTGGAAACGGAATCATCTTCACATAAAAACTATACAGAAGCAGTCTCAGAATCTTCTTTGTGATGTTTGCATTCAAATCCCCGAGTTGAACTTTCCTTTCAAAGTTCACGTTTGAAACACTCTTTTTGCAGGATCTACAAGTGGATATTTGGACCACTCTGTGTCCTTCGTTCGAAACGGGTATATCTTCACATGACATCTAGACAGAAGCTTTCTCAGAAAATTCTTTGGGATGATTGAGTTGAACTCACAGAGCTGAGCATTCCTTGCGATGTAGCAGTTTAGAAACACACTTTCTGCAGAATCTGCAAGTGCATATTTGGACCTCTGTGAGGAATTCGTTGGAAACGGGATAATTTCAGCTGACTAAACAGAAGCATTCTCAGAACCTTCTTCGTGATGTCTGCATTCAACTCACAGTGTGGAACCTTTCTTTGATAGTTCAGGTTTGAAACACTCTTTTTGTAGAAACTGCAAGGGGATAATTGCACTCTTTGAGGAGTACCGTAGTAAAGGAAATAACTTCCTATAAAAAGAAGACAGAAGCATTCTCAGAACCCTCTTCGTGATGTTTGCATTCAACTCACAGTGCTGAACCTTTCTTTGATAGTTCAGCTTTGAAACACTCTTTTTGTAGAAACTGCAAGTGGATATTTGGTCCTCTCTGAGCATTTCGTTGGAAACGGGATAAACTGCACAGAACTAAACAGAAGCATTCTCAGAACCTTCTTCGTGATGTTTGCATTCAACTCACAGTGTTGAACCTTTCTTTGATAGTTCAGGTTTGAAACGGTCTTTCTGTAGAAACTGCAAGTAGATATTTGGACCTCTCTGAGGATTTCGTTGGAAACGGGATAACCCGCACAGAACTAAAACAGAAGCATTCACAGAAAACTCTTGGTGACGACTGAGTTTAACTCACAGAGCTGAACATTCCTTTGGATGGAGCAGTTTCGAAACACACTATTTGTAGAATGTGCAAGTGGATATTTGGGCCTCTCTGAGGATTTCGTTGGAAACGGGATAAACCGCACAGAACTAAACAGAAGCATTCTCAGAAACTACTTTGTGATGATTGCATTCAAGTCACAGAGTTGAACATTCCCTTTGACAGAGCAGTTTGGAAACTCTCTTTGTGTAGAATCTGCAAGTGGAGATATGGACCGCTTTGAGGCCTATGGTAGTAAAGGAAATAGCTTCATATAAAAGCTAGACAGTAGCATTCTCAGAAACTTCTTTGTGATGCTTGCATTCAACTCACAGAGTTGAACTTTCCTTTCGAGAGAGAAGCTTTGAAACACTCTTTTTCCAGAATCTGCAAGTGGACATTTGGAGGGCTTTGAGGCCTGTGGTGGAAAAGGAATTATCTTCCCGTAAAAGCTAGATAGAAGCATTGTCAGAAACTTCTTTGTGATGATTGCATTCAACTCACAGAGTTGAAGGTTCCTTTTCAAAGAGCAGTTTCCAATCACTCTTTGTGTGGAATCTGCAAGTGGATATTTGGACCTATTTTGAAGATTTCGTTGGAAACGGGAGAATCTTCACAGGAAAGCTAAACAGAAGCATTCTCAGAAACTTCTCTGTGATGTTTGTGTTCAACTCCCAGAGTTTCACATTGCTTTTCATAGAGTAGTTCTGAAACATGCTTTTCGTAGTGTCTACAAGTGGACATTTGGAGCGCTTTCAGGCCTGTGGTGGAAAACGAATTATGGTCACATAAAAACTGGAGAGAAGCGTTCTCAGAAACTTCTCTGTGATGATTGCATTCAACTCACAGAGTTGAACCCTCCTATGGATAGAGCAGTGTTGAAACTCTCTTTTTGTGGAATCTGCAAGTGGATACGTGGACCTCTCCGAAGACGTCTTTGGAAACGGGAATATCTTCACATAAAAACTAAACAGAAGCATTCTCAGAAACTTCTTGGTGATGTTTGCATTCAAATCCCAGAGTTGAACCTTCCTTTGATAGTTCAGGTTTGAAACACTCTTTCTGTAGGATCTGCAAGTGGCTATTTGGACCACTCTGTGGCCTTCGTTCGAAACGGGTATATCTTCGCATTAAAATCTAGACAGAAGCATTCTCAGAAAATACTTTGTGATGATTGAGTTTAAATCACAGAGCTGACCATTCCTTTGGATGGAGCAGGTTTGAGACACACTTTTTGTAGAATCTACAAGTGGATATTTGGACCTCTCTGAGGATTTCGTTGGAAACGGGATAACTGCACCTAACTAAACGGAAGCATTCTCAGAAACTGCTTTGTGATGATTGCATTCACCTCACAGAGTTGAACATTCCTATTGATAGAGCAGTTTGGAAACACTCTTGTTGTGGAATGTGCAAGTGGAGATTTGGAGCGCTTTGAGGCCTATGGTAGTAAAGGGAATAGCTTCATAGAAAAACTAGACAGATGCATTCTCAGGAACTTTTTGGTGATGTTTGTATTCAACTCCCAGAGTTGAACTTTCCTTTGGAAAGAGCAGCTATGAAACACTCTTTTTCTAGAATCTGCAAGTGGACGTTTGGAGGGCTTTGTGGTTTGTGGTGGAAAAGGAAATATCTTCACCTAAATACTAGATAGAAGCATTCTCAGAAGCTTCTCTGTGATGACTGCATTCAACTCACGGAGTTGAACACTCCTTTTGAGAGCGCAGTTTTGAAACTCTCTTTCTGTGGCATCTGCAAGGGGACATGTAGACCTCTTTGAAGATTTCGTTGGAAACGGAATCATCTTCACATAAAAACTATACAGAAGCAGTCTCAGAATCTTCTTTGTGATGTTTGCATTCAAATCCCAGAGTTGAACTTTCCTTTCAAAGTTCACGTTTGAAACACTCTTTTTGCAGGATCTACAAGTGGATATTTGGACCACTCTGTGTCCTTCGTTCGAAACGGGTATATCTTCACACGACATCTAGACAGAAGCTTTCTCAGAAAATTCTTTGGGATGATTGAGTGGAACTCACAGAGCTGAACATTCCTTGCGATGTAGCAGTTTAGAAACACACTTTCTGCAGAATCTGCAAGTGCATATTTGGACCTCTCTGAGGAATTCGTTGGAAACGGGATAATTTCAGCTGACTAAACAGAAGCATTCTCAGAACCTTCTTCGTGATGTCTGCATTCAACTCACAGTGTGGAACCTTTCTTTGATAGTTCAGGTTTGAAACACTCTTTTTGTAGAAACTGCAAGGGGATAATTGCACTTCTTTGAGGCCTACCGTAGTAAAGGAAATAACTTCCTATAGAAAGAAGACAGAAGCATTCTCAGAACCCTCTTCGTGATGTTTGCATTCAACTCACAGTGCTGAACCTTTCTTTGATAGTTCAGCTTTGAAACACTCTTCTTGTAGAAACTGCAAGTGGATATTTGGTCCTCTCTGAGGATTTCGTTGGAAACGGGATAAACCGCACAGAACTAAACAGAAGAATTCTCAGAGCCCTCTTCGTGATGTTTGCATTCAACTCACAGTGCTGAACCTTTCTTTGATAGTGCAGCTTTGAAACACTCTTTTTGTGGAAACTGCAAGTGGATGTTTGGTCCTCTCTGAGGATTTCGTTGGAAACGGGATAAACCGCACAGAACTAAAACAGAAGCATTGTCAGAAACTTCTTTGTGATGATTGCATTCAACTCACAGAGTTGAAGGTTCCTTTTCAAACAGCAGTTTCCAATCACTCTTTCTGTGGAATCTGCAAGTGGATATTTGGGCCTCTCTGAGGATTTCGTTGGAAACGGGATAAAACGCACAGAACTAAAACAGAAGCATTCTCAGAAACTTCTCTGTGATGTTTGTGTTCAACTCCCAGAGTTTCACATTGCTTTTCATAGAGTAGTTCTGAAACATGCTTTTCGTAGTGTCTACAAGTGGACATTTGGAGCGCTTTCAGGCCTGTGGTGGAAAACGAATTATGGTCACATAAAAACTGGAGAGAAGCCTTCTCAGAAACTTCTCTGTGATGATTGCATTCAACTCACAGAGTTGAACCCTCCCTATGGATAGAGCAGTGTTGAAACTCTCTTTTTGTGGAATCTGCAAGTGGATATGTGGACCTCTCCGAAGATGTCTTTGGAAACGGGAATATCTTCACATAAAAACTAAACAGAAGCATTCTCAGAAAATTCTTGGTGATGTTTGCATTCAAATCCCAGAGTTGAACCTTCCTTTGATAGTTCAGGTTTGAAACACTCTTTTTGTAGGATCTGCAAGTGGATATTTGGACCACTCTGTGGCCTTCGTTCCAAACGGGTACATCTTCGCATAAAATCTAGACAGAAGCATTCTCAGAAAATACTTTGTGATGATTGAGTTGAACTCACAGAGCTGAACATTCCTTTGGATGGAGCAGGTTTGAGACACACTTTTTGTAGAATCTACAAGTGGATATTTGGACCTCTCTGAGGATTTCGTTGGAAACGGGATAACTGCACATAACTAAACGGAAGCATTCTCAGAAACTGCTTTGTGATGATTGCATTCACGTCACAGAGTTGAACATTCCTATTGATAGAGCAGTTTGGAAACACTCTTGTTGTGGAATGTGCAAGTGGAGATTTGGAGCGCTTTGAGGCCTATGGTAGTAAAGGGAATAGCTTCATAGAAAAACTAGACAGATGCATTCTCAGGAACCTTTTGGTGATGTTTGTATTCAACTCCCAGAGTTGAACTTTCCTTTGGAAAGAGCAGCTATGAAACACTCTTTTTCTAGAATCTGCAAGTGGACGTTTGGAGGGCTTTGTGGTTTGTGGTGGAAAAGGAAATATCTTCACCTAAATACTAGATAGAAGCATTCTCAGAAGCTTCTCTGTGATGACTGCATTCAACTCACGGAGTTGAACACTCCTTTTGAGAGCGCAGTTTTGAAACTCTCTTTCTGTGGCATCTGCAAGGGGACATGTAGACCTCTTTGAAGATTTCGTTGGAAACGGAATCATCTTCACATAAAAACTATACAGAAGCAGTCTCAGAATCTTCTTTGTGATGTTTGCATTCAAATCCCAGAGTTGAACTTTCCTTTCAAAGTTCACGTTTGAAACACTCTTTTTGCAGGATCTACAAGTGGATATTTGGACCACTCTGTGTCCTTCGTTCGAAACGGGTATATCTTCACACGACATCTAGACAGAAGCTTTCTCAGAAAATTCTTTGGGATGATTGAGTGGAACTCACAGAGCTGAACATTCCTTGCGATGGAGCAGTTTAGAAACACACTTTCTGCAGAATCTGCAAGTGCATATTTGGACCTCTCTGAGGAATTCGTTGGAAACGGGATAATTTCAGCTGACTAAACAGAAGCATTCTCAGAACCTTCTTCGTGATGTCTGCATTCAACTCACAGTGTGGAACCTTTCTTTGATAGTTCAGGTTTGAAACACTCTTTTTGTAGAAACTGCAAGGGGATAATTGCACTTCTTTGAGGCCTACCGTAGTAAAGGAAATAACTTCCTATAGAAAGAAGACAGAAGCATTCTCAGAACCCTCTTCGTGATGTTTGCATTCAACTCACAGTGCTGAACCTTTCTTTGATAGTTCAGCTTTGAAACACTCTTCTTGTAGAAACTGCAAGTGGATATTTGGTCCTCTCTGAGGATTTCGTTGGAAACGGGATAAACCGCACAGAACTAAACAGAAGCATTCTCAGAGCCCTCTTCGTGATGTTTGCATTCAACTCACAGTGCTGAACCTTTCTTTGATAGTGCAGCTTTGAAACACTCTTTTTGTAGAAACTGCAAGTGGATGTTTGGTCCTCTCTGAGGATTTCGTTGGAAACGGGATAAACCGCACAGAACTAAAACAGAAGCATTGTCAGAAACTTCTTTGTGATGATTGCATTCAACTCACAGAGTTGAAGGTTCCTTTTCAAACAGCAGTTTCCAATCACTCTTTCTGTGGAATCTGCAAGTGGATATTTGGGCCTCTCTGAGGATTTCGTTGGAAACGGGATAAAACGCACAGAACTAAAACAGAAGCATTCTCAGAAACTTCTCTGTGATGTTTGTGTTCAACTCCCAGAGTTTCACGTTGCTTTTCATAGAGTAGTTCTGAAACATGCTTTTCGTAGTGTCTGCAAGTGGACATTTGGAGCGCTTTCAGGCCTGTGGTGGAAAACGAATTATGGTCACATAAAAACTGGAGAGAAGCCTTCTCAGAAACTTCTCTGTGATGATTGCATTCAACTCACAGAGTTGAACCCTCCTATGGATAGAGCAGTGTTGAAACTCTCTTTTTGTGGAATCTGCAAGTGGATATGTGGACCTCTCCGAAGATGTCTTTGGAAACGGGAATATCTTCACATAAAAACTAAACAGAAGCATTCTCAGAAACTTCTTGGTGATGTTTGCATTCAAATCCCAGAGTTGAACCTTCCTTTGATAGTTCAGGTTTGAAACACTCTTTCTGTAGGATCTGCAAGTGGCTATTTGGACCACTCTGTGGCCTTCGTTCGAAACGGGTATATCTTCGCATAAAATCTAGACAGAAGCATTCTCAGAAAATACTTTGTGATGATTGAGTTTAAATCACAGAGCTGACCATTCCTTTGGATGGAGCAGGTTTGAGACACACTTTTTGTAGAATCTACAAGTGGATATTTGGACCTCTCTGAGGATTTCGTTGGAAACGGGATAACTGCACCTAACTAAACGGAAGCATTCTCAGAAACTGCTTTGTGATGATTGCATTCACCTCACAGAGTTGAACATTCCTATTGATAGAGCAGTTTGGAAACACTCTTGTTGCGGAATGTGCAAGTGGAGATTTGGAGCGCTTTGAGGCCTGTGGTAGTAAAGGGAATAGCTTCATAGAAAAACTAGACAGATGCATTCTCAGGAACCTTTTGGTGATGTTTGTATTCAACTCCCAGAGTTGAACTTTCCTTTGGAAAGAGCAGCTATGAAACACTCTTTTTCTAGAATCTGCAAGTGGACGTTTGGAGGGCTTTGTGGTTTGTGGTGGAAAAGGAAATATCTTCACCTAAATACTAGATAGAAGCATTCTCAGAAGCTTCTCTGTGATGACTGCATTCAACTCACGGAGTTGAACACTCCTTTTGAGAGCGCAGTTTTGAAACTCTCTTTCTGTGGCATCTGCAAGGGGACATGTAGACCTCTTTGAAGATTTCGTTGGAAACGGAATCATCTTCACATAAAAACTATACAGAAGCAGTCTCAGAATCTTCTTTGTGATGTTTGCATTCAAATCCCAGAGTTGAACTTTCCTTTCAAAGTTCACGTTTGAAACACTCTTTTTGCAGGATCTACAAGTGGATATTTGGACCACTCTGTGTCCTTCGTTCGAAACGGGTATATCTTCACACGACATCTAGACAGAAGCTTTCTCAGAAAATTCTTTGGGATGATTGAGTGGAACTCACAGAGCTGAACATTCCTTGCGATGTAGCAGTTTAGAAACACACTTTCTGCAGAATCTGCAAGTGCATATTTGGACCTCTCTGAGGAATTCGTTGGAAACGGGATAATTTCAGCTGACTAAACAGAAGCATTCTCAGAACCTTCTTCGTGATGTCTGCATTCAACTCACAGTGTGGAACCTTTCTTTGATAGTTCAGGTTTGAAACACTCTTTTTGTAGAAACTGCAAGGGGATAATTGCACTTCTTTGAGGCCTACCGTAGTAAAGGAAATAACTTCCTATAGAAAGAAGACAGAAGCATTCTCAGAACCCTCTTCGTGATGTTTGCATTCAACTCACAGTGCTGAACCTTTCTTTGATAGTTCAGCTTTGAAACACTCTTCTTGTAGAAACTGCAAGTGGATATTTGGTCCTCTCTGAGGATTTCGTTGGAAACGGGATAAACCGCACAGAACTAAACAGAAGAATTCTCAGAGCCCTCTTCGTGATGTTTGCATTCAACTCACAGTGCTGAACCTTTCTTTGATAGTGCAGCTTTGAAACACTCTTTTTGTAGAAACTGCAAGTGGATGTTTGGTCCTCTCTGAGGATTTCGTTGGAAACCGGGATAAACCGCACAGAACTAAAACAGAAGCATTCACAGAAAACTCTTGGTGACGACTGAGTTTAACTCACAGAGCTGAACATTCCTTTGGATGGAGCAGTTTCGAAACACACTATTTGTAGAATCTGCAAGTGGATATTTGGGCCTCTCTGAGGATTTCGTTGGAAACGGGATAAAACGCACAGAACTAAAACAGAAGCATTCTCAGAAACTACTTTGTGATGATTGCATTCAAGTCACAGAGTTGAACATTCCCTTTGACAGAGCAGTTTGGAAACTCTCTTTGTGTAGAATCTGCAAGTGGAGATATGGACCGCTTTGAGGCCTATGGTAGTAAAGGAAATAGCTTCATATAAAAGCTAGACAGTAGCATTCTCAGAAACTTCTTTGTGATGCTTGCATTCAACTCACAGAGTTGAACTTTCCTTTCGAGAGAGAAGCTTTGAAACACTCTTTTTCCAGAATGTGCAAGTGGACATTTGGGGAGCTTTGAGGCCTGTGCTGGAAAAGGAATTATCTTCCCGTAAAAGCTAGATAGAAGCATTGTCAGAAACTTCTTTGTGATGATTGCATTCAACTCACAGAGTTGAAGGTTCCTTTTCAAACAGCAGTTTCCAATCACTCTTTCTGTGGAATCTGCAAGTGGATATTTCGACCTCTTTGAAGATTTCGTTGGAAACGGGAGAATCTTCACAGAAAAGCTAAACAGAAGCATTCTCAGAAACTTCTCTGTGATGTTTGTGTTCAACTCCCAGAGTTTCACGTTGCTTTTCATAGAGTAGTTCTGAAACATGCTTTTCGTAGTGTCTGCAAGTGGACATTTGGAGCGCTTTCAGGCCTGTGGTGGAAAACGAATTATGGTCACATAAAAACTGGAGAGAAGCCTTCTCAGAAACTTCTCTGTGATGATTGCATTCAACTCACAGAGTTGAACCCTCCCTATGGATAGAGCAGTGTTGAAACTCTCTTTTTGTGGAATCTGCAAGTGGATATGTGGACCTCTCCGAAGATGTCTTTGGAAACGGGAATATCTTCACATAAAAACTAAACAGAAGCATTCTCAGAAACTTCTTGGTGATGTTTGCATTCAAATCCCAGAGTTGAACCTTCCTTTGATAGTTCAGGTTTGAAACACTCTTTTTGTAGGATCTGCAAGTGGATATTTGGACCACTCTGTGGCCTTCGTTCGAAACGGGTACATCTTCGCATAAAATCTAGACAGAAGCATTCTCAGAAAATACTTTGTGATGATTGAGTTGAACTCACAGAGCTGAACATTCCTTTGGATGGAGCAGGTTTGAGACACACTTTTTGTAGAATCTACAAGTGGATATTTGGACCTCTCTGAGGATTTCGTTGGAAATGGGATAACTGCACCTAACTAAACGGAAGCATTCTCAGAAACTGCTTTGTGATGATTGCATTCACCTCACAGAGTTGAACATTCCTATTGATAGAGCAGTTTGGAAACACTCTTGTTGTGGAATGTGCAAGTGGAGATTTGGAGCGCTTTGAGGCCTATGGTAGTAAAGGGAATAGCTTCATAGAAAAACTAGACAGATGCATTCTCAGGAACTTTTTGGTGATGTTTGTATTCAACTCCCAGAGTTGAACTTTCCTTTGGAAAGAGCAGCTATGAAACACTCTTTTTCTAGAATCTGCAAGTGGACAGTTTGGAGGGCTTTGTGGTTTGTGGTGGAAAAGGAAATATCTTCACCTAAATACTAGATAGAAGCATTCTCAGAAGCTTCTCTGTGATGACTGCATTCAACTCACGGAGTTGAACACTCCTTTTGAGAGCGCAGTTTTGAAACTCTCTTTCTGTGGCATCTGCAAGGGGACATGTAGACCTCTTTGAAGATTTCGTTGGAAACGGAATCATCTTCACATAAAAACTATACAGAAGCAGTCTCAGAATCTTCTTTGTGATGTTTGCATTCAAATCCCAGAGTTGAACTTTCCTTTCAAAGTTCACGTTTGAAACACTCTTTTTGCAGGATCTACAAGTGGATATTTGGACCACTCTGTGTCCTTCGTTCGAAACGGGTATATCTTCACACGACATCTAGACAGAAGCTTTCTCAGAAAATTCTTTGGGATGATTGAGTGGAACTCACAGAGCTGAACATTCCTTGCGATGGAGCAGTTTAGAAACACACTTTCTGCAGAATCTGCAAGTGCATATTTGGACCTCTCTGAGGAATTCGTTGGAAACGGGATAATTTCAGCTGACTAAACAGAAGCATTCTCAGAACCTTCTTCGTGATGTCTGCATTCAACTCACAGTGTGGAACCTTTCTTTGATAGTTCAGGTTTGAAACACTCTTTTTGTAGAAACTGCAAGGGGATAATTGCACTTCTTTGAGGCCTACCGTAGTAAAGGAAATAACTTCCTATAGAAAGAAGACAGAAGCATTCTCAGAACCCTCTTCGTGATGTTTGCATTCAACTCACAGTGCTGAACCTTTCTTTGATAGTTCAGCTTTGAAACACTCTTCTTGTAGAAACTGCAAGTGGATATTTGGTCCTCTCTGAGGATTTCGTTGGAAACGGGATAAACCGCACAGAACTAAACAGAAGAATTCTCAGAGCCCTCTTCGTGATGTTTGCATTCAACTCACAGTGCTGAACCTTTCTTTGATAGTGCAGCTTTGAAACACTCTTTTTGTAGAAACTGCAAGTGGATGTTTGGTCCTCTCTGAGGATTTCGTTGGAAACGGGATAAACCGCACAGAACTAAAACAGAAGCATTGTCAGAAACTTCTTTGTGATGATTGCATTCAACTCACAGAGTTGAAGGTTCCTTTTCAAACAGCAGTTTCCAATCACTCTTTCTGTGGAATCTGCAAGTGGATATTTGGGCCTCTCTGAGGATTTCGTTGGAAACGGGATAAAACGCACAGAACTAAAACAGAAGCATTCTCAGAAACTTCTCTGTGATGTTTGTGTTCAACTCCCAGAGTTTCACGTTGCTTTTCATAGAGTAGTTCTGAAACATGCTTTTCGTAGTGTCTGCAAGTGGACATTTGGAGCGCTTTCAGGCCTGTGGTGGAAAACGAATTATGGTCACATAAAAACTGGAGAGAAGCCTTCTCAGAAACTTCTCTGTGATGATTGCATTCAACTCACAGAGTTGAACCCTCCTATGGATAGAGCAGTGTTGAAACTCTCTTTTTGTGGAATCTGCAAGTGGATATGTGGACCTCTCCGAAGATGTCTTTGGAAACGGGAATATCTTCACATAAAAACTAAACAGAAGCATTCTCAGAAACTGCTTTGTGATGATTGCATTCACCTCACAGAGTTGAACATTCCTATTGATAAAGCAGTTCATAAACGCTCTTGTTGCAGAATCTGCAAGTGGATATTTGGACCACTCTGTGGCCTTCGTTCGAAACGGGTACATCTTCACATAAAATCTAGACAGAAGCATTCTCAGAAAATAGTTTGTGATGATTGAGTTGAACTCACAGAGCTGAACATTCCTTTGGATGGAGCAGGTTTGAGACACACTTTTTGTAGAATCTACAAGTGGATATTTGGACCTCTCTGAGGATTTCGTTGGAAACGGGATAACTGCACCTAACTAAACGGAAGCATTCTCAGAAACTGCTTTGTGATGATTGCATTCACATCACAGAGTTGAACATTCCTATTGATAGAGCAGTTTGGAAACACTCTTGTTGTGGAATGTGCAAGTGGAGATTTGGAGCGCTTTGAGGCCTATGGTAGTAAAGGGAATAGCTTCATAGAAAAACTAGACAGATGCATTCTCAGGAACTTTTTGGTGATGTTTGTATTCAACTCCCAGAGTTGAACTTTCCTTTGGAAAGAGCAGCTATGAAACACTCTTTTTCTAGAATCTGCAAGTGGACGTTTGGAGGGCTTTGTGGTTTGTGGTGGAAAAGGAAATATCTTCACCTAAATACTAGATAGAAGCATTCTCAGAAGCTTCTCTGTGATGACTGCATTCAACTCACGGAGTTGAACACTCCTTTTGAGAGCGCAGTTTTGAAACTCTCTTTCTGTGGCATCTGCAAGGGGACATGTAGACCTCTTTGAAGATTTCGTTGGAAACGGAATTCATCTTCACATAAAAACTATACAGAAGCAGTCTCAGAATCTTCTTTGTGATGTTTGCATTCAAATCCCAGAGTTGAACTTTCCTTTCAAAGTTCACGTTTGAAACACTCTTTTTGCAGGATCTACAAGTGGATATTTGGACCACTCTGTGTCCTTCGTTCGAAACGGGTATATCTTCACATGACATCTAGACAGAAGCTTTCTCAGAAAATTCTTTGGGATGATTGAGTTGAACTCACAGAGCTGAACATTCCTTGCGATGTAGCAGTTTAGAAACACACTTTCTGCAGAATCTGCAAGTGCATATTTGGACCTCTCTGAGGAATTCGTTGGAAACGGGATAATTTCAGCTGACTAAACAGAAGCATTCTCAGAACCTTCTTCGTGATGTCTGCATTCAACTCACAGTGTGGAATCTTTCTTTGATAGTTCAGGTTTGAAACACTCTTTTTGTAGAAACTGCAAGGGGATAATTGCACTTCTTTGAGGCCTACCGTAGTAAAGGAAATAACTTCCTATAAAAAGAAGACAGAAGCATTCTCAGAACCCTCTTCGTGATGTTTGCATTCAACTCACAGTGCTGAACCTTTCTTTGATAGTTCAGCTTTGAAACACTCTTCTTGTAGAAACTGCAAGTGGATATTTGGTCCTCTCTGAGGATTTCGTTGGAAACGGGATAAACCGCACAGAACTAAACAGAAGATTTCTCAGAGCCCTCTTCGTGATGTTTGCATTCAACTCACAGTGCTGAACCTTTCTTTGATAGTGCAGCTTTGAAACACTCTTTTTGTAGAAACTGCAAGTGGATATTTGGTCCTCTCTGAGGATTTCGTTGGAAACGGGATAAACCGCACAGAACTAAAACAGAAGCATTCACAGAAAACTCTTGGTGACGACTGAGTTTAACTCACAGAGCTGAACATTCCTTTGGATGGAGCAGTTTCGAAACACACTATTTGTAGAATCTGCAAGTGGATATTTGGGCCTCTCTGAGGATTTCGTTGGAAACGGGATAAAACGCACAGAACTAAAACAGAAGCATTCTCAGAAACTACTTTGTGATGATTGCATTCAAGTCACAGAGTTGAACATTCCCTTTGACATAGCAGTTTGGAAACTCTCTTTGTGTAGAATCTGCAAGTGGAGATATGGACCGCTTTGAGGCCTACGGTAGTAAAGGAAATAGCTTCATATAAAAGCTAGACAGTAGCATTCTCAGAAACTTCTTTGTGATGCTTGCATTCAACTCACAGAGTTGAACTTTCCTTTCGAGAGAGAAGCTTTGAAACACTCTTTTTCCAGAATGTGCAAGTGGACATTTGGGGAGCTTTGAGGCCTGGGGTGGAAAAGGAATTATCTTCCCGTAAAAGCTAGATAGAAGCATTGTCAGAAACTTCTTTGTGATGATTGCATTCAACTCACAGAGTTGAAGGTTCCTTTTCAAACAGCAGTTTCCAATCACTCTTTCTGTGGAATCTGCAAGTGGATATTTCGACCTCTTTGAAGATTTCGTTGGAAACGGGAGAATCTTCCCAGAAAAGCTAAACAGAAGCATTCTCAGAAACTTCTCTGTGATGTTTGTGTTCAACTCCCAGAGTTTCACGTTGCTTTTCATAGAGTAGTTCTGAAACATGCTTTTCGTAGTGTCTGCAAGTGGACATTTGGAGCGCTTTCAGGCCTGTGGTGGAAAACGAATTATGGTCACATAAAAACTGGAGAGAAGCCTTCTCAGAAACTTCTCTGTGATGATTGCATTCAACTCACAGAGTTGAACCCTCCTATGGATAGAGCAGTGTTGAAACTCTCTTTTTGTGGAATCTGCAAGTGGATATGTGGACCTCTCCGAAGATGTCTTTGGAAACGGGAATATCTTCACATAAAAACTAAACAGAAGCATTCTCAGAAACTTCTTGGTGATATTTGCATTCAAATCCCAGAGTTGAACCTTCCTTTGATAGTTCAGGTTTGAAACACTCTTTTTGTAGGATCTGCAAGTGGCTATTTGGACCACTCTGTGGCCTTCGTTCGAAACGGGTACATCTTCGCATAAAATCTAGACAGAAGCATTCTCAGAAAATACTTTGTGATGATTGAGTTTAACTCACAGAGCTGAACATTCCTTTGGATGGAGCAGGTTTGAGACACACTTTTTGTAGAATCTACAAGCGGATATTTGGACCTCTCTGAGGATTTCGTTGGAAACGGGATAACTGCACCTAACTAAACGGAAGCATTCTCAGAAACTGCTTTGTGATGATTGCATTCACCTCACAGAGTTGACCATTCCTATTGATAGAGCAGTTTGGAAACACTCTTGTTGTGGAATGTGCAAGTGCAGATTTGGAGCGCTTTGAGGCCTATGGTAGTAAAGGGAATAGCTTCATAGAAAATCTAGACAGATGCATTCACAGGAACTTTTTGGTGATGTTTGTATTCAACTCCCAGAGTTGAACTTTCCTTTGGAAAGAGCAGCTATGAAACACTCTTTTTCTAGAATCTGCAAGTGGACGTTTGGAGGGCTTTGTGGTTTGTGGTGGAAAAGGAAATATCTTCACCTAAATACTAGATAGAAGCATTCTCAGAAGCTTCTCTGTGATGACTGCATTCAACTCACGGAGTTGAACACTCCTTTTGAGAGCGCAGTTTTGAAACTCTCTTTCTGTAGCATCTGCAAGGGGACATGTTGACCTCTTTGAAGATTTCGTTGGAAACGGAATCATCTTCACATAAAAACTATACAGAAGCAGTCTCAGAATCTTCTTTGTGATGTTTGCATTCAAATCCCAGAGTTGAACTTTCCTTTCAAAGTTCACGTTTGAAACACTCTTTTTGCAGGATCTACAAGTGGATATTTGGACCACTCTGTGTCCTTCGTTCGAAACGGGTATATCTTCACATGACATCTAGACAGAAGCTTTCTCAGAAAATTCTTTGGGATGATTGAGTGGAACTCACAGAGCTGAACATTCCTTGCGATGTAGCAGTTTAGAAACACACTTTCTGCAGAATCTGCAAGTGCATATTTGGACCTCTCTGAGGAATTCGTTGGAAACGGGATAATTTCAGCTGACTAAACAGAAGCATTCTCAGAACCTTCTTCGTGATGTCTGCATTCAACTCACAGTGTGGAACCTTTCTTTGATAGTTCAGGTTTGAAACACTCTTTTTGTAGAAACTGCAAGGGGATAATGGCACTTCTTTGAGGCCTACCGTAGTAAAGGAAATAACTTCCTATAGAAAGAAGACAGAAGCATTCTCAGAACCCTCTTCGTGATGTTTGCATTCAACTCACAGTGCTGAACCTTTCTTTGATAGTTCAGCTTTGAAACACTCTTCTTGTAGAAACTGCAAGTGGATATTTGGTCCTCTCTGAGGATTTCGTTGGAAACGGGATAAACCGCACAGAACTAAACAGAAGCATTCTCAGAACCTTCTTCGTGATGTTTGCATTCAACTCACAGTGTTGAACCTTTCTTTGATAGTTCAGGTTTGAAACGGTCTTTCTGTAGAAACTGCAAGTAGATATTTGGACCTCTCTGAGGATTTCGTTGGAAACGGGATAAACCGCACAGAACTAAAACAGAAGCATTCACAGAAAACTCTTGGTGACGACTGAGTTTAACTCACAGAGCTGAACATTCCTTTGGATGGAGCAGTTTCGAAACACACTATTTGTAGAATGTGCAAGTGGATATTTGGGCCTCTCTGAGGATTTCGTTGGAAACGGGATAAACCGCACAGAAATAAACAGAAGCATTCTCAGAAACTACTTTGTGATGATTGCATTCAAGTCACAGAGTTGAACATTCCCTTTGACAGAGCAGTTTGGAAACTCTCTTTGTGTAGAATCTGCAAGTGGAGATATGGACCGCTTTGAGGCCTATGGTAGTAAAGGAAATAGCTTCATATAAAAGCTAGACAGTAGCATTCTCAGAAACTTCTTTGTGATGCTTGCATTCAACTCACAGAGTTGAACTTTCCTTTGGAGAGAGAAGCTTTGAAACACTCTTTTTCCGGAATCTGCAAGTGGACATTTGGAGGGCTTTGAGGCCTGTGGTGGAAAAGGAATTATCTTCCCGTAAAAGCTAGATAGAAGCATTGTCAGAAACTTCTTTGTGATGATTGCATTCAACTCACAGAGTTGAAGGTTCCTTTTCAAACAGCAGTTTCCAATCACTCTTTCTGTGGAATCTGCAAGTGGATATTTCGACCTCTTTGAAGATTTCGTTGGAAACGGGAGAATCTTCACAGAAAAGCTAAACAGAAGCATTCTCAGAAACTTCTCTGTGATGTTTGTGTTCAACTCCCAGAGTTTCACGTTGCTTTTCATAGAGTAGTTCTGAAACATGCTTTTCGTAGTGTCTGCAAGTGGACATTTGGAGCGCTTTCAGGCCTGTGGTGGAAAACGAATTATGGTCACATAAAAACTGGAGAGAAGCCTTCTCAGAAACTTCTCTGTGATGATTGCATTCAACTCACAGAGTTGAACCCTCCTATGGATAGAGCAGTGTTGAAACTCTCTTTTTGTGGAATCTGCAAGTGGATATGTGGACCTCTCCGAAGATGTCTTTGGAAACGGGAATATCTTCACATAAAAACTAAACAGAAGCATTCTCAGAAACTTCTTGGTGATGTTTGCATTCAAATCCCAGAGTTGAACCTTCCTTTGATAGTTCAGGTTTGAAACACTCTTTCTGTAGGATCTGCAAGTGGCTATTTGGACCACTCTGTGGCCTTCGTTCGAAACGGGTATATCTTCGCATAAAATCTAGACAGAAGCATTCTCAGAAAATACTTTGTGATGATTGAGTTTAAATCACAGAGCTGACCATTCCTTTGGATGGAGCAGGTTTGAGACACACTTTTTGTAGAATCTACAAGTGGATATTTGGACCTCTCTGAGGATTTCGTTGGAAACGGGATAACTGCACCTAACTAAACGGAAGCATTCTCAGAAACTGCTTTGTGATGATTGCATTCACCTCACAGAGTTGAACATTCCTATTGATAGAGCAGTTTGGAAACACTCTTGTTGTGGAATGTGCAAGTGGAGATTTGGAGCGCTTTGAGGCCTATGGTAGTAAAGGGAATAGCTTCATAGAAAAACTAGACAGATGCATTCTCAGGAACTTTTTGGTGATGTTTGTATTCAACTCCCAGAGTTGAACTTTCCTTTGGAAAGAGCAGCTATGAAACACTCTTTTTCTAGAATCTGCAAGTGGACGTTTGGAGGGCTTTGTGGTTTGTGGTGGAAAAGGAAATATCTTCACCTAAATACTAGACAGAAGCATTCTCAGAAGCTTCTCTGTGATGACTGCATTCAACTCACGGAGTTGAACACTCCTTTTGAGAGCGCAGTTTTGAAACTCTCTTTCTGTGGCATCTGCAAGGGGACATGTAGACCTCTTTGAAGATTTCGTTGGAAACGGAATCATCTTCACATAAAAACTATACAGAAGCAGTCTCAGAATCTTCTTTGTGATGTTTGCATTCAAATCCCAGAGTTGAACTTTCCTTTCAAAGTTCACGTTTGAAACACTCTTTTTGCAGGATCTACAAGTGGATATTTGGACCACTCTGTGTCCTTCGTTCGAAACGGGTATATCTTCACACGACATCTAGACAGAAGCTTTCTCAGAAAATTCTTTGGGATGATTGAGTGGAACTCACAGAGCTGAACATTCCTTGCGATGTAGCAGTTTAGAAACACACTTTCTGCAGAATCTGCAAGTGCATATTTGGACCTCTCTGAGGAATTCGTTGGAAACGGGATAATTTCAGCTGACTAAACAGAAGCATTCTCAGAACCTTCTTCGTGATGTCTGCATTCAACTCACAGTGTGGAACCTTTCTTTGATAGTTCAGGTTTGAAACACTCTTTTTGTAGAAACTGCAAGGGGATAATTGCACTTCTTTGAGGCCTACCGTAGTAAAGGAAATAACTTCCTATAGAAAGAAGACAGAAGCATTCTCAGAACCCTCTTCGTGATGTTTGCATTCAACTCACAGTGCTGAACCTTTCTTTGATAGTTCAGCTTTGAAACACTCTTCTTGTAGAAACTGCAAGTGGATATTTGGTCCTCTCTGAGGATTTCGTTGGAAACGGGATAAACCGCACAGAACTAAACAGAAGAATTCTCAGAGCCCTCTTCGTGATGTTTGCATTCAACTCACAGTGCTGAACCTTTCTTTGATAGTGCAGCTTTGAAACACTCTTTTTGTAGAACCTGCAAGTGGATATTTGGTCCTCTCTGAGGATTTCGTTGGAAACGGGATAAACCGCACAGAACTAAAACAGAAGCATTGTCAGAAACTTCTTTGTGATGATTGCATTCAACTCACAGAGTTGAAGGTTCCTTTTCAAACAGCAGTTTCCAATCACTCTTTCTGTGGAATCTGCAAGTGGATATTTGGGCCTCTCTGAGGATTTCGTTGGAAACGGGATAAAACGCACAGAACTAAAACAGAAGCATTCTCAGAAACTTCTCTGTGATGTTTGTGTTCAACTCCCAGAGTTTCACGTTGCTTTTCATAGAGTAGTTCTGAAACATGCTTTTCGTAGTGTCTGCAAGTGGACATTTGGAGCGCTTTCAGGCCTGTGGTGGAAAACGAATTATGGTCACATAAAAACTGGAGAGAAGCCTTCTCAGAAACTTCTCTGTGATGATTGCATTCAACTCACAGAGTTGAACCCTCCTATGGATAGAGCAGTGTTGAAACTCTCTTTTTGTGGAATCTGCAAGTGGATATGTGGACCTCTCCGAAGATGTCTTTGGAAACGGGAATATCTTCACATAAAAACTAAACAGAAGCATTCTCAGAAACTTCTTGGTGATGTTTGCATTCAAATCCCAGAGTTGAACCTTCCTTTGATAGTTCAGGTTTGAAACACTCTTTTTGTAGGATCTGCAAGTGGCTATTTGGACCATTGTGTGGCCTTCGTTCGAAACGGGTATATCTTCGCATAAAATCTAGACAGAAGCATTCTCAGAAAATACTTTGTGATGATTGAGTTTAAATCACAGAGCTGAACATTCCTTTGGATGGAGCAGGTTTGAGACACACTTTTTGTAGAATCTACAAGTGGATATTTGGACCTCTCTGAGGATTTCGTTGGAAACGGGATAACTGCACCTAACTAAACGGAAGCATTCTCAGAAACTGCTTTGTGATGATTGCATTCACCTCACAGAGTTGAACATTCCTATTGATAGAGCAGTTTGGAAACACTCTTGTTGTGGAATGTGCAAGTGGAGATTTGGAGCGCTTTGAGGCCTATGGTAGTAAAGGGAATAGCTTCATAGAAAAACTAGACAGATGCATTCTCAGGAACTTTTTGGTGATGTTTGTATTCAACTCCCAGAGTTGAACTTTCCTTTGGAAAGAGCAGCTATGAAACACTCTTTTTCTAGAATCTGCAAGTGGACGTTTGGAGGGCTTTGTGGTTTGTGGTGGAAAAGGAAATATCTTCACCTAAATACTAGATAGAAGCATTCTCAGAAGCTTCTCTGTGATGACTGCATTCAACTCACGGAGTTGAACACTCCTTTTGAGAGCGCAGTTTTGAAACTCTCTTTCTGTGGCATCTGCAAGGGGACATGTAGACCTCTTTGAAGATTTCGTTGGAAACGGAATCATCTTCACATAAAAACTATACAGAAGCAGTCTCAGAATCTTCTTTGTGATGTTTGCATTCAAATCCCAGAGTTGAACTTTCCTTTCAAAGTTCACGTTTGAAACACTCTTTTTGCAGGATCTACAAGTGGATATTTGGACCACTCTGTGTCCTTCGTTCGAAACGGGTATATCTTCACACGACATCTAGACAGAAGCTTTCTCAGAAAATTCTTTGGGATGATTGAGTGGAACTCACAGAGCTGAACATTCCTTGCGATGTAGCAGTTTAGAAACACACTTTCTGCAGAATCTGCAAGTGCATATTTGGACCTCTCTGAGGAATTCGTTGGAAACGGGATAATTTCAGCTGACTAAACAGAAGCATTCTCAGAACCTTCTTCGTGATGTCTGCATTCAACTCACAGTGTGGAACCTTTCTTTGATAGTTCAGGTTTGAAACACTCTTTTTGTAGAAACTGCAAGGGGATAATTGCACTTCTTTGAGGCCTACCGTAGTAAAGGAAATAACTTCCTATAGAAAGAAGACAGAAAGCATTCTCAGAACCCTCTTCGTGATGTTTGCATTCAACTCACAGTGCTGAACCTTTCTTTGATAGTTCAGCTTTGAAACACTCTTCTTGTAGAAACTGCAAGTGGATATTTGGTCCTCTCTGAGGATTTCGTTGGAAACGGGATAAACCGCACAGAACTAAACAGAGCATTCTCAAAACCTTCTTCGTGATGTTTGCATTCAACTCACGGTGTTGAACCTTTCTTTGATAGTTCAGGTTTGAAACGGTCTGTCTGTAGAAACTGCAAGTAGATATTTGGACCTCTCTGAGGATTTCGTTGGAAACGGGATAAACCGCACAGAACTAAAACAGAAGCATTCACAGAAAACTCTTGTTGACGACTGAGTTTAACTCACAGAGCTGAACATTCCTTTGGATGGAGCAGTTTCGAAACACACTATTTGTAGAATCTGCAAGTGGATATTTGGGCCTCTCTGAGGATTTCGTTGGAAACGGGATAAAACGCACAGAACTAAAACAGAAGCATTCTCAGAAACTACTTTGTGATGATTGCATTCAAGTCACAGAGTTGAACATTCCCTTTGACAGAGCAGTTTGGAAACTCTCTTTGTGTAGAATCTGCAAGTGGAGATATGGACCGCTTTGAGGCCTATGGTAGTAAAGGAAATAGCTTCATATAAAAGCTAGACAGTAGCATTCTCAGAAACTTCTTTGTGATGCTTGCATTCAACTCACAGAGTTGAACTTTCCTTTCGAGAGAGAAGCTTTGAAACACTCTTTTTCCAGAATCTGCAAGTGGACATTTGGAGGGCTTTGAGGCCTGTGGTGGAAAAGGAATTAACTTCCCGTAAAAGCTAGATAGAAGCATTGTCAGAAACTTCTTTGTGATGATTGCATTCAACTCACAGAGATGAAGGTTCCTTTACAAACAGCAGTTTCCAAACACTCTTTCTGTGGAATCTGCAAGTGGATATTTGGACCTCTTTGAAGATTTCGTTGGAAACGGGAGAATCTTCACAGAAAAGCTAAACAGAAGCATTCTCAGAAACTTCTCTGTGATGTTTGTGTTCAACTCCCAGAGTTTCACATTGCTTTTCATAGAGTAGTTCTGAAACATGCTTTTCGTAGTGTCTGCAAGTGGACATTTGGAGCGCTTTCAGGCCTGTGGTGGAAAACGAATTATGGTCCCATAAAAACTGGAGAGAGCCTTCTCAGAAACTTCTCTGTGATGATTGCATTCAACTCACAGAGTTGAACCCTCCTATGGATAGAGCAGTGTTGAAACTCTCTTTTTGTGGAATCTGCAAGTGGATATGTGGACCTCTCCGAAGATGTCTTTGGAAACGGGAATATCTTCACATAAAAACTAAACAGAAGCATTCTCAGAAACTTCTTGGTGATGTTTGCATTCCAATCCCAGAGTTGAACCTTCCTTTGATAGTTCAGGTTTGAAACACTCTTTTTGTAGGATCTGCAAGTGGATATTTGGACCACTCTGTGGCCTTCGTTCGAAACGGGTACATCTTCGCATAAAATGCTAGACAGAAGCATTCTCAGAAAATACTTTGTGATGATTGAGTTGAACTCACAGAGCTGAACATTCCTTTGGATGGAGCAGGTTTGAGACACACTTTTTGTAGAATCTACAAGTGGATATTTGGACCTCTCTGAGGATTTCGTTGGAAACGGGATAACTGCACCTAACTAAACGGAAGCATTCTCAGAAACTGCTTTGTGATGATTGCATTCACCTCACAGAGTTGAACATTCCTATTGATAGAGCAGTTTGGAAACACTCTTGTTGTGGAATGTGCAAGTGGAGATTTGGAGCGCTTTGAGGCCTATGGTAGTAAAGGGAATAGCTTCATAGAAAAACTAGACAGATGCATTCTCAGGAACTTTTTGGTGATGTTTGTATTCAACTCCCAGAGTTGAACTTTCCTTTGGAAAGAGCATCTATGAAACACTCTTTTTCTAGAATCTGCAAGTGGACGTTTGGAGGGCTTTGTGGTTTGTGGTGGAAAAGGAAATATCTTCACCTAAATACTAGATAGAAGCATTCTCAGAAGCTTCTCTGTGATGACTGCATTCAACTCACGGAGTTGAACACTCCTTTTGAGAGCGCAGTTTTGAAACTCTCTTTCTGTGGCATCTGCAAGGGGACATGTAGACCTCTTTGAAGATTTCGTTGGAAACGGAATCATCTTCACATAAAAACTATACAGAAGCAGTCTCAGAATCTTCTTTGTGATGTTTGCATTCAAATCCCAGAGTTGAACTTTCCTTTCAAAGTTCACGTTTGAAACACTCTTTTTGCAGGATCTACAAGTGGATATTTGGACCACTCTGTGTCCTTCGTTCGAAACGGGTATATCTTCACACGACATCTAGACAGAAGCTTTCTCAGAAAATTCTTTGGGATGATTGAGTGGAACTCACAGAGCTGAACATTCCTTGCGATGTAGCAGTTTAGAAACACACTTTCTGCAGAATCTGCAAGTGCATATTTGGACCTCTCTGAGGAATTCGTTGGAAACGGGATAATTTCAGCTGACTAAACAGAAGCATTCTCAGAACCTTCTTCGTGATGTCTGCATTCAACTCACAGTGTGGAACCTTTCTTTGATAGTTCAGGTTTGAAACACTCTTTTTGTAGAAACTGCAAGGGGATAATTGCACTTCTTTGAGGCCTACCGTAGTAAAGGAAATAACTTCCTATAGAAAGAAGACAGAAGCATTCTCAGAACCCTCTTCGTGATGTTTGCATTCAACTCACAGTGCTGAACCTTTCTTTGATAGTTCAGCTTTGAAACACTCTTCTTGTAGAAACTGCAAGTGGATATTTGGTCCTCTCTGAGGATTTCGTTGGAAACGGGATAAACCGCACAGAACTAAACAGAAGAATTCTCAGAGCCCTCTTCGTGATGTTTGCATTCAACTCACAGTGCTGAACCTTTCTTTGATAGTGCAGCTTTGAAACACTCTTTTTGTAGAAACTGCAAGTGGATGTTTGGTCCTCTCTGAGGATTTCGTTGGAAACGGGATAAACCGCACAGAACTAAAACAGAAGCATTGTCAGAAACTTCTTTGTGATGATTGCATTCAACTCACAGAGTTGAAGGTTCCTTTTCAAACAGCAGTTTCCAATCACTCTTTCTGTGGAATCTGCAAGTGGATATTTGGGCCTCTCTGAGGATTTCGTTGGAAACGGGATAAAACGCACAGAACTAAAACAGAAGCATTCTCAGAAACTTCTCTGTGATGTTTGTGTTCAACTCCCAGAGTTTCACGTTGCTTTTCATAGAGTAGTTCTGAAACATGCTTTTCGTAGTGTCTGCAAGTGGACATTTGGAGCGCTTTCAGGCCTGTGGTGGAAAACGAATTATGGTCACATAAAAACTGGAGAGAAGCATTCTCAGAAAATACTTTGTGATGATTGAGTTTAACTCACAGAGCTGAACATTCCTTTGGATGGAGCAGGTTTGAGACACACCTTTTGTAGAATCTACAAGTGGATATTTGGACCTCTCTGAGGATTTCGTTGGAAACGGGATAACTGCACCTAACTAAACGGAAGCATTCTCAGAAACTGCTTTGTGATGATTGCATTCACCTCACAGAGTTGAACATTCCTATTGATAGAGCAGTTTGGAAACACTCTTGTTGTGGAATGTGCAAGTGGAGATTTGGAGCGCTTTGAGGCCTATGGTAGTAAAGGGAATAGCTTCATAGAAAAACTAGACAGATGCATTCTCAGGTAACTTTTTGGTGATGTTTGTATTCAACTCCCAGAGTTGAACTTTCCTTTGGAAAGAGCAGCTATGAAACACTCTTTTTCTAGAATCTGCAAGTGGACGTTTGGAGGGCTTTGTGGTTTGTGGTGGAAAAGGAAATATCTTCACCTAAATACTAGATAGAAGCATTCTCAGAAGCTTCTCTGTGATGACTGCATTCAACTCACGGAGTTGAACACTCCTTTTGAGAGCGCAGTTTTGAAACTCTCTTTCTGTGGCATCTGCAAGGGGACATGTAGACCTCTTTGAAGATTTCGTTGGAAACGGAATCATCTAACACATAAAAACTATACAGAAGCAGTCTCAGAATCTTCTTTGTGATGTTTGCATTCAAATCCCAGAGTTGAACTTTCCTTTCAAAGTTCACGTTTGAAACACTCTTTTTGCAGGATCTACAAGTGGATATTTGGACCACTCTGTGTCCTTCGTTCGAAACGGGTATATCTTCACACGACATCTAGACAGAAGCTTTCTCAGAAAATTCTTTGGGATGATTGAGTGGAACTCACAGAGCTGAACATTCCTTGCGATGTAGCAGTTTAGAAACACACTTTCTGCAGAATCTGCAAGTGCATATTTGGACCTCTCTGAGGAATTCGTTGGAAACGGGATAATTTCAGCTGACTAAACAGAAGCATTCTCAGAACCTTCTTCGTGATGTCTGCATTCAACTCACAGTGTGGAACCTTTCTTTGATAGTTCAGGTTTGAAACACTCTTTTTGTAGAAACTGCAAGGGGATAATTGCACTTCTTTGAGGCCTACCGTAGTAAAGGAAATAACTTCCTATAGAAAGAAGACAGAAGCATTCTCAGAACCCTCTTCGTGATGTTTGCATTCAACTCACAGTGCTGAACCTTTCTTTGATAGTTCAGCTTTGAAACACTCTTCTTGTAGAAACTGCAAGTGGATATTTGGTCCTCTCTGAGGATTTCCTTGGAAACGTGATAAACCACACAGAACTAAACAGAAGCATTCTTAGAACCTTCTTCGTGATGTTTGCATTCAACTCACAGTGTTGAACCTTTCTTTGATAGCTCAGGTTTGAAACGGTCTTTCTGTAGAAACTGCAAGTAGATATTTGGACCTCTCTGAGGATTTCGTTGGAAACGGGATAACCCGCACAGAACTAAAACAGAAGCATTCACAGAAAACTCTTGGTGACGACTGAGTTTAACTCACAGAGCTGAAGATTCCTTTGAATGGAGCAGTTTCGAAACACACTATTTGTAGAATCTGCAAGTGGATATTTGGGCCTCTCTGAGGATTTCGTTGCAAACGGGATAAACCGCACTGAACTAAACAGAAGCATTCTCAGAAACTACTTTGTGATGATTGCATTCAAGTCACAGAGTTGAACATTCCCTTTGACAGAGCAGTTTGGAAACTCTCTTTGTGTAGAATCTGCAAGTGGAGATATGGACCGCTTTGAGGCCTATGGTAGTAAAGGAAATAGCTTCATATAAAAGCTAGACAGTAGCATTCTCAGAAACTTCTTTGTGATGCTTGCATTCAACTCACAGAGTTGAACTTTCCTTTCGAGAGAGAAGCTTTGAAACACTCTTTTTCCAGAATGTGCAAGTGGACATTTGGGGAGCTTTGAGGCCTGTGGTGGAAAAGGAATTATCTTCCCGTAAAAGCTAGATAGAAGCATTGTCAGAAACTTCTTTGTGATGATTGCATTCAACTCACAGAGTTGAAGGTTCCTTTTCAAACAGCAGTTTCCAATCACTCTTTCTGTGGAATCTGCAAGTGGATATTTCGACCTCTTTGAAGATTTCGTTGGAAACGGGAGAATCTTCACAGAAAAGCTAAACAGAAGCATTCTCAGAAACTTCTCTGTGATGTTTGTGTTCAACTCCCAGAGTTTCACGTTGCTTTTCATAGAGTAGTTCTGAAACATGCTTCTCGTAGTGTCTGCAAGTGGACATTTGGAGCGCTTTCAGGCCTGTGGTGGAAAACGAATTATGGTCACATAAAAACTGGAGAGAAGCCTTCTCAGAAACTTCTCTGTGATGATTGCATTCAACTCACAGAGTTGAACCCTCCTATGGATAGAGCAGTGTTGAAACTCTCTTTTTGTGGAATCTGCAAGTGGATATGTGGACCTCTCCGAAGATGTCTTTGGAAACGGGAATATCTTCACATAAAAACTAAACAGAAGCATTCTCAGAAACTTCTTGGTGATGTTTGCATTCAAATCCCAGAGTTGAACCTTCCTTTGATAGTTCAGGTTTGAAACACTCTTTTTGTAGGATCTGCAAGTGGCTATTTGGACCACTCTGTGGCCTTCGTTCGAAACGGGTATATCTTCGCATAAAATCTAGACAGAAGCATTCTCAGAAAATACTTTGTGATGATTGAGTTTAAATCACAGAGCTGAACATTCCTTTGGATGGAGCAGGTTTGAGACACACTTTTTGTAGAATCTACAAGTGGATATTTGGACCTCTCTGAGGATTTCTTTGGAAACGGGATAACTGCACCTAACTAAACGGAAGCATTCTCAGAAACTGCTTTGTGATGATTGCATTCACCTCACAGAGTTGAACATTCCTATTGATAGAGCAGTTTGGAAACACTCTTGTTGTGGAATGTGCAAGTGGAGATTTGGAGCGCTTTGAGGTCTATGGTAGTAAAGGGAATAGCTTCATAGAAAAACTAGACAGATGCATTCTCAGGAACTTTTTGGTGATGTTTGTATTCAACTCCCAGAGTTGAACTTTCCTTTGGAAAGAGCAGCTATGAAACACTCTTTTTCTAGAATCTGCAAGTGGACGTTTGGAGGGCTTTGTGGTTTGTGGTGGAAAAGGAAATATCTTCACCTAAATACTAGATAGAAGCATCCTCAGAAGTCTTCTCTGTGATGACTGCATTCAACTCACGGAGTTGAACACTCCTTTTGAGAGCGCAGTTTTGAAACTCTCTTTCTGTGGCATCTGCAAGGGGACATGTAGACCTCTTTGAAGATTTCGTTGGAAACGGAATCATCTTCACATAAAAACTATACAGAAGCAGTCTCAGAATCTTCTTTGTGATGTTTGCATTCAAATCCCAGAGTTGAACTTTCCTTTCAAAGTTCACGTTTGAAACACTCTTTTTGCAGGATCTACAAGTGGATATTTGGACCACTCTGTGTCCTTCGTTCGAAACGGGTATATCTTCACACGACATCTAGACAGAAGCTTTCTCAGAAAATTCTTTGGGATGATTGAGTGGAACTCACAGAGCTGAACATTCCTTGCGATGTAGCAGTTTAGAAACACACTTTCTGCAGAATCTGCAAGTGCATATTTGGACCTCTCTGAGGAATTCGTTGGAAACGGGATAATTTCAGCTGACTAAACAGAAGCATTCTCAGAACCTTCTTCGTGATGTCTGCATTCAACTCACAGTGTGGAACCTTTCTTTGATAGTTCAGGTTTGAAACACTCTTTTTGTAGAAACTGCAAGGGGATAATTGCACTTCTTTGAGGCCTACCGTAGTAAAGGAAATAACTTCCTATAGAAAGAAGACAGAAGCATTCTCAGAACCCTCTTCGTGATGTTTGCATTCAACTCACAGTGCTGAACCTTTCTTTGATAGTTCAGCTTTGAAACACTCTTCTTGTAGAAACTGCAAGTGGATATTTGGTCCTCTCTGAGGATTTCGTTGGAAACGGGATAAACCGCACAGAACTAAACAGAAGAATTCTCAGAGCCCTCTTCGTGATGTTTGCATTCAACTCACAGTGCTGAACCTTTCTTTGATAGTGCAGCTTTGAAACACTCTTTTTGTAGAAACTGCAAGTGGATGTTTGGTCCTCTCTGAGGATTTCGTTGGAAACGGGATAAACCGCACAGAACTAAAACAGAAGCATTGTCAGAAACTTCTTTGTGATGATTGCATTCAACTCACAGAGTTGAAGGTTCCTTTTCAAACAGCAGTTTCCAATCACTCTTTCTGTGGAATCTGCAAGTGGATATTTGGGCCTCTCTGAGGATTTCGTTGGAAACGGGATAAAACGCACAGAACTAAAACAGAAGCATTCTCAGAAACTTCTCTGTGATGTTTGTGTTCAACTCCCAGAGTTTCACGTTGCTTTTCATAGAGTAGTTCTGAAACATGCTTTTCGTAGTGTCTGCAAGTGGACATTTGGAGCGCTTTCAGGCCTGTGGTGGAAAACGAATTATGGTCACATAAAAACTGGAGAGAAGCCTTCTCAGAAACTTCTCTGTGATGATTGCATTCAACTCACAGAGTTGAACCCTCCTATGGATAGAGCAGTGTTGAAACTCTCTTTTTGTGGAATCTGCAAGTGGATATGTGGACCTCTCCGAAGATGTCTTTGGAAACGGGAATATCTTCACATAAAAACTAAACAGAAGCATTCTCAGAAACTTCTTGGTGATGTTTGCATTCAAATCCCAGAGTTGAACCTTCCTTTGATAGTTCAGGTTTGAAACACTCTTTTTGTAGGATCTGCAAGTGGCTATTTGGACCACTCTGTGGCCTTCGTTCGAAACGGGTATATCTTCGCATAAAATCTAGACAGAAACATTCTCAGAAAATACTTTGTGATGATTGAGTTTAAATCACAGAGCTGAACATTCCTTTGGATGGAGCAGGTTTGAGACACACTTTTTGTAGAATCTACAAGTGGATATTTGGACCTCTCTGAGGATTTCGTTGGAAACGGGATAACTGCACCTAACTAAACGGAAGCATTCTCAGAAACTGCTTTGTGATGATTGCATTCACCTCACAGAGTTGAACATTCCTATTGATAGAGCAGTTTGGAAACACTCTTGTTGTGGAATGTGCAAATGGAGATTTGGAGCGCTTTGAGGCCTATGGTAGTAAAGGGAATAGCTTCATAGAAAAACTAGACAGATGCATTCTCAGGAACTTTTTGGTGATGTTTGTATTCAACTCCCAGAGTTGAACTTTCCTTTGGAAAGAGCAGCTATGAAACACTCTTTTTCTAGAATCTGCAAGTGGACGTTTGGAGGGCTTTGTGGTTTGTGGTGGAAAAGGATATATCTTCACCTAAATACTAGAGAGAAGCATTCTCAGAAGCTTCTCTGTGATGACTGCATTCAACTCACGGAGTTGAACACTCCTTTTGAGAGCGCAGTTTTGAAACTCTCTTTCTGTGGCATCCGCAAGGGGACATGTGGACCTCTTTGAAGATTTCGTTGGAAACGGAATCATCTTCACATAAAAACTATACAGAAGCAGTCTCAGAATCTTCTTTGTGATGTTTGCATTCAAATCCCAGAGTTGAACTTTCCTTTCAAAGTTCACGTTTGAAACACTCTTTTTGCAGGATCTACAAGTGGATATTTGGACCACTCTGTGTCCTTCGTTCGAAACGGGTATATCTTCACATGACATCTAGACAGAAGCTTTCTCAGAAAATTCTTTGGGATGATTGAGTGGAACTCACAGAGCTGAACATTCCTTGCGATGTAGCAGTTTAGAAACACACTTTCTGCAGAATCTGCAAGTGCATATTTGGACCTCTCTGAGGAATTCGTTGGAAACGGGATAATTTCAGCTGACTAAACAGAAGCATTCTCAGAACCTTCTTCGTGATGTCTGCATTCAACTCACAGTGTGGAACCTTTCTTTGATAGTTCAGGTTTGAAACACTCTTTTTGTAGAAACTGCAAGGGGATAATTGCACTTCTTTGAGGCCTACCGTAGTAAAGGAAATAACTTCCTATAGAAAGAAGACAGAAGCATTCTCAGAATCCTCTTCGTGATGTTTGCATTCAACTCACAGTGCTGAACCTTTCTTTGATAGTTCAGCTTTGAAACACTCTTCTTGTAGAAACTGCAAGTGGATATTTGGTCCTCTCTGAGGATTTCGTTGGAAAAGGGATAAACCGCACAGAACTAAACAGAAGCATTCTCAGAACCTTCTTCGTGATGTTTGCATTCAACTCACAGTGTTGAACCTTTCTTTCATAGTTCAGGTTTGAAACGGTCTTTCTGTAGAAACTGCAAGTAGATATTTGGACCTCTCTGAGGATTTCGTTGGAAACGGGATAACCCGCACAGAACTAAAACAGAAGCATTCACAGAAAACTCTTGGTGACGACTGAGTTTAACTCACAGAGCTGAACATTCCTTTGGATGGAGCAGTTTCGAAACACACTATTTGTAGAATGTGCAAGTGGATATTTGGGCCTCTCTGAGGATTTCGTTGGAAACGGGATAAACCGCACAGAACTAAACAGAAGCATTCTCAGAAACTACTTTGTGATGATTGCATTCAAGTCACAGAGTTGAACATTCCCTTTGACAGAGCAGTTTGGAAACTCTCTTTGTGTAGAATCTGCAAGTGGAGATATGGACCGCTTTGAGGCCTATGGTAGTAAAGGAAATAGCTTCATATAAAAGCTAGACAGTAGCATTCTCAGAAACTTCTTTGTGATGCTTGCATTCAACTCACAGAGTTGAAATTTCCTTTCGAGAGAGAAGCTTTGAAACACTCTTTTTCCAGAATCTGCAAGTGGACATTTGGAGGGCTTTGAGGCCTGTGGTGGAAAAGGAATTATCTTCCCGTAAAAGCTAGATAGAAGCATTGTCAGAAACTTCTTTGTGATGATTGCATTCAACTCACAGAGTTGAAGGTTCCTTTTCAAAGAGCAGTTTCCAATCACTCTTTGTGTGGAATCTGCAAGTGGATATTTGGACCTATTTTGAAGATTTCGTTGGAAACGGGAGAATCTTCACAGGAAAGCTAAACAGAAGCATTCTCAGAAACTTCTCTGTGATGTTTGTGTTCAACTCCCAGAGTTTCACATTGCTTTTCATAGAGTAGTTCTGAAACATGCTTTTCGTAGTGTCTACAAGTGGACATTTGGAGCGCTTTCAGGCCTGTGGTGGAAAACGAATTATGGTCACATAAAAACTGGAGAGAAGCCTTCTCAGAAACTTCTCTGTGATGATTGCATTCAACTCACAGAGTTGAACCCTCCTATGGATAGAGCAGTGTTGAAACTCTCTTTTTGTGGAATCTGCAAGTGGATATGTGGACCTCTCCGAAGATGTCTTTGGAAACGGGAATATCTTCACATAAAAACTAAACAGAAGCATTCTCAGAAACTTCTTGGTGATGTTTGCATTCAAATCCCAGAGTTGAACCTTCCTTTGATAGTTCAGGTTTGAAACACTCTTTTTGTAGGATCTGCAAGTGGATATTTGGACCACTCTGTGGCCTTCGTTCGAAACGGGTACATCTTCGCATAAAATCTAGACAGAAGCATTCTCAGAAAATACTTTGTGATGATTGAGTTTAACTCACAGAGCTGAACATTCCTTTGGATGGAGCAGGTTTGAGACACACCTTTTGTAGAATCTACAAGTGGATATTTGGACCTCTCTGAGGATTTCGTTGGAAACGGGATAACTGCACCTAACTAAACGGAAGCATTCTCAGAAACTGCTTTGTGATGATTGCATTCACCTCACAGAGTTGAACATTCCTATTGATAGAGCAGTTTGGAAACACTCTTCTTGTGGAATGTGCAAGAGGAGATTTGGAGCGCTTTGAGGCCTATGGTAGTAAAGGGAATAGCTTCATAGAAAAACTAGACAGATGCATTCTCAGGAACTTTTTGGTGATGTTTGTATTCAACTCCCAGAGTTGAACTTTCCTTTGGAAAGAGCAGCTATGAAACACTCTTTTTCTAGAATCTGCAAGTGGACGTTTGGAGGGCTTTGTGGTTTGTGGTGGAAAAGGAAATATCTTCACCTAAATACTAGATAGAAGCATTCTCAGAAGCTTCTCTGTGATGACTGCATTCAACTCACGGAGTTGAACACTCCTTTTGAGAGCGCAGTTTTGAAACTCTCCTTCTGTGGCATCCGCAAGGGGACATGTGGACCTCTTTGAAGATTTCGTTGGAAACGGAATCATCTTCACATAAAAACTATACAGAAGCAGTCTCAGAATCTTCTTTGTGATGTTTGCATTCAAATCCCAGAGTTGAACTTTCCTTTCAAAGTTCACGTTTGAAACACTCTTTTTGCAGGATCTACAAGTGGATATTTGGACCACTCCGTGTCCTCCGTTCGAAACGGGTATATCTTCACATGACATCTAGACAGAAGCTTTCTCAGAAAATTCTTTGTGATGATTGAGTTGAGCAAACAGAGCTGAACACTCCTTGCGATGTAGCAGTTTAGAATCACCCTTTCTGCAGAATCTGCAAGTGCATATGTGGACCTCTCTGAGGAATTCGTTGGAAACGGGATAATTTCAGCTGACTAAACAGAAGCATTCTCAGAACCTTCTTCGTGATGTCTGCATTCAACTCACAGTGTGGAACCTTTCTTTGATAGTTCAGGTTTGAAACACTCTTTTTGTAGAAACTGCAAGGGGATCATTGCACTTCTTTGAGGCCTACCGTAGTAAAGGAAATAACTTCCTATAAAAAGAAGACAGAAGCATTCTCAGAACCCTCTTCGTGATGTTTGCATTCAACTCACGGTGCTGAACCTTTCTTTGATAGTTCAGCTTTGAAACACTCTTTTTGTAGAAACTGCAAGTGGATATTTGGTCCTCTCTGAGGATTTCGTTGGAAACGGGATAAACCGCACAGAACTAAACAGAAGCATTCTCAGAACCTTCTTCGTGATGTTTGCATTCAACTCACAGTGTTGAACCTTTCTTTGATAGTTCAGGTTTGAAACGGTCTTTCTGTAGAAACTGCAAGTAGATATTTGGACCTCTCTGAGGATTTCGTTGGAAACGGGATAAACCGCACAGAACTAAAACAGAAGCATTCACAGAAAACTCTTGGTGACGACTGAGTTTAACTCACAGAGCTGAACATTCCTTTGGATGGAGCAGTTTCGAAACACACTATTTGTAGAATGTGCAAGTGGATATGTGGGCCTCTCTGAGGATTTCGTTGGAAACGGGATAAACCGCACAGAACTAAACAGAAGCATTCTCAGAAACTACTTTGTGATGATTGCATTCAAGTCACAGAGTTGAACATTCCCTTTGACAGAGCAGTTTGGAAACTCTCTTTGTGTAGAATCTGCAAGTGGAGATATGGACCGCTTTGAGGCCTATGGTAGTAAAGGAAATAGCTTCATATAAAAGCTAGACAGTAGCATTCTCAGAAACTTCTTTGTGATGCTTGCATTCAACTCACAGAGTTGAACTTTCCTTTCGAGAGAGAAGCTTTGAAACACTCTTTTTCCAGAATCTGCAAGTGGACATTTGGAGGGCTTTGAGGCCTGTGGTGGAAAAGGAATTATCTTCCCGTAAAAGCTAGATAGAAGCATTGTCAGAAACTTCTTTGTGATGATTGCATTCAACTCACAGAGTTGAAGGTTCCTTTTCAAACAGCAGTTTCCAATCACTCTTTCTGTGGAATCTGCAAGTGGATATTTGGACCTCTTTGAAGATTTCGTTGGAAACGGGAGTATCTTCACAGAAAAGCTAAACAGAAGCATTCTCAGAAACTTCTCTGTGATGTTTGTGTTCAACTCCCAGAGTTTCACATTGCTTTTCATAGAGTAGTTCTGAAACATGCTTTTCGTAGTGTCTGCAAGTGGACATTTGGAGCGCTTTCAGGCCTGTGGTGGAAAACGAATTATGGTCACATAAAAACTGGAGAGAAGCCTTCTCAGAAACTTCTCTGAGATGATTGCATTCAACTCACAGAGTTGAACCCTCCTATGGATAGAGCAGTGTTGAAACTCTCTTTTTGTGGAATCTGCAAGCGGATATGTGGACCTCTCCGAAGATGTCTTTGGAAACGGGAATATCTTCACATAAAAACTAAACAGAAGCATTCTCAGAAACTTCTTGGTGATGTTTGCATTCAAATCCCAGAGTTGAACCTTCCTTTGATAGTTCAGGTTTGAAACACTCTTTTTGTAGGATCTGCAAGTGGCTATTTGGACCACTCTGTGGCTTTCGTTCGAAACGGGTATATCTTCGCATAAAATCTAGACAGAAGCATTCTCAGAAAATACTTTGTGATGATTGAGTTTAAATCACAGAGCTGAACATTCCTTTGGATGGAGCAGGTTTGAGACACACTTTTTGTAGAATCTACAAGTGGATATTTGGACCTCTCTGAGGATTTCGTTGGAAACGGGATAACTGCACCTAACTAAACGGAAGCATTCTCAGAAACTGCTTTGTGATGATTGCATTCACCTCACAGAGTTGAACATTCTTATTGATAGAGCAGTTTGGAAACACTCTTGTTGTGGAATGTGCAAGTGGAGATTTGGAGCGCTTTGAGGCCTATGGTAGTAAAGGGAATAGCTTCATAGAAAAACTAGACAGATGCATTCTCAGGAACTTTTTGGTGATGTTTGTATTCAACTCCCAGAGTTGAACTTTCCTTTGGAAAGAGCAGCTGTGAAACACTCTTTTTCTAGAATCTGCAAGAGGACGTTTGGAGGGCTTTGTGGTTTGTGGGGGAAAAGGAAATATCTTCACCTAAATACTAGATAGAAGCATTCTCAGAAGCTTCTCTGTGATGACTGCATTCAACTCACGGAGTTGAACACTCCTTTTGAGAGCGCAGTTTTGAAACTCTCTTTCTGTGGCATCTGCAAGGGGACATGTAGACCTCTTTGAAGATTTCGTTGGAAACGGAATCATCTTCACATAAAAACTATACAGAAGCAGTCTCAGAATCTTCTTTGTGATGTTTGCATTCAAATCCCAGAGTTGAACTTTCCTTTCAAAGTTCACGTTTGAAACACTCTTTTTGCAGGATCTACAAGTGGATATTTGGACCACTCTGTGTCCTAAGTTCGAAACGGGTATATCTTCACATGACATCTAGACAGAAGCTTTCTCAGAAAATTCTTTGGGATGATTGAGTGGAACTCACAGAGCTGAACATTCCTTGCGATGTAGCAGTTTAGAAACACACTTTCTGCAGAATCTGCAAGTGCATATTTGGACCTCTCTAAGGAATTCGTTGGAAACGTGATAATTTCAGCTGACTAAACAGAAGCATTCTCAGAACCTTCTTCGTGATGTCTGCATTCAACTCACAGTGTGGAACCTTTCTTTGATAGTTCAGGTTTGAAACACTCTTTTTGTAGAAACTGCAAGGGGATAATTGCACTTCTTTGAGGCCTACCGTAGTAAAGGAAATAACTTCCTATAGAAAGAAGACAGAAGCATTCTCAGAACCCTCTTCGTGATGTTTGCATTCAACTCACAGTGCTGAACCTTTCTTTGATAGTTCAGCTTTGAAACACTCTTCTTGTAGAAACTGCAAGTGGATATTTGGTCCTCTCTGAGGATTTCGTTGGAAACGGGATAAACCGCACAGAACTAAACAGAAGAATTCTCAGAGCCCTCTTCGTGATGTTTGCATTCAACTCACAGTGCTGAACCTTTCTTTGATAGTGCAGCTTTGAAACACTCTTTTTGTAGAAACTGCAAGTGGATGTTTGGTCCTCTCTGAGGATTTCGTTGGAAACGGGATAAACCGCACAGAACTAAAACAGAAGCATTGTCAGAAACTTCTTTGTGATGATTGCATTCAACTCACAGAGTTGAAGGTTCCTTTTCAAACAGCAGTTTCCAATCACTCTTTCTGTGGAATCTGCAAGTGGATATTTGGGCCTCTCTGAGGATTTCGTTGGAAACGGGATAAAACGCACAGAACTAAAACAGAAGCATTCTCAGAACTTCTCTGTGATGTTTGTGTTCAACTCCCAGAGTTTCACGTTGCTTTTCATAGAGTAGTTCTGAAACATGCTTTTCGTAGTGTCTGCAAGTGGACATTTGGAGCGCTTTCAGGCCTGTGGTGGAAAACGAATTATGGTCACATAAAAACTGGAGAGAAGCCTTCTCAGAAACTTCTCTGTGATGATTGCATTCAACTCACAGAGTTGAACCCTCCTATGGATAGAGCAGTGTTGAAACTCTCTTTTTGTCGAATCTGCAAGTGGATATGTGGACCTCTCCGAAGATGTCTTTGGAAACGGGAATATCTTCACATAAAAACTAAACAGAAGCATTCTCAGAAACTTCTTGGTGATGTTTGCATTCAAATCCCAGAGTTGAACCTTCCTTTGATAGTTCAGGTTTGAAACACTCTTTTTGTAGGATCTGCAAGTGGCTATTTGGACCACTCTGTGGCCTTCGTTCGAAACGGGTATATCTTCGCATAAAATCTAGACAGAAGCATTCTCAGAAAATACTTTGTGATGATTGAGTTGAACTCACAGAGCTGAACATTCCTTTGGATGGAGCAGGTTTGAGACACACTTTTTGTAGAATCTACAAGTGGATATTTGGACCTCTCTGAGGATTTCGTTGGAAACGGGATAACTGCACCTAACTGAACGGAAGCATTCTCAGAAACTGCTTTGTGATGATTGCATTCACCTCACAGAGTTGAACATTCCTATTGATAGAGCAGTTTGGAAACACTCTTGTTGTGGAATGTGCAAGTGGAGATTTGGAGCGCTTTGAGGCCTATGGTAGTAAAGGGAATAGCTTCATAGAAAAACTAGACAGATGCATTCTCAGGAACTTTTTGGTGATGTTTGTATTCAACTCCCAGAGTTGAACTTTCCTTTGGAAAGAGCAGCTATGAAACACTCTTTTTCTAGAATCTGCAAGTGGACGTTTGGAGGGCTTTGTGGTTTGTGGTGGAAAAGGAAATATCTTCACCTAAATACTAGATAGAAGCATTCTCAGAAGCTTCTCTGTGATGACTGCATTCAACTCACGGAGTTGAACACTCCTTTTGAGAGCGCAGTTTTGAAACTCTCTTTCTGTGGCATCTGCAAGGGGACATGTAGACCTCTTTGAAGATTTCGTTGGAAACGGAATCATCTTCACATAAAAACTATACAGAAGCAGTCTCAGAATCTTCTTTGTGATGTTTGCATTCAAATCCCAGAGTTGAACTTTCCTTTCAAAGTTCACGTTTGAAACACTCTTTTTGCAGGATCTACAAGTGGATATTTGGACCACTCTGTGTCCTTCGTTCGAAACGGGTATATCTTCACATGACATCTAGACAGAAGCTTTCTCAGAAAATTCTTTGGGATGATTGAGTTGAACTCACAGAGCTGAACATTCCTTGCGATATAGCAGTTTAGAAACACAGTTTCTGCAGAATCTGCAAGTGCATATTTGGACCTCTCTGAGGAATTCGTTGGAAACGGGATAATTTCAGCTGACTAAACAGAAGCATTCTCAGAACCTTCTTCGTGATGTCTGCATTCAACTCACAGTGTGGAACCTTTCTTTGATAGTTCAGGTTTGAAACACTCTTTTTGTAGAAACTGCAAGGGGATAATTGCACTTCTTTGAGGCCTACCGTAGTAAAGGAAATAACTTCCTATAGAAAGAAGACAGAAGCATTCTCAGAACCCTCTTCGTGATGTTTGCATTCAACTCACAGTGCTGAACCTTTCTTTGATAGTTCAGCTTTGAAACACTCTTCTTGTAGAAACTGCAAGTGGATATTTGGTCCTCTCTGAGGATTTCGTTGGAAACGGGATAAACCGCACAGAACTAAACAGAAGAATTCTCAGAGCCCTCTTCGTGATGTTTGCATTCAACTCACAGTGCTGAACCTTTCTTTGATAGTGCAGCTTTGAAACACTCTTTTTGTAGAAACTGCAAGTGGATGTTTGGTCCTCTCTGAGGATTTCGTTGGAAACGGGATAAACCGCACAGAACTAAAACAGAAGCATTCACAGAAAACTCTTGGTGACGACTGAGTTTAACTCACAGAGCTGAACATTCCTTTGGATGGAGCAGTTTCGAAACACACTATTTGTAGAATCTGCAAGTGGATATTTGGGCCTCTCTGAGGATTTCGTTGGAAACGGGATAAAACGCACAGAACTAAAACAGAAGCATTCTCAGAAACTACTTTGTGATGATTGCATTCAAGTCACAGAGTTGAACATTCCCTTTGACAGAGCAGTTTGGAAACTCTCTTTGTGTAGAATCTGCAAGTGGAGATATGGACCGCTTTGAGGCCTATGGTAGTAAAGGAAATAGCTTCATATAAAAGCTAGACAGTAGCATTCTCAGAAACTTCTTTGTGATGCTTGCATTCAACTCACAGAGTTGAACTTTCCTTTCGAGAGAGAAGCTTTGAAACACTCTTTTTCCAGAATGTGCAAGTGGACATTTGGGGAGCTTTGAGGCCTGTGGTGGAAAAGGAGTTATCTTCCCGTAAAAGCTAGATAGAAGCATTGTCAGAAACTTCTTTGTGATGATTGCATTCAACTCACAGAGTTGAAGGTTCCTTTTCAAACAGCAGTTTCCAATCACTCTTTCTGTGGAATCTGCAAGTGGATATTTCGACCTCTTTGAAGATTTCGTTGGAAACGGGAGAATCTTCACAGAAAAGCTAAACAGAAGCATTCTCAGAAACTTCTCTGTGATGTTTGTGTTCAACTCCCAGAGTTTCACGTTGCTTTTCATAGAGTAGTTCTGAAACATGCTTTTCGTAGTGTCTGCAAGTGGACATTTGGAGCGCTTTCAGGCCTGTGGTGGAAAACGAATTATGGTCACATAAAAACTGGAGAGAAGCCTTCTCAGAAACTTCTCTGTGATGATTGCATTCAACTCACAGAGTTGAACCCTCCTATGGATAGAGCAGTGTTGAAACTCTCTTTTTGTGGAATCTGCAAGTGGATATGTGGACCTCTCCGAAGATGTCTTTGGAAACGGCAATATCTTCACATAAAAACTAAACAGAAGCAGTCTCAGAATCTTCTTTGTGATGTTTGCATTCAAATCCCAGAGTTGAACTTTCCTTTCAAAGTTCACGTTTGAAACACTCTTTTTGTAGGATCTGCAAGTGGATATTTGGACCACTCTGTGGCCTTCGTTCGAAACGGGTATATCTTCGCATAAAATCTAGACAGAAGCTTTCTCAGAAAATTCTTTGTGATGATTGAGTGGAACTCACAGAGCTGAACATTCCTTGCGATGTAGCAGTTTAGAAACACACTTTCTGCAGAATCTGCAAGTGCATATTTGGACCTCTCTGAGGAATTCGTTGGAAACGGGATAATTTCAGCTGACTAAACAGAAGCATTCTCAGAACCTTCTTCGTGATGTCTGCATTCAACTCACAGTGTGGAACCTTTCTTTGATAGTTCAGGTTTGAAACACTCTTTTTGTAGAAACTGCAAGGGGATAATTGCACTTCTTTGAGGCGTACCGTAGTAAAGGAAATAACTTCCTATAGAAAGAAGACAGAAGAATTCTCAGAGCCCTCTTCGTGATGTTTGCATTCAACTCACAGTGCTGAACCTTTCTTTGATAGTGCAGCTTTGAAACACTCTTTTTGTAGAAACTGCAAGTGGATGTTTGGTCCTCTCTGAGGATTTCGTTGGAAACGGGATAAACCGCACAGAACTAAAACAGAAGCATTGTCAGAAACTTCTTTGTGATGATTGCATTCAACTCACAGAGTTGAAGGTTCCTTTTCAAACAGCAGTTTCCAATCACTCTTTCTGTGGAATCTGCAAGTGGATATTTGGGCCTCTCTGAGGATTTCGTTGGAAACGGGATAAAACGCACAGAACTAAAACAGAAGCATTCTCAGAAACTTCTCTGTGATGTTTGTGTTCAACTCCCAGAGTTTCACGTTGCTTTTCATAGAGTAGTTCTGAAACATGCTTTTCGTAGTGTCTGCAAGTGGACATTTGGAGCGCTTTCAGGCCTGTGGTGGAAAACGAATTATGGTCACATAAAAACTGGAGAGAAGCCTTCTCAGAAACTTCTCTGTGATGATTGCATTCAACTCACAGAGTTGAACCCTCCTATGGATAGAGCAGTGTTGAAACTCTCTTTTTGTGGAATCTGCAAGTGGATATGTGGACCTCTCCGAAGATGTCTTTGGAAACGGGAATATCTTCACATAAAAACTAAACAGAAGCATTCTCAGAAACTTCTTGGTGATGTTTGCATTCAAATCCCAGAGTTGAACCTTCCTTTGATAGTTCAGGTTTGAAACACTCTTTCTGTAGGATCTGCAAGTGGCTATTTGGACCACTCTGTGGCCTTCGTTCGAAACGGGTATATCTTCGCATAAAATCTAGACAGAAGCATTCTCAGAAAATACTTTGTGATGATTGAGTTTAAATCACAGAGCTGACCATTCCTTTGGATGGAGCAGGTTTGAGACACACTTTTTGTAGAATCTACAAGTGGATATTTGGACCTCTCTGAGGATTTCGTTGGAAACGGGATAACTGCACCTAACTAAACGGAAGCATTCTCAGAAACTGCTTTGTGATGATTGCATTCACCTCACAGAGTTGAACATTCCTATTGATAGAGCAGTTTGGAAACACTCTTGTTGTGGAATGTGCAAGTGGAGATTTGGAGCGCTTTGAGGCCTATGGTAGTAAAGGGAATAGCTTCATAGAAAAACTAGACAGATGCATTCTCAGGAACCTTTTGGTGATGTTTGTATTCAACTCCCAGAGTTGAACTTTCCTTTGGAAAGAGCAGCTATGAAACACTCTTTTTCTAGAATCTGCAAGTGGACGTTTGGAGGGCTTTGTGGTTTGTGGTGGAAAAGGAAATATCTTCACCTAAATACTAGATAGAAGCATTCTCAGAAGCTTCTCTGTGATGACTGCATTCAACTCACGGAGTTGAACACTCCTTTTGAGAGCGCAGTTTTGAAACTCTCTTTCTGTGGCATCTGCAAGGGGACATGTAGACCTCTTTGAAGATTTCGTTGGAAACGGAATCATCTTCACATAAAAACTATACAGAAGCAGTCTCAGAATCTTCTTTGTGATGTTTGCATTCAAATCCCAGAGTTGAACTTTCCTTTCAAAGTTCACGTTTGAAACACTCTTTTTGCAGGATCTACAAGTGGATATTTGGACCACTCTGTGTCCTTCGTTCGAAACGGGTATATCTTCACACGACATCTAGACAGAAGCTTTCTCAGAAAATTCTTTGGGATGATTGAGTGGAACTCACAGAGCTGAACATTCCTTGCGATGTAGCAGTTTAGAAACACACTTTCTGCAGAATCTGCAAGTGCATATTTGGACCTCTCTGAGGAATTCGTTGGAAACGGGATAATTTCAGCTGACTAAACAGAAGCATTCTCAGAACCTTCTTCGTGATGTCTGCATTCAACTCACAGTGTGGAACCTTTCTTTGATAGTTCAGGTTTGAAACACTCTTTTTGTAGAAACTGCAAGGGGATAATTGCACTTCTTTGAGGCCTACCGTAGTAAAGGAAATAACTTCCTATAGAAAGAAGACAGAAGCATTCTCAGAACCCTCTTCGTGATGTTTGCATTCAACTCACAGTGCTGAACCTTTCTTTGATAGTTCAGCTTTGAAACACTCTTCTTGTAGAAACTGCAAGTGGATATTTGGTCCTCTCTGAGGATTTCGTTGGAAACGGGATAAACCGCACAGAACTAAACAGAAGAATTCTCAGAGCCCTCTTCGTGATGTTTGCATTCAACTCACAGTGCTGAACCTTTCTTTGATAGTGCAGCTTTGAAACACTCTTTTTGTAGAAACTGCAAGTGGATGTTTGGTCCTCTCTGAGGATTTCGTTGGAAACGGGATAAACCGCACAGAACTAAAACAGAAGCATTGTCAGAAACTTCTTTGTGATGATTGCATTCAACTCACAGAGTTGAAGGTTCCTTTTCAAACAGCAGTTTCCAATCACTCTTTCTGTGGAATCTGCAAGTGGATATTTGGGCCTCTCTGAGGATTTCGTTGGAAACGGGATAAAACGCACAGAACTAAAACAGAAGCATTCTCAGAAACTTCTCTGTGATGTTTGTGTTCAACTCCCAGAGTTTCACGTTGCTTTTCATAGAGTAGTTCTGAAACATGCTTTTCGTAGTGTCTGCAAGTGGACATTTGGAGCGCTTTCAGGCCTGTGGTGGAAAACGAATTATGGTCACATAAAAACTGGAGAGAAGCCTTCTCAGAAACTTCTCTGTGATGATTGCATTCAACTCACAGAGTTGAACCCTCCTATGGATAGAGCAGTGTTGAAACTCTCTTTTTGTGGAATCTGCAAGTGGATATGTGGACCTCTCCGAAGATGTCTTTGGAAACGGGAATATCTTCACATAAAAACTAAACAGAAGCATTCTCAGAAACTTCTTGGTGATGTTTGCATTCAAATCCCAGAGTTGAACCTTCCTTTGATAGTTCAGGTTTGAAACACTCTTTTTGTAGGATCTGCAAGTGGCTATTTGGACCACTCTGTGGCCTTCGTTCGAAACGGGTATATCTTCGCATAAAATCTAGACAGAAGCATTCTCAGAAAATACTTTGTGATGATTGAGTTTAAATCACAGAGCTGACCATTCCTTTGGATGGAGCAGGTTTGAGACACACTTTTTGTAGAATCTACAAGTGGATATTTGGACCTCTCTGAGGATTTCGTTGGAAACGGGATAACTGCACCTAACTAAACGGAAGCATTCTCAGAAACTGCTTTGTGATGATTGCATTCACCTCACAGAGTTGAACATTCCTATTGATAGAGCAGTTTGGAAACACTCTTGTTGTGGAATGTGCAAGTGGAGATTTGGAGCGCTTTGAGGCCTATGGTAGTAAAGGGAATAGCTTCATAGAAAAACTAGACAGATGCATTCTCAGGAACTTTTTGGTGATGTTTGTATTCAACTCCCAGAGTTGAACTTTCCTTTGGAAAGAGCAGCTATGAAACACTCTTTTTCTAGAATCTGCAAGTGGACGTTTGGAGGGCTTTGTGGTTTGTGGTGGAAAAGGAAATATCTTCACCTAAATACTAGATAGAAGCATTCTCAGAAGCTTCTCTGTGATGACTGCATTCAACTCACGGAGTTGAACACTCCTTTTGAGAGCGCAGTTTTGAAACTCTCTTTCTGTGGCATCTGCAAGGGGACATGTAGACCTCTTTGAAGATTTCGTTGGAAACGGAATCATCTTCACATCAAAACTATACAGAAGCAGTCTCAGAATCTTCTTTGTGATGTTTGCATTCAAATCCCAGAGTTGAACTTTCCTTTCAAAGTTCACGTTTGAAACACTCTTTTTGCAGGATCTACAAGTGGATATTTGGACCACTCTGTGTCCTTCGTTCGAAACGGGTATATCTTCACATGACATCTAGACAGAAGCTTTCTCAGAAAATCCTTTGGGATGATTGAGTGGAACTCACAGAGCTGAACATTCCTTGCGATGTAGCAGTTTAGAAACACACTTTCTGCAGAATCTGCAAGTGCATATTTGGACCTCTCTGAGGAATTCGTTGGAAACGGGATAATTTCAGCTGACTAAACAGAAGCATTCTCAGAACCTTCTTCGTGATGTCTGCATTCAACTCACAGTGTGGAACCTTTCTTTGATAGTTCAGGTTTGAAACACTCTTTTTGTAGAAACTGCAAGGGGATAATTGCACTTCTTTGAGGCCTACCGTAGTAAAGGAAATAACTTCCTATAGAAAGAAGACAGAAGCATTCTCAGAACCCTCTTCGTGATGTTTGCATTCAACTCACAGTGCTGAACCTTTCTTTGATAGTTCAGCTTTGAAACACTCTTCTTGTAGAAACTGCAAGTGGATATTTGGTCCTCTCTGAGGATTTCGTTGGAAACGGGATAAACCGCACAGAACTAAACAGAAGCATTCTCAGAGCCCTCTTCGTGATGTTTGCATTCAACTCACAGTGCTGAACCTTTCTTTGATAGTGCAGCTTTGAAACACTCTTTTTGTAGAAACTGCAAGTGGATGTTTGGTCCTCTCTGAGGATTTCGTTGGAAACGGGATAAACCGCACAGAACTAAAACAGAAGCATTCACAGAAAACTCTTGGTGACGACTGAGTTTAACTCACAGAGCTGAACATTCCTTTGGATGGAGCAGTTTCGAAACACACTATTTGTAGAATCTGCAAGTGGATATTTGGGCCTCTCTGAGGATTTCGTTGGAAACGGGATAAAACGCACAGAACTAAAACAGAAGCATTCTCAGAAACTACTTTGTGATGATTGCATTCAAGTCACAGAGTTGAACATTCCCTTTGACAGAGCAGTTTGGAAACTCTCTTTGTGTAGAATCTGCAAGTGGAGATATGGACCGCTTTGAGGCCTATGGTAGTAAAGGAAATAGCTTCATATAAAAGCTAGACAGTAGCATTCTCAGAAACTTCTTTGTGATGCTTGCATTCAACTCACAGAGTTGAACTTTCCTTTCGAGAGAGAAGCTTTGAAACACTCTTTTTCCAGAATGTGCAAGTGGACATTTGGGGAGGTTTGAGGCCTGGGGTGGAAAAGGAATTATCTTCCCGTAAAAGCTAGATAGAAGCATTGTCAGAAACTTCTTTGTGATGATTGCATTCAACTCACAGAGTTGAAGGTTCCTTTTCAAACAGCAGTTTCCAATCACTCTTTCTGTGGAATCTGCAAGTGGATATTTCGACCTCTTTGAAGATTTCGTTGGAAACGGGAGAATCTTCACAGAAAAGCTTAACAGAAGCATTCTCAGAAACTTCTCTGTGATGTTTGTGTTCAACTCCCAGAGTTTCACGTTGCTTTTCATAGAGTAGTTCTGAAACATGCTTTTCGTAGTGTCTGCAAGTGGACATTTGGAGCGCTTTCAGGCCTGTGGTGGAAAACGAATTATGGTCACATAAAAACTGGAGAGAAGCCTTCTCAGAAACTTCTCTGTGATGATTGCATTCAACTCACAGAGTTGAACCCTCCTATGGATAGAGCAGTGTTGAAACTCTCTTTTTGTGGAATCTGCAAGTGGATATGTGGACCTCTCCGAAGATGTCTTTGGAAACGGGAATATCTTCACATAAAAACTAAACAGAAGCATTCTCAGAAACTTCTTGGTGATGTTTGCATTCAAATCCCAGAGTTGAACCTTCCTTTGATAGTTCAGGTTTGAAACACTCTTTTTGTAGGATCTGCAATTGGCTATTTGGACCACTCTGTGGCCTTCGTTCGAAACGGGTATATCTTCGCATAAAATCTAGACAGAAGCATTCTCAGAAAATACTTTGTGATGATTGAGTTTAAATCACAGAGCTGACCATTCCTTTGGATGGAGCAGGTTTGAGACACACTTTTTGTAGAATCTACAAGTGGATATTTGGACCTCTCTGAGGATTTCGTTGGAAACGGGATAACTGCACCTAACTAAACGGAAGCATTCTCAGAAACTGCTTTGTGATGATTGCATTCACCTCACAGAGTTGAACATTCCTATTGATAGAGCAGTTTGGAAACACTCTTGTTGTGGAATGTGCAAGTGGAGATTTGGAGCGCTTTGAGGCCTGTGGTAGTAAAGGGAATAGCTTCATAGAAAAACTAGACAGATGCATTATCAGGAACTTCTTTTTGGTGATGTTTGTATTCAACTCCCAGAGTTGAACTTTCTTTTGGAAAGAGCAGCTATGAAACACTCTTTTTCTAGAATCTGCAAGTGGACGTTTGGAGGGCTTTGTGGTTTGTGGTGGAAAAGGAAATATCTTCACCTAAATACTAGATAGAAGCATTCTCAGAAGCTTCTCTGTGATGACTGCATTCAACTCACGGAGTTGAACACTCCTTTTGAGAGCGCAGTTTTGAAACTCTCTTTCTGTGGCATCTGCAAGGGGACATGTAGACCTCTTTGAAGATTTCGTTGGAAACGGAATCATCTTCACATAAAAACTATACAGAAGCAGTCTCAGAATCTTCTTTGTGATGTTTGCATTCAAATCCCAGAGTTGAACTTTCCTTTCAAAGTTCACGTTTGAAACACTCTTTTTGCAGGATCTACAAGTGGATATTTGGACCACTCTGTGTCCTTCGTTCGAAACGGGTATAACTTCACACGACATCTAGACAGAAGCTTTCTCAGAAAATTCTTTGGGATGATTGAGTGGAACTCACAGAGCTGAACATTCCTTGCGATGTAGCAGTTTAGAAACACACTTTCTGCAGAATCTGCAAGTGCATATTTGGACCTCTCTGAGGAATTCGTTGGAAACGGGATAATTTCAGCTGACTAAACAGAAGCATTCTCAGAACCTTCTTCGTGATGTCTGCATTCAACTCACAGTGTGGAACCTTTCTTTGATAGTTCAGGTTTGAAACACTCTTTTTGTAGAAACTGCAAGGGGATAATTGCACTTCTTTGAGGCCTACCGTAGTAAAGGAAATAACTTCCTATAGAAAGAAGACAGAAGCATTCTCAGAACCCTCTTCGTGATGTTTGCATTCAACTCACAGTGCTGAACCTTTCTTTGATAGTTCAGCTTTGAAACACTCTTCTTGTAGAAACTGCAAGTGGATATTTGGTCCTCTCTGAGGATTTCGTTGGAAACGGGATAAACCGCACAGAACTAAACAGAAGAATTCTCAGAGCCCTCTTCGTGATGTTTGCATTCAACTCACAGTGCTGAACCTTTCTTTGATAGTGCAGCTTTGAAACACTCTTTTTGTAGAAACTGCAAGTGGATGTTTGGTCCTCTCTGAGGATTTCGTTGGAAACGGGATAAACCGCACAGTAACTAAAACAGAAGCATTCTCAGAACCTTCTTCGTGATGTTTGCATTCAACTCACAGTGTTGAACCTTTCTTTCATAGTTCAGGTTTGAAACGGTCTTTCTGTAGAAACTGCAAGTAGATATTTGGACCTCTCTGAGGATTTCGTTGGAAACGGGATAAACCGCACAGAACTAAAACAGAAGCATTCACAGAAAACTCTTGGTGACGACTGAGTTTAACTCACAGAGCTGAACATTCCTTTGGATGGAGCAGTTTCGAAACACACTATTTGTAGAATGTGCAAGTGGATATTTGGGCCTCTCTGAGGATTTCGTTGGAAACGGGATAAACCGCACAGAACTAAACAGAAGCATTCTCAGAAACTACTTTGTGATGATTGCATTCAAGTCACAGAGTTGAACATTCCCTTTGACAGAGCAGTTTGGAAACTCTCTTTGTGTAGAATCTGCAAGTGGAGATATGGACCGCTTTGAGGCCTATGGTAGTAAAGGAAATAGCTTCATATAAAAGCTAGACATTAGCATTCTCAGAAACTTCTTTGTGATGCTTGCATTCAACTCACAGAGTTGAACTTTCCTTTCGAGAGAGAAGCTTTGAAACACTCTTTTTCCAGAATGTGCAAGTGGACATTTGGTGGGCTTTGAGGCCTGTGGTGGAAAAGGAATTATCTTCCCGTAAAAGCTAGATAGAAGCATTGTCAGAAACTTCTTTGTGATGATTGCATTCAACTCACAGAGTTGAAGGTTCCTTTTCAAAGAGCAGTTTCCAATCACTCTTTCTGTGGAATCTGCAAGTGGATATTTCGACCTATTTTGAAGATTTCGTTGGAAACGGGATAATCTTCACAGAAAAGCTAAACAGAAGCATTCTCAGAAACTTCTCTGTGATGTTTGTGTTCAACTCCCAGAGTTTCACATTGCTTTTCATAGAGTAGTTCTGAAACATGCTTTTCGTAGTGTCTACAAGTGGACATTTGGAGCGCTTCCAGGCCTGTGGTGGAAAACGAATTATGGTCACATAAAAACTGGAGAGAAGCCTTCTCAGAAACTTCTCTGTGATGATTGCATTCAACTCACAGAGTTGAACCCTCCTATGGATAGAGCAGTGTTGAAACTCTCTTTTTGTGGAATCTGCAAGTGGATATGTGGACCTCTCCGAAGATGTCTTTGGAAACGGGAATATCTTCACATAAAAACTAAACAGAAGCATTCTCAGAAACTTCTTGGTGATGTTTGCATTCAAATCCCAGAGTTGAACCTTCCTTTGATAGTTCAGGTTTGAAACACTCTTTCTGTAGGATCTGCAAGTGGCTATTTGGACCACTCTGTGGCCTTCGTTCGAAACGGGTATATCTTCGCATAAAATCTAGACAGAAGCATTCTCAGAAAATACTTTGTGATGATTGAGTTTAAATCACAGAGCTGACCATTCCTTTGGATGGAGCAGGTTTGAGACACACTTTTTGTAGAATCTACAAGTGGATATTTGGACCTCTCTGAGGATTTCGTTGGAAACGGGATAACTGCACCTAACTAAACGGAAGCATTCTCAGAAACTGCTTTGTGATGATTGCATTCACCTCACAGAGTTGAACATTCCTATTGATAGAGCAGTTTGGAAACACTCTTGTTGTGGAATGTGCAAGTGGAGATTTGGAGCGCTTTGAGGCCTATGGTAGTAAAGGGAATAGCTTCATAGAAAAACTAGACAGATGCATTCTCAGGAACTTTTTGGTGATGTTTGTATTCAACTCCCAGAGTTGAACTTTCCTTTGGAAAGAGCAGCTATGAAACACTCTTTTTCTAGAATCTGCAAGTGGACGTTTGGAGGGCTTTGTGGTTTGTGGTGGAAAAGGAAATATCTTCACCTAAATACTAGATAGAAGCATTCTCAGACGCTTCTCTGTGATGACTGCATTCAACTCACGGAGTTGAACACTCCTTTTGAGAGCGCAGTTTTGAAACTCTCTTTCTGTGGCATCTGCAAGGGGACATGTAGACCTCTTTGAAGATTTCGTTGGAAACGGAATCATCTTCACATAAAAACTATACAGAAGCAGTCTCAGAATCTTCTTTGTGATGTTTGCATTCAAATCCCAGAGTTGAACTTTCCTTTGAAAGTTCACGTTTGAAACACTCTTTTTGCAGGATCTACAAGTGGATATTTGGACCACTCTGTGTCCTTCGTTCGAAACGGGTATATCTTCACACGACATCTAGACAGAAGCTTTCTCAGAAAATTCTTTGGGATGATTGAGTGGAACTCACAGAGCTGAACATTCCTTGCGATGTAGCAGTTTAGAAACACACTTTCTGCAGAATCTGCAAGTGCATATTTGGACCTCTCTGAGGAATTCGTTGGAAACGGGATAATTTCAGCTGACTAAACAGAAGCATTCTCAGAACTTCTTCGTGATGTCTGCATTCAACTCACAGTGTGGAACCTTTCTTTGATAGTTCAGGTTTGAAACACTCTTTTTGTAGAAACTGCAAGGGGATAATTGCACTTCTTTGAGGCCTACCGTAGTAAAGGAAATAACTTCCTATAGAAAGAAGACAGAAGCATTCTCAGAACCCTCTTCGTGATGTTTGCATTCAACTCACAGTGCTGAACCTTTCTTTGATAGTTCAGCTTTGAAACACTCTTCTTGTAGAAACTGCAAGTGGATATTTGGTCCTCTCTGAGGATTTCGTTGGAAACGGGATAAACCGCACAGAACTAAACAGAAGAATTCTCAGAGCCCTCTTCGTGATGTTTGCATTCAACTCACAGTGCTGAACCTTTCTTTGATAGTGCAGCTTTGAAACACTCTTTTTGTAGAAACTGCAAGTGGATGTTTGGTCCTCTCTGAGGATTTCGTTGGAAACGGGATAAACCGCACAGAACTAAAACAGAAGCATTGTCAGAAACTTCTTTGTGATGATTGCATTCAACTCACAGAGTTGAAGGTTCCTTTTCAAACAGCAGTTTCCAATCACTCTTTCTGTGGAATCTGCAAGTGGATATTTGGGCCTCTCTGAGGATTTCGTTGGAAACGGGATAAAACGCACAGAACTAAAACAGAAGCATTCTCAGAAACTTCTCTGTGATGTTTGTGTTCAACTCCCAGAGTTTCACGTTGCTTTTCATAGAGTAGTTCTGAAACATGCTTTTCGTAGTGTCTGCAAGTGGACATTTGGAGCGCTTTCAGGCCTGTGGTGGAAAACGAATTATGGTCACATAAAAACTGGAGAGAAGCCTTCTCAGAAACTTCTCTGTGATGATTGCATTCAACTCACAGAGTTGAACCCTCCTATGGATAGAGCAGTGTTGAAACTCTCTTTTTGTGGAATCTGCAAGTGGATATGTGGACCTCTCCGAAGATGTCTTTGGAAACGGGAATATCTTCACATAAAAACTAAACAGAAGCATTCTCAGAAACTTCTTGGTGATGTTTGCATTCAAATCCCAGAGTTGAACCTTCCTTTGATAGTTCAGGTTTGAAACACTCTTTCTGTAGGATCTGCAAGTGGCTATTTGGACCACTCTGTGGCCTTCGTTCGAAACGGGTATATCTTCGCATAAAATCTAGACAGAAGCATTCTCAGAAAATACTTTGTGATGATTGAGTTTAAATCACAGAGCTGACCATTCCTTTGGATGGAGCAGGTTTGAGACACACTTTTTGTAGAATCTACAAGTGGATATTTGGACCTCTCTGAGGATTTCGTTGGAAACGGGATAACTGCACCTAACTAAACGGAAGCATTCTCAGAAACTGCTTTGTGATGATTGCATTCACCTCACAGAGTTGAACATTCCTATTGATAGAGCAGTTTGGAAACACTCTTGTTGTGGAATGTGCAAGTGGAGATTTGGAGCGCTTTGAGGCCTGTGGTAGTAAAGGGAATAGCTTCATAGAAAAACTAGACAGATGCATTCTCAGGAACTTTTTGGTGATGTTTGTATTCAACTCCCAGAGTTGAACTTTCCTTTGGAAAGAGCAGCTATGAAACACTCTTTTTCTAGAATCTGCAAGTGGACGTTTGGAGGGCTTTGTGGTTTGTGGTGGAAAAGGAAATATCTTCACCTAAATACTAGATAGAAGCATTCTCAGAAGCTTCTCTGTGATGACTGCATTCAACTCACGGAGTTGAACACTCCTTTTGAGAGCGCAGTTTTGAAACTCTCTTTCTGTGGCATCTGCAAGGGGACATGTAGACCTCTTTGAAGATTTCGTTGGAAACGGAATCATCTTCACATAAAAACTATACAGAAGCAGTCTCAGAATCTTCTTTGTGATGTTTGCATTCAAATCCCCGAGTTGAACTTTCCTTTCAAAGTTCACGTTTGAAACACTCTTTTTGCAGGATCTACAAGTGGATATTTGGACCACTCTGTGTCCTTCGTTCGAAACGGGTATATCTTCACATGACATCTAGACAGAAGCTTTCTCAGAAAATTCTTTGGGATGATTGAGTTGAACTCACAGAGCTGAGCATTCCTTGCGATGTAGCAGTTTAGAAACGCACTTTCTGCAGAATCTGCAAGTGCATATTTGGACCTCTGTGAGGAATTCGTTGGAAACGGGATAATTTCAGCTGACTAAACAGAAGCATTCTCAGAACCTTCTTCGTGATGTCTGCATTCAACTCACAGTGTGGAACCTTTCTTTGATAGTTCAGGTTTGAAACACTCTTTTTGTAGAAACTGCAAGGGGATAATTGCACTTCTTTGAGGCCTACCGTAGTAAAGGAAATAACTTCCTATAGAAAGAAGACAGAAGCATTCTCAGAACCCTCTTCGTGATGTTTGCATTCAACTCACAGTGCTGAACCTTTCTTTGATAGTTCAGCTTTGAAACACTCTTCTTGTAGAAACTGCAAGTGGATATTTGGTCCTCTCTGAGGATTTCGTTGGAAACGGGATAAACCGCACAGAACTAAACAGAAGAATTCTCAGAGCCCTCTTCGTGATGTTTGCATTCAACTCACAGTGCTGAACCTTTCTTTGATAGTGCAGCTTTGAAACACTCTTTTTGTAGAAACTGCAAGTGGATGTTTGGTCCTCTCTGAGGATTTCGTTGGAAACGGGATAAACCGCACAGAACTAAAACAGAAGCATTGTCAGAAACTTCTTTGTGATGATTGCATTCAACTCACAGAGTTGAAGGTTCCTTTTCAAACAGCAGTTTCCAATCACTCTTTCTGTGGAATCTGCAAGTGGATATTTGGGCCTCTCTGAGGATTTCGTTGGAAACGGGATAAAACGCACAGAACTAAAACAGAAGCATTCTCAGAAACTTCTCTGTGATGTTTGTGTTCAACTCCCAGAGTTTCACGTTGCTTTTCATAGAGTAGTTCTGAAACATGCTTTTCGTAGTGTCTGCAAGTGGACATTTGGAGCGCTTTCAGGCCTGTGGTGGAAAACGAATTATGGTCACATAAAAACTGGAGAGAAGCCTTCTCAGAAACTTCTCTGTGATGATTGCATTCAACTCACAGAGTTGAACCCTCCTATGGATAGAGCAGTGTTGAAACTCTCTTTTTGTGGAATCTGCAAGTGGATATGTGGACCTCTCCGAAGATGTCTTTGGAAACGGGAATATCTTCACATAAAAACTAAACAGAAGCATTCTCAGAAACTTCTTGGTGATGTTTGCATTCAAATCCCAGAGTTGAACCTTCCTTTGATAGTTCAGGTTTGAAACACTCTTTCTGTAGGATCTGCAAGTGGCTATTTGGACCACTCTGTGGCCTTCGTTCGAAACGGGTATATCTTCGCATAAAATCTAGACAGAAGCATTCTCAGAAAATACTTTGTGATGATTGAGTTTAAATCACAGAGCTGACCATTCCTTTGGATGGAGCAGGTTTGAGACACACTTTTTGTAGAATCTACAAGTGGATATTTGGACCTCTCTGAGGATTTCGTTGGAAACGGGATAACTGCACCTAACTAAACGGAAGCATTCTCAGAAACTGCTTTGTGATGATTGCATTCACCTCACAGAGTTGAACATTCCTATTGATAGAGCAGTTTGGAAACACTCTTGTTGTGGAATGTGCAAGTGGAGATTTGGAGCGCTTTGAGGTCTATGGTAGTAAAGGGAATAGCTTCATAGAAAAACTAGACAGATGCATTCTCAGGAACCTTTTGGTGATGTTTGTATTCAACTCCCAGAGTTGAACTTTCCTTTGGAAAGAGCAGCTATGAAACACTCTTTTTCTAGAATCTGCAAGTGGACGTTTGGAGGGCTTTGTGGTTTGTGGTGGAAAAGGAAATATCTTCACCTAAATACTAGATAGAAGCATTCTCAGAAGCTTCTCTGTGATGACTGCATTCAACTCACGGAGTTGAACACTCCTTTTGAGAGCGCAGTTTTGAAACTCTCTTTCTGTGGCATCTGCAAGGGGACATGTAGACCTCTTTGAAGATTTCGTTGGAAACGGAATCATCTTCACATAAAAACTATACAGAAGCAGTCTCAGAATCTTCTTTGTGATGTTTGCATTCAAATCCCAGAGTTGAACTTTCCTTTCAAAGTTCACGTTTGAAACACTCTTTTTGCAGGATCTACAAGTGGATATTTGGACCACTCTGTGTCCTTCGTTCGAAACGGGTATATCTTCACACGACATCTAGACAGAAGCTTTCTCAGAAAATTCTTTGGGATGATTGAGTGGAACTCACAGAGCTGAACATTCCTTGCGATGGAGCAGTTTAGAAACACACTTTCTGCAGAATCTGCAAGTGCATATTTGGACCTCTCTGAGGAATTCGTTGGAAACGGGATAATTTCAGCTGACTAAACAGAAGCATTCTCAGAACCTTCTTCGTGATGTCTGCATTCAACTCACAGTGTGGAACCTTTCTTTGATAGTTCAGGTTTGAAACACTCTTTTTGTAGAAACTGCAAGGGGATAATTGCACTTCTTTGAGGCCTACCGTAGTAAAGGAAATAACTTCCTATAGAAAGAAGACAGAAGCATTCTCAGAACCCTCTTCGTGATGTTTGCATTCAACTCACAGTGCTGAACCTTTCTTTGATAGTTCAGCTTTGAAACACTCTTCTTGTAGAAACTGCAAGTGGATATTTGGTCCTCTCTGAGGATTTCGTTGGAAACGGGATAAACCGCACAGAACTAAACAGAAGAATTCTCAGAGCCCTCTTCGTGATGTTTGCATTCAACTCACAGTGCTGAACCTTTCTTTGATAGTGCAGCTTTGAAACACTCTTTTTGTAGAAACTGCAAGTGGATGTTTGGTCCTCTCTGAGGATTTTGTTGGAAACGGGATAAACCGCACAGAACTAAAACAGAAGCATTGTCAGAAACTTCTTTGTGATGATTGCATTCAACTCACAGAGTTGAAGGTTCCTTTTCAAACAGCAGTTTCCAATCACTCTTTCTGTGGAATCTGCAAGTGGATATTTGGGCCTCTCTGAGGATTTCGTTGGAAACGGGATAAAACGCACAGAACTAAAACAGAAGCATTCTCAGAAACTTCTCTGTGATGTTTGTGTTCAACTCCCAGAGTTTCACGTTGCTTTTCATAGAGTACTTCTGAAACATGCTTTTCGTAGTGTCTGCAAGTGGACATTTGGAGCGCTTTCAGGCCTGTGGTGGAAAACGAATTATGGTCACATAAAAACTGGAGAGAAGCCTTCTCAGAAACTTCTCTGTGATGATTGCATTCAACTCACAGAGTTGAACCCTCCTATGGATAGAGCAGTGTTGAAACTCTCTTTTTGTGGAATCTGCAAGTGGATATGTGGACCTCTCCGAAGATGTCTTTGGAAACGGGAATATCTTCACATAAAAACTAAACAGAAGCATTCTCAGAAACTTCTTGGTGATGTTTGCATTCAAATCCCAGAGTTGAACCTTCCTTTGATAGTTCAGGTTTGAAACACTCTTTCTGTAGGATCTGCAAGTGGCTATTTGGACCACTCTGTGGCCTTCGTTCGAAACGGGTATATCTTCGCATAAAATCTAGACAGAAGCATTCTCAGAAAATACTTTGTGATGATTGAGTTTAAATCACAGAGCTGACCATTCCTTTGGATGGAGCAGGTTTGAGACACACTTTTTGTAGAATCTACAAGTGGATATTTGGACCTCTCTGAGGATTTCGTTGGAAACGGGATAACTGCACCTAACTAAACGGAAGCATTCTCAGAAACTGCTTTGTGATGATTGCATTCACCTCACAGAGTTGAACATTCCTATTGATAGAGCAGTTTGGAAACACTCTTGTTGTGGAATGTGCAAGTGGAGATTTGGAGCGCTTTGAGGCCTATGGTAGTAAAGGGAATAGCTTCATAGAAAAACTAGACAGATGCATTCTCAGGAACTTTTTGGTGATGTTTGTATTCAACTCCCAGAGTTGAACTTTCCTTTGGAAAGAGCAGCTATGAAACACTCTTTTTCTAGAATCTGCAAGTGGACGTTTGGAGGGCTTTGTGGTTTGTGGTGGAAAAGGAAATATCTTCACCTAAATACTAGATAGAAGCATTCTCAGAAGCTTCTCTGTGATGACTGCATTCAACTCACGGAGTTGAACACTCCTTTTGAGAGCGCAGTTTTGAAACTCTCTTTCTGTGGCATCTGCAAGGGGACATGTAGACCTCTTTGAAGATTTCGTTGGAAACGGAATCATCTTCACATAAAAACTATACAGAAGCAGTCTCAGAATCTTCTTTGTGATGTTTGCATTCAAATCCCAGAGTTGAACTTTCCTTTCAAAGTTCACGTTTGAAACACTCTTTTTGCAGGATCTACAAGTGGATATTTGGACCACTCTGTGTCCTTCGTTCGAAACGGGTATATCTTCACACGACATCTAGACAGAAGCTTTCTCAGAAAATTCTTTGGGATGATTGAGTGGAACTCACAGAGCTGAACATTCCTTGCGATGTAGCAGTTTAGAAACACACTTTCTGCAGAATCTGCAAGTGCATATTTGGACCTCTCTGAGGAATTCGTTGGAAACGGGATAATTTCAGCTGACTAAACAGAAGCATTCTCAGAACCTTCTTCGTGATGACTGCATTCAACTCACAGTGTGGAAGCTTTCTTTGATAGTTCAGCTTTGAAACACTCTTTTTGTAGAAACTGCAAGGGGATAATTGCACTTCTTTGAGGCCTACCGTACTAAAGGAAATAACTTCCTATAAAAAGAAGACAGAAGCATTCTCAGAACCCTCTTCGTGATGTTTGCATTCAACTCACAGTGCTGAACCTTTCTTTGATAGTTCAGCTTTGAAACACTCTTTTTGTAGAAACTGCAAGTGGATATTTGGTCCTCTGTGAGGATTTCGTTGGAAACGGGATAAACCGCACAGAACTAAACAGAAGCATCCTCAGAACCTTCTTCGTGATGTTTGCATTCAACTCACAGTGCTGAACCTTTCTTTAATAGTTCAGCTTTGAAACACTCTTTTTGTAGAAACTGCAAGTGGATATTTGGACCTCTCTGAGGATTTCGTTGGAAACGGGATAAACCGCACAGAACTAAAACAGAAGCATTCACAGAAAAACTCTTTGTGACGACTGCGTTTAACTCACAGAGCTGAAAATCCCTTTGGATGGAGCAGTTTCGAAAAACACTATTTGTAGAATGTGCAAGTGGATATTGGGGCCTCTCTGAGGATTTCGTTGGAAACGGGATAAACCACACAGAACTAAACAGAAGCATTCTCAGAAACTACTTTGTGATGATTGCATTCAAGTCACAGAGCTGAACATTCCCTTTGACAGAGCAGTTTGGAAACTCTCTTTGTGTAGAATCTGCAAGTGGAGATATGGAATGCTTTGAGGACTATGGTAGTAAAGGAAATAGCTTCATAGAAAAGCTAGACAGTAGCATTCTCAGAAACTGCTTTGTGATGATTGCATTCACCTCACAGAGTTGACCATTCCCATTGATAGAGCAGTTTGGAAACACTCTTGTTGTGGAATGTGCAAGTGGAGATTTGGAGCGCTTTGAGGTCTATGGTAGTAAAGGGAATAGCTTCATAGAAAAACTAGACAGATGCATTCTCAGGAACTTTTTGGTGATGTTTGTATTCAACTCCCAGAGTTGAACTTTCCTTTGGAAAGAGCAGCTATGAAACACTCTTTTTCTAGAATCTGCAAGTGGACGATTGGAGGGCTTTGTGGTTTTTGGTGGAAAAGGAAATATCTTCACCTAAATAGTAGATAGAAGCATTCTCAGAAGCTTCTCTGTGATGACTGCATTCAACTCACGGAGTTGAACACTCCTTTTGAGAGCGCAGTTTTGAAACTCTCTTTCTGTGGCATCTGCAAGGGGACATGTAGACCTCTTTGAAGATTTCGTTGGAAACGGAATCATCCTCACATCAAAACTATACAGAAGCAGTCTCAGAATCTTCTTTGTGATGTTTGCATTCAAATCCCAGAGTTGAACTTTCCTTTCAAAGTTCACGTTTGAAACACTCTTTTTGCAGGATCTACAAGTGGATATTTGGACCACTCTGTGTCCTTCGTTCGAAACGGGTATATCTTCACATGACATCTAGACAGAAGCTTTCTCAGAAAATTCTTTGGGATGATTGAGTGGAGCAAACAGAGCTGAACACTCCTTGCGATGTAGCAGTTTAGAAACACCCTTTCTGCAGAATCTGCAAGTGCATATGTGGACCTCTCTGAGGAATTCGTTGGAAACGGGATAATTTCAGCTGACTAAACAGAAGCATTCTCAGAACCTTCCTCGTGATGTCTGCATTCAACTCACAGTGTGGAACCTTTCTTTGATAGTTCAGGTTTGAAACACTCTTTTTGTAGAAACTGCAAGGGGATCATTGCACTTCTTTGAGGCCTACCGTAGTAAAGGAAATAACTTCCTATAAAAAGAAGACAGAAGCATTCTCAGAACCCTCTTCGTGATGTTTGCATTCAATTCACGGTGCTGAACCTTTCTTTGATAGTTCAGCTTTGAAACACTCTTTTTGTAGAAACTGCAAGTGGATATTTGGTCCTCTCTGAGGATTTCGTTGGAAACGGGATAAACCGCACAGAACTATACAGAAGCATTCTCAGAACCTTCTTCGTGATGTTTGCATTCAACTCACAGTGTTGAACCTTTCTTTGATAGTTCAGGTTTGAAACGGTCTTTCTGTAGAAACTGCAAGTAGATATTTGGACCTCTCTGAGGATTTCGTTGGAAACGGGATAAACCGCACAGAACTAAAACAGAAGCATTCACAGAAAACTCTTGGTGACGACTGAGTTTAACTCACAGAGCTGAACATTCCTTTGGATGGAGCAGTTTCGAAACACACTATTTGTAGAATGTGCAAGTGGATATTTGGGCCTCTCTGAGGATTTCCTTGGAAACGGGATAAACCGCACAGAACTAAACAGAAGCATTCTCAGAAACTACTTTGTGATGATTGCATTCAAGTCACAGAGTTGAACATTCCCTTTGACAGAGCAGTTTGGAAACTCTCTTTGTGTAGAATCTGCAAGTGGAGATATGGACCGCTTTGAGGCCTATGGTAGTAAAGGAAATAGCTTCATATAAAAGCTAGACAGTAGCATTCTCAGAAACTTCTTTGTGATGCTTGCATTCAACTCACAGAGTTGAACTTTCCTTTCGAGAGAGAAGCTTTGAAACACTCTTTTTCCAGAATCTGCAAGTGGACATTTGGAGGGCTTTGAGGCCTGTGGTGGAAAAGGAATTATCTTCCCGTAAAAGCTAGATAGAAGCATTGTCAGAAACTTCTTTGTGATGATTGCATTCAACTCACAGAGTTGAAGGTTCCTTTTCAAAGAGCAGTTTCCAATCACTCTTTGTGTGGAATCTGCAAGTGGATATTTGGACCTATTTTGAAGATTTCGTTGGAAACGGGAGAATCTTCACAGGAAAGCTAAACAGAAGCATTCTCAGAAACTTCTCTGTGATGTTTGTGTTCAACTCCCAGAGTTTCACATTGCTTTTCATAGAGTAGTTCTGAAACATGCTTTTCGTAGTGTCTACAAGTGGACATTTGGAGCGCTTTCAGGCCTGTGGTGGAAAACGAATTATGGTCACATAAAAACTGGAGAGAAGCCTTCTCAGAAACTTCTCTGTGATGATTGCATTCAACTCACAGAGTTGAACCCTCCTATGGATAGAGCAGTGTTGAAACTCTCTTTTTGTGGAATCTGCAAGTGGATATGTGGACCTCTCCGAAGATGTCTTTGGAAACGGGAATATCTTCACATAAAAACTAAACAGAAGCATTCTCAGAAACTTCTTGGTGATGTTTGCATTCAAATCCCAGAGTTGAACCTTCCTGTGATAGTTCAGGTTTGAAACACTCTTTTTGTAGGATCTGCAAGTGGATATTTGGACCACTCTGTGGCCTTCGTTCGAAACGGGTATATCTTCGCATAAAATCTAGACAGAAGCATTCTCAGAAAATACTTTGTGATGATTGAGTTTAACTCACAGAGCTGAACATTCCTTTGGATGGAGCAGGTTTGAGACACACTTTTTGTAGAATCTACAAGTGGATATTTGGACCTCTCTGAGGATTTCGTTGGAAACGCGATAACTGCACCTAACTAAACGGAAGCATTCTCAGAAACTGCTTTGTGATGATTGCATTCACCTCACAGAGTTGAACATTCCTATTGATAGAGCAGTTTGGAAACACTCTTGTTGTGGAATGTGCAAGTGGAGATTTGGAGCGCTTTGAGGCCTATGGTAGTAAAGGGAATAGCTTCATAGAAAAACTAGACAGATGCATTCTCAGGAACTTTTTGGTGATGTTTGTATTCAACTCCCAGAGTTGAACTTTCCTTTGGAAAGAGCAGCTATGAAACACTCTTTTTCTAGAATCTGCAAGTGGACGTTTGGAGGGCTTTGTGGTTTGTGGTGGAAAAGGAAATATCTTCACCTAAATACTAGATAGAAGCATTCTCAGAAGCTTCTCTGTGATGACTGCATTCAACTCACGGAGTTGAACACTCCTTTTGAGAGCGCAGTTTTGAAACTCTCTTTCTGTGGCATCTGCAAGGGGACATGTAGACCTCTTTGAAGATTTCGTTGGAAACGGAATCATCTTCACATAAAAACTATACAGAAGCAGTCTCAGAATCTTCTTTGTGATGTTTGCATTCAAATCCCAGAGTTGAACTTTCCTTTCAAAGTTCACGTTTGAAACACTCTTTTTGCAGGATCTACAAGTGGATATTTGGACCACTCTGTGTCCTTCGTTCGAAACGGGTATAACTTCACACGACATCTAGACAGAAGCTTTCTCAGAAAATTCTTTGGGATGATTGAGTGGAACTCACAGAGCTGAACATTCCTTGCGATGTAGCAGTTTAGAAACACACTTTCTGCAGAATCTGCAAGTGCATATTTGGACCTCTCTGAGGAATTCGTTGGAAACGGGATAATTTCAGCTGACTAAACAGAAGCATTCTCAGAACCTTCTTCGTGATGTCTGCATTCAACTCACAGTGTGGAACCTTTCTTTGATAGTTCAGGTTTGAAACACTCTTTTTGTAGAAACTGCAAGGGGATAATTGCACTTCTTTGAGGCCTACCGTAGTAAAGGAAATAACTTCCTATAGAAAGAAGACAGAAGCATTCTCAGAACCCTCTTCGTGATGTTTGCATTCAACTCACAGTGCTGAACCTTTCTTTGATAGTTCAGCTTTGAAACACTCTTCTTGTAGAAACTGCAAGTGGATATTTGGTCCTCTCTGAGGATTTCGTTGGAAACGGGATAAACCGCACAGAACTAAACAGAAGAATTCTCAGAGCCCTCTTCGTGATGTTTGCATTCAACTCACAGTGCTGAACCTTTCTTTGATAGTGCAGCTTCGAAACACTCTTTTTGTAGAAACTGCAAGTGGATGTTTGGTCCTCTCTGAGGATTTCGTTGGAAACGGGATAAACTGCACAGAACTAAAACAGAAGCATTGTCAGAAACTTCTTTGTGATGATTGCATTCAACTCACAGAGTTGAAGGTTCCTTTTCAAACAGCAGTTTCCAATCACTCTTTCTGTGGAATCTGCAAGTGGATATTTGGGCCTCTCTGAGGATTTCGTTGGAAACGGGATAAAACGCACAGAACTAAAACAGAAGCATTCTCAGAAACTTCTCTGTGATGTTTGTGTTCAACTCCCAGAGTTTCACGTTGCTTTTCATAGAGTAGTTCTGAAACATGCTTTTCGTAGTGTCTGCAAGTGGACATTTGGAGCGCTTTCAGGCCTGTGGTGGAAAACGAATTATGGTCACATAAAAACTGGAGAGAAGCCTTCTCAGAAACTTCTCTGTGATGACTGCATTCAACTCACAGAGTTGAACCCTCCTATGGATAGAGCAGTGTTGAAACTCTCTTTTTGTGGAATCTGCAAGTGGATATGTGGACCTCTCCGAACATGTCTTTGGAAACGGGAATATCTTCACATAAAAACTAAACAGAAGCAGTCTCAGAAACTTCTTTGTGATGTTTGCATTCAAATCCCAGACTTGAACCTTCCTTTGATAGTTCAGGTTTGAAACCCTCTTTTTGTAGGATCTGCCAGTGGATATTTGGACCACTTTGTGGCCTTCATTCGAAACGGGTATACCTTCACATAAAATCTAGACAGAAGCATTCTCAGAAAATACTTTGTGATGATTGAGTTTAAATCACAGAGCTGACCATTCCTTTGGATGGAGCAGGTTTGAGACACACTTTTTGTAGAATCTACAAGTGGATATTTGGACCTCTCTGAGGATTTCGTTGGAAACGGGATAACTGCACCTAACTAAACGGAAGCATTCTCAGAAACTGCTTTGTGATGATTGCATTCACCTCACAGAGTTGAACATTCCTATTGATAGAGCAGTTTGGAAACACTCTTGTTGTGGAATGTGCAAGTGGAGATTTGGAGCGCTTTGAGGCCTGTGGTAGTAAAGGGAATAGCTTCATAGAAAAACTAGACAGATGCATTCTCAGGAACTTTTTGGTGATGTTTGTATTCAACTCCCAGAGTTGAACTTTCCTTTGGAAAGAGCAGCTATGAAACACTCTTTTTCTAGAATCTGCAAGTGGACGTTTGGAGGGCTTTGTGGTTTGTGGTGGAAAAGGAAATATCTTCACCTAAATACTAGATAGAAGCATTCTCAGAAGCTTCTCTGTGATGACTGCATTCAACTCACGGAGTTGAACACTCCTTTTGAGAGCGCAGTTTTGAAACTCTCTTTCTGTGGCATCTGCAAGGGGACATGTAGACCTCTTTGAAGATTTCGTTGGAAACGGAATCATCTTCACATAAAAACTATACAGAAGCAGTCTCAGAATCTTCTTTGTGATGTTTGCATTCAAATCCCAGCAGTTGAACTTTCCTTTCAAAGTTCACGTTTGAAACACTCTTTTTGCAGGATCTACAAGTGGATATTTGGACCACTCTGTGTCCTTCGTTCGAAACGGGTATATCTTCACACGACATCTAGACAGAAGCTTTCTCAGAAAATTCTTTGGGATGATTGAGTGGAACTCACAGAGCTGAACATTCCTTGCGATGTAGCAGTTTAGAAACACACTTTCTGCAGAATCTGCAAGTGCATATTTGGACCTCTCTGAGGAATTCGTTGGAAACGGGATAATTTCAGCTGACTAAACAGAAGCATTCTCAGAACCTTCTTCGTGATGTCTGCATTCAACTCACAGTGTGGAACCTTTCTTTGATAGTTCAGGTTTGAAACACTCTTTTTGTAGAAACTGCAAGGGGATAATTGCACTTCTTTGAGGCCTACCGTAGTAAAGGAAATAACTTCCTATAGAAAGAAGACAGAAGCATTCTCAGAACCCTCTTCGTGATGTTTGCATTCAACTCACAGTGCTGAACCTTTCTTTGATAGTTCAGCTTTGAAACACTCTTCTTGTAGAAACTGCAAGTGGATATTTGGTCCTCTCTGAGGATTTCGTTGGAAACGGGATAAACCGCACAGAACTAAACAGAAGAATTCTCAGAGCCCTCTTCGTGATGTTTGCATTCAACTCACAGTGCTGAACCTTTCTTTGATAGTGCAGCTTTGAAACACTCTTTTTGTAGAAACTGCAAGTGGATGTTTGGTCCTCTCTGAGGATTTCGTTGGAAACGGGATAAACCGCACAGAACTAAAACAGAAGCATTGTCAGAAACTTCTTTGTGATGATTGCATTCAACTCACAGAGTTGAAGGTTCCTTTTCAAACAGCAGTTTCCAATCACTCTTTCTGTGGAATCTGCAAGTGGATATTTGGGCCTCTCTGAGGATTTCGTTGGAAACGGGATAAAACGCACAGAACTAAAACAGAAGCATTCTCAGAAACTTCTCTGTGATGTTTGTGTTCAACTCCCAGAGTTTCACGTTGCTTTTCATAGAGTAGTTCTGAAACATGCTTTTCGTAGTGTCTGCAAGTGGACATTTGGAGCGCTTTCAGGCCTGTGGTGGAAAACGAATTATGGTCACATAAAAACTGGAGAGAAGCCTTCTCAGAAACTTCTCTGTGATTATTGCATTCAACTCACAGAGTTGAACCCTCCTATGGATAGAGCAGTGTTGAAACTCTCTTTTTGTGGAATCTGCAAGTGGATATGTGGACCTCTCCGAAGATGTCTTTGGAAACGGGAATATCTTCACATAAAAACTAAACAGAAGCATTCTCAGAAACTTCTTGGTGATGTTTGCATTCAAATCCCAGAGTTGAACCTTCCTTTGATAGTTCAGGTTTGAAACACTCTTTCTGTAGGATCTGCAAGTGGCTATTTGGACCACTCTGTGGCCTTCGTTCGAAACGGGTATATCTTCGCATAAAATCTAGACAGAAGCATTCTCAGAAAATACTTTGTGATGATTGAGTTTAAATCACAGAGCTGACCATTCCTTTGGATGGAGCAGGTTTGAGACACACTTTTTGTAGAATCTACAAGTGGATATTTGGACCTCTCTGAGGATTTCGTTGGAAACGGGATAACTGCACCTAACTAAACGGAAGCATTCTCAGAAACTGCTTTGTGATGATTGCATTCACCTCACAGAGTTGAACATTCCTATTGATAGAGCAGTTTGGAAACACTCTTGTTGTGGAATGTGCAAGTGGAGATTTGGAGCGCTTTGAGGCCTATGGTAGTAAAGGGAATAGCTTCATAGAAAAACTAGACAGATGCATTCTCAGGAACTTTTTGGTGATGTTTGTATTCAACTCCCAGAGTTGAACTTTCCTTTGGAAAGAGCAGCTATGAAACACTCTTTTTCTAGAATCTGCAAGTGGACGTTTGGAGGGCTTTGTGGTTTGTGGTGGAAAAGGAAATATCTTCACCTAAATACTAGATAGAAGCATCCTCAGAAGCTTCTCTGTGATGACTGCATTCAACTCACGGAGTTGAACACTCCTTTTGAGAGCGCAGTTTTGAAACTCTCTTTCTGTGGCATCTGCAAGGGGACATGTAGACGTCTTTGAAGATTTCGTTGGAAACGGAATCATCTTCACATAAAAACTACACAGAAGCAGTCTCAGAATCTTCTTTGTGATGTTTGCATTCAAATCCCCGAGTTGAACTTTCCTTTCAAAGTTCACGTTTGAAACACTCTTTTTGCAGGATCTACAAGTGGATATTTGGACCACTCTGTGTCCTTCGTTCGAAACGGGTATATCTTCACATGACATCTAGACAGAAGCTTTCTCAGAAAATTCTTTGGGATGATTGAGTTGAACTCACAGAGCTGAGCATTCCTTGCGATGTAGCAGTTTAGAAACACACTTTCTGCAGAATCTGCAAGTGCATATTTGGACCTCTGTGAGGAATTCGTTGGAAACGGGATAATTTCAGCTGACTAAACAGAAAGCATTCTCAGAACCTTCTTCGTGATGTCTGCATTCAACTCACAGTGTGGAACCTTTCTTTGATAGTTCAGGTTTGAAACACTCTTTTTGTAGAAACTGCAAGGGGATAATTGCACTCTTTGAGGAGTACCGTAGTAAAGGAAATAACTTCCTCTAAAAAGAAGACAGAAGCATTCTCAGAACCCTCTTCGTGATGTTTGCATTCAACTCACAGTGCTGAACCTTTCTTTGATAGTTCAGCTTTGAAACACTCTTTTTGTAGAAACTGCAAGTGGATATTTGGTCCTCTCTGAGGAATTCGTTGGAAACGGGATAAACTGCACAGAACTAAACAGAAGCATTCTCAGAACCTTCTTCGTGATGTTTGCATTCAACTCACAGTGTTGAACCTTTCTTTGATAGTTCAGGTTTGAAACGGTCTTTCTGTAGAAACTGCAAGTAGATATTTGGACCTCTCTGAGGATTTCGTTGGAAACGGGATAACCCGCACAGAACTAAAACAGAAGCATTCACAGAAAACTCTTGGTGACGACTGAGTTTAACTCACAGAGCTGAACATTCCTTTGGATGGAGCAGTTTCGAAACACACTATTTGTAGAATGTGCAAGTGGATATTTAGGCCTCTCTGAGGATTTCGTTGGAAACGGGATAAACCGCACAGAACTAAACAGAAGCATTCTCAGAAACTACTTTGTGATGATTGCATTCAAGTCACAGAGTTGAACATTCCCTTTGACAGAGCAGTTTGGAAACTCTCTTTGTGTAGAATCTGCAAGTGGAGATATGGACCGCTTTGAGGCCTATGGTAGTAAAGGAAATAGCTTCATATAAAAGCTAGACAGTAGCATTCTCAGAAACTTCTTTGTGATGCTTGCATTCAACTCACAGAGTTGAACTTTCCTTTCGAGAGAGAAGCTTTGAAACACTCTTTTTCCAGAATCTGCAAGTGGACATTTGGAGGGCTTTGAGGCCTGTGGTGGAAAAGGAATTATCTTCCCGTAAAAGCTAGATAGAAGCATTGTCAGAAACTTCTTTGTGATGATTGCATTCAACTCACAGAGATGAAGGTTCCTTTACAAACAGCAGTTTCCAAACACTCTTTCTGTGGAATCTGCAAGTGGATATTTGGACCTCTTTGAAGATTTCGTTGGAAACGGGAGAATCTTCACAGAAAAGCTAAACAGAAGCATTCTCAGAAACTTCTCTGTGATGTTTGTGTTCAACTCCCAGAGTTTCACATTGCTTTTCATAGAGTAGTTCTGAAACATGCTTTTCGTAGTGTCTGCAAGTGGACATTTGGAGCGCTTTCAGGCCTGTGGTGGAAAACGAATTATGGTCCCATAAAAACTGGAGAGAAGCCTTCTCAGAAACTTCTCTGTGATGATTGCATTCAACTCACAGGTTTGAACCCTCCTATGGATAGAGCATTGTTGAAACTCTCTTTTTGTGGAATCTGCAAGTGGATATGTGGACCTCTCCGAAGATGTCTTTGGAAACGGGAATATCTTCACATAAAAACTAAACAGAAGCATTCTCAGAAACTTCTTGGTGATGTTTGCATTCAAATCCCAGAGTTGAACCTTCCTGTGATAGTTCAGGTTTGAAACACTCTTTTTGTAGGATCTGCAAGTGGATATTTGGACCACTCTGTGGCCTTCGTTCGAAACGGGTACATCTTCACATAAAATCTAGACAGAAGCATTCTCAGAAAATACTTTGTGATGATTGAGTTTAACTCACAGAGCTGAACATTCCTTTGGATGGAGCAGGTTTGAGACACACTTTTTGTAGAATCTACAAGTGGATATTTGGACCTCTCTGAGGATTTCGTTGGAAACGCGATAACTGCACCTAACTAAACGGAAGCATTCTCAGAAACTGCTTTGTGATGATTGCATTCACCTCACAGAGTTGAACATTCCTATTGATAGAGCAGTTTGGAAACACTCTTGTTGTGGAATGTGCAAGTGGAGATTTGGAGCGCTTTGAGGCCTATGGTAGTAAAGGGAATAGCTTCATAGAAAAACTAGACAGATGCATTCTCAGGAACTTTTTGGTGATGTTTGTATTCAACTCCCAGAGTTCAACTTTCCTTTGGAAAGAGCAGCTATGAAACACTCTTTTTCTAGAATCTGCAAGTGGACGTTTGGAGGGCTTTGTGGTTTGTGGTGGAAAAGGAAATATCTTCACCTAAATACTAGATAGAAGCATTCTCAGAAGCTTCTCTGTGATGACTGCATTCAACTCACGGAGTTGAACACTCCTTTTGAGAGCGCAGTTTTGAAACTCTCTTTCTGTGGCATCTGCAAGGGGACATGTAGACCTCTTTGAAGATTTCGTTGGAAACGGAATCATCTTCACATAAAAACTATACAGAAGCAGTCTCAGAATCTTCTTTGTGATGTTTGCATTCAAATCCCAGAGTTGAACTTTCCTTTCAAAGTTCACGTTTGAAACACTCTTTTTGCAGGATCTACAAGTGGATATTTGGACCACTCTGTGTCCTTCGTTCGAAACGGGTATATCTTCACACGACATCTAGACAGAAGCTTTCTCAGAAAATTCTTTGGGATGATTGAGTGGAACTCACAGAGCTGAACATTCCTTGCGATGTAGCAGTTTAGAAACACACTTTCTGCAGAATCTGCAAGTGCATATTTGGACCTCTCTGAGGAATTCGTTGGAAACGGGATAATTTCAGCTGACTAAACAGAAGCATTCTCAGAACCTTCTTCGTGATGTCTGCATTCAACTCACAGTGTGGAACCTTTCTTTGATAGTTCAGGTTTGAAACACTCTTTTTGTAGAAACTGCAAGGGGATAATTGCACTTCTTTGAGGCCTACCGTAGTAAAGGAAATAACTTCCTATAGAAAGAAGACAGAAGCATTCTCAGAACCCTCTTCGTGATGTTTGCATTCAACTCACAGTGCTGAACCTTTCTTTGATAGTTCAGCTTTGAAACACTCTTCTTGTAGAAACTGCAAGTGGATATTTGGTCCTCTCTGAGGATTTCGTTGGAAACGGGATAAACCGCACAGAACTAAACAGAAGAATTCTCAGAGCCCTCTTCGTGATGTTTGCATTCAACTCACAGTGCTGAACCTTTCTTTGATAGTGCAGCTTTGAAACACTCTTTTTGTAGAAACTGCAAGTGGATGTTTGGTCCTCTCTGAGGATTTCGTTGGAAACGGGATAAACCGCACAGAACTAAAACAGAAGCATTGTCAGAAACTTCTTTGTGATGATTGCATTCAACTCACAGAGTTGAAGGTTCCTTTTCAAACAGCAGTTTCCAATCACTCTTTCTGTGGAATCTGCAAGTGGATATTTGGGCCTCTCTGAGGATTTCGTTGGAAACGGGATAAAACGCACAGAACTAAAACAGAAGCATTCTCAGAAACTTCTCTGTGATGTTTGTGTTCAACTCCCAGAGTTTCACGTTGCTTTTCATAGAGTAGTTCTGAAACATGCTTTTCGTAGTGTCTGCAAGTGGACATTTGGAGCGCTTTCAGGCCTGTGGTGGAAAACGAATTATGGTCACATAAAAACTGGAGAGAAGCCTTCTCAGAAACTTCTCTGTGATGATTGCATTCAACTCACAGAGTTGAACCCTCCTATGGATAGAGCAGTGTTGAAACTCTCTTTTTGTGGAATCTGCAAGTGGATATGTGGACCTCTCCGAAGATGTCTTTGGAAACGGGAATATCTTCACATAAAAACTAAACAGAAGCATTCTCAGAAACTTCTTGGTGATGTTTGCATTCAAATCCCAGAGTTGAACCTTCCTTTGATAGTTCAGGTTTGAAACACTCTTTCTGTAGGATCTGCAAGTGGCTATTTGGACCACTCTGTGGCCTTCGTTCGAAACGGGTATATCTTCGCATAAAATCTAGACAGAAGCATTCTCAGAAAATACTTTGTGATGATTGAGTTTAAATCACAGAGCTGACCATTCCTTTGGATGGAGCAGGTTTGAGACACACTTTTTGTAGAATCTACAAGTGGATATTTGGACCTCTCTGAGGATTTCGTTGGAAACGGGATAACTGCACCTAACTAAACGGAAGCATTCTCAGAAACTGCTTTGTGATGATTGCATTCACCTCACAGAGTTGAACATTCCTATTGATAGAGCAGTTTGGAAACACTCTTGTTGTGGAATGTGCAAGTGGAGATTTGGAGCGCTTTGAGGCCTATGGTAGTAAAGGGAATAGCTTCATAGAAAAACTAGACAGATGCATTCTCAGGAACTTTTTGGTGATGTTTGTATTCAACTCCCAGAGTTGAACTTTCCTTTGGAAAGAGCAGCTATGAAACACTCTTTTTCTAGAATCTGCAAGTGGACGTTTGGAGGGCTTTGTGGTTTGTGGTGGAAAAGGAAATATCTTCACCTAAATACTAGATAGAAGCATTCTCAGAAGCTTCTCTGTGATGACTGCATTCAACTCACGGAGTTGAACACTCCTTTTGAGAGCGCAGTTTTGAAACTCTCTTTCTGTGGCATCTGCAAGGGGACATGTAGACCTCTTTGAAGATTTCGTTGGAAACGGAATCATCTTCACATCAAAACTATACAGAAGCAGTCTCAGAATCTTCTTTGTGATGTTTGCATTCAAATCCCAGAGTTGAACTTTCCTTTCCAAGTTCACGTTTGAAACACTCTTTTTGCAGGATCTACAAGTGGATATTTGGACCACTCTGTGTCCTTCGTTCGAAACGGGTATATCTTCACATGACATCTAGACAGAAGCTTTCTCAGAAAATTCTTTGGGATGATTGAGTTGAGCAAACAGAGCTGAACACTCCTTGTGATGTAGCAGTTTAGAAACACACTTTCTGCAGAATCTGCAAGTGCATATGTGGACCTCTCTGAGGAAATCGTTGGAAACGGGATAATTTCAGCTGACTAAACAGAAGCATTCTCAGAACCTTCTTCGTGATGTCTGCATTCAACTCACAGTGTGGAACCTTTCTTTGATAGTTCAGGTTTGAAACACTCTTTTTGTAGAAACTGCAAGGGGATCATTGCACTTCTTTGAGGCCTACCGTAGTAAAGGAGATAACTTCCTATAAAAAGAAGACAGAAGCATTCTCAGAACCCTCTTCGTGATGTTTGCATTCAACTCACGGTGCTGAACCTTTCTTTGATAGTTCAGCTTTGAAACACTCTTTTTGTAGAAACTGCAATTGGATATTTGGTCCTCTCTGAGGATTTCGTTGGAAACTGGACAAACCGCACAGAACTAAACAGAAGCATTCTCAGAACCTTCTTCGTGATGTTTGCATTCAACTCACAGTGTTGAACCTTTCTTTGATAGTTCAGGTTTGAAACGGTCTTTCTGTAGAAACTGCAAGTAGATATTTGGACCTCTCTGAGGATTTCGTTGGAAACGGGATAAACCGCACACAACTAAAACAGAAGCATTCACAGAAAACTCTTGGTGACGACTGAGTTTAACTCACAGAGCTGAACATTCGTTTGGATGGAGCAGTTTCGAAACACACTATTTGTAGAATGTGCAAGTGGATATGTGGGCCTCTCTGAGGATTTCGTTGGAAACGGGATAAACCGCACAGAACTAAACAGAAGCATTCTCAGAAACTACTTTGTGATGATTGCATTCAAGTCACAGAGTTGAACATTCCCTTTGACAGAGCAGTTTGGAAACTCTCTTTGTGTAGAATCTGCAAGTGGAGATATGGACCGCTTTCAGGCCTATGGTAGTAAAGGAAATAGCTTCATATAAAAGCTAGACAGTAGCATTCTCAGAAACTTCTTTGTGATGCTTGCATTCAACTCACAGAGTTGAACTTTCCTTTCGAGAGAGAAGCTTTGAAACACTCTTTTTCCAGAATCTGCAAGTGGACATTTGGAGGGCTTTGAGGCCTGTGGTGGAAAAGGAATTATCTTCCCGTAAAAGCTAGATAGAAGCATTGTCAGAAACTTCTTTGTGATGATTGCATTCAAGTCACAGAGTTGAAGGTTCCTTTTCAAAGAGCAGTTTCAATCACTCTTTCTGTGGAATCTGCAAGTGGATATTTGGACCTCTTTGAAGATTTCGTTGGAAACGGGAGAATCTTCACAGAAAAGCTAAACAGAAGCATTCTCAGAAACTTCTCTGTGATGTTTGTGTTCAACTCCCAGAGTTTCACGTTGCTTTTCATAGAGTAGTTCTGAAACATGCTTTTCGTAGTGTCTGCAAGTGGACATTTGGAGCGCTTTCAGGCCTGTGGTGGAAAACGAATTATGGTCACATAAAAACTGGAGAGAAGCCTTCTCAGAAACTTCTCTGTGATGATTGCATTCAACTCACAGAGTTGAACCCTCCTATGGATAGAGCAGTGTTGAAACTCTCTTTTTGTGGAATCTGCAAGTGGATATGTGGACCTCTCCGAAGATGTCTTTGGAAACGGGAATATCTTCACATAAAAACTAAACAGAAGCATTCTCAGAAACTTCTTGGTGATGTTTGCATTCAAATCCCAGAGTTGAACCTTCCTTTGATAGTTCAGGTTTGAAACACTCTTTCTGTAGGATCTGCAAGTGGCTATTTGGACCACTCTGTGGCCTTCGTTCGAAACGGGTATATCTTCGCATAAAATCTAGACAGAAGCATTCTCAGAAAATACTTTGTGATGATTGAGTTTAAATCACAGAGCTGACCATTCCTTTGGATGGAGCAGGTTTGAGACACACTTTTTGTAGAATCTACAAGTGGATATTTGGACCTCTCTGAGGATTTCGTTGGAAACGGGATAACTGCACCTAACTAAACGGAAGCATTCTCAGAAACTGCTTTGTGATGATTGCATTCACCTCACAGAGTTGAACATTCCTATTGATAGAGCAGTTTGGAAACACTCTTGTTGTGGAATGTGCAAGTGGAGATTTGGAGCGCTTTGAGGCCTATGGTAGTAAAGGGAATAGCTTCATAGAAAAACTAGACAGATGCATTCTCAGGAACTTTTTGGTGATGTTTGTATTCAACTCCCAGAGTTGAACTTTCCTTTGGAAAGAGCAGCTATGAAACACTCTTTTTCTAGAATCTGCAAGTGGACGTTTGGAGGGCTTTGTGGTTTGTGGTGGAAAAGGAAATATCTTCACCTAAATACTAGATAGAAGCATTCTCAGAAGCTTCTCTGTGATGACTGCATTCAACTCACGGAGTTGAACACTCCTTTTGAGAGCGCAGTTTTGAAACTCTCTTTCTGTGGCATCTGCAAGGGGACATGTAGACCTCTTTGAAGATTTCGTTGGAAACGGAATCATCTTCACATAAAAACTATACAGAAGCAGTCTCAGAATCTTCTTTGTGGTGTTTGCATTCAAATCCCAGAGTTGAACTTTCCTTTCAAAGTTCACGTTTGAAACACTCTTTTTGCAGGATCTACAAGTGGATATTTGGACCACTCTGTGTCCTTCGTTCGAAACGGGTATATCTTCACATGACATCTAGACAGAAGCTTTCTCAGAAAATTCTTTGGGATGATTGAGTTGAACTCACAGAGCTGAACATTCCTTGCGATGTAGCAGTTCAGAAACACACTTTCTGCAGAATCTGCAAGTGCATATTTGGACCTCTCTGAGGAATTCGTTGGAAACGGGATAATTTCAGCTGACTAAACAGAAGCATTCTCAGAACCTTCTTCGTGATGTCTGCATTCAACTCACAGTGTGGAACCTTTCTTTGATAGTTCAGGTTTGAAACACTCTTTTTGTAGAAACTGCAAGGGGATAATTGCACTTCTTTGAGGCCTACCGTAGTAAAGGAAATAACTTCCTATAAAAAGAAGACAGAAGCATTCGCAGAACCCTCTTCGTGATGTTTGCATTCAACTCACGGTGCTGAACCTTTCTTTGATAGTTCAGCTTTGAAACACTCTTTTTGTAGAAACTGCAAGTGGATATTTGGTCCTCTCTGAGGATTTCGTTGGAAACGGGATAAACCGCACAGAACTAAACAGAAGAATTCTCAAATCCTTCTTCGTGATGTTTGCATTCAACTCTCAGTGCTGAACCTTTCTTTGATAGATCAGCTTTGAAACACTCTTTTTGTAGAAACTGCAAGTGGATATTTGGTGCTCTCTGAGGATTTCGTTGGAAACGGGATAAACCGCACAGAACTAAATAGAAGCATTCACAGAAAACTCTTGGTGACGACTGAGTTTAACTCACAGAGCTGAACATTCCTTTGGAGGGAGCAGTTTCGAAACACACTATTTGTAGAATGTGCAAGTGGATATTTGGGCCTCTCTGAGGATTTCGTTGGAAACGGGATAAACGGCACAGAAATAAACAGAAGCATTCTCAGAAACTACTTTGTGATGATTGCATTCAAGTCACAGAGTTGAACATTCCCTTTGACAGAGCAGTTTGGAAACTCTCTTTGTGTAGAATCTGCAAGTGGAGATATGGACCGCTTTGAGGCCTATGGTAGTAAAGGAAATAGCTTCATATAAAAGCTAGACAGTAGCATTTTCAGAAACTTCTTTGTGATACTTGCATTCAACTCACAGAGTTGAACTTTCCTTTCGAGAGAGAAGCTTTGAAACACTCTTTTTCCAGAATCTGCAAGTGGACATTTGGAGGGCTTTGAGGCCTGTGGTGGAAAAGGAATTATCTTCCTGTAAAAGCTAGATAGAAGCATTGTCAGAAACTTCTTTGTGATGATTGCATTCAACTCACAGAGTTGAAGGTTCCTTTTCAAACAGCAGTTTCCAATCACTCTTTCTGTGGAATCTGCAAGTGGATATTTGGACCTCTTTGAAGATTTCGTTGGAAACGGGAGAATCTTCACAGAAAAGTTAAACAGAAGCATTCTCAGAAACTTCTCTGTGATGTTTGTGTTCAACTCCCAGAGTTTCACATTGCTTTTCATAGAGTAGTTCTGAAACATGCTTTTCGTAGTGTCTGCAAGTGGACATTTGGAGCGCTTTCAGGCCTGTGGTGGAAAACGAATTATGGTCACATAAAAACTGGAGAGAAGCCTTCTCAGAAACTTCTCTGTGATGATTGCATTCAACTCACAGAGTTGAACCCTCCTATGGATAGAGCAGTGTTGAAACTCTCTTTTTGTGGAATCTGCAAGTGGATATGTGGACCTCTCCGAAGATGTCTTTGGAAACGGGAATATCTTCACATAAAAGCTAAACAGAAGCATTCTCAGAAACTTCTTGGTGATGTTTGCATTCAAATCCCAGAGTTGAACCTTCCTTTGATAGTTCAGGTTTGAAACACTCTTTTTGTAGGATCTGCAAGTGGATATTTGGACCACTCTGTGGCCTTCGTTCGAAACGGGTACATCTTCACATAAAATCTAGACAGAAGCATTCTCAGAAAATACTTTGTGATGATTGAGTTGAACTCACAGAGCTGAACATTCCTTTGGATGGAGCAGGTTTGAGACACACTTTTTGTAGAATCTACAAGTGGATATTTGGACCTCTCTGAGGATTTCGTTGGAAACGGGATAACTGCACCTAACTAAACGGAAGCATTCTCAGAAACTGCTTTGTGATGATTGCATTCACCTCACAGAGTTGAACATTCCTATTGATAGAGCAGTTTGGAAACACTCTTGTTGTGGAATGTGCAAGTGGAGATTTGGAGCGCTTTGAGGCCTATGGTAGTAAAGGGAATAGCTTCATAGAAAAAATAGACAGATGCATTCTCAGGAACTTTTTGGTGATGATTGTATTCAACTCCCAGAGTTGAACTTTCCTTTGGAAAGAGCAGCTATGAAACACTCTTTTTCTAGAATCTGCACGTGGACGTTTGGAGGTCTTTGTTGTTTGTGGTGGAAAACGAAATATCTTCACCTAAATACTAGATAGAAGCATTCTCAGAAGCTTCTCTGTGATGACTGCATTCAACTCACGGAGTTGAACACTCCTTTTGAGAGCGCAGTTTTGAAACTCTCTTTCTGTGGCATCTGCAAGGGGACATGTAGACCTCTTTGAAGATTTCGTTGGAAACGGAATCATCTTCACATAAAAACTATACAGAAGCAGTCTCAGAATCTTCTTTGTGATGTTTGCATTCAAATCCCAGAGTTGAACTTTCCTTTCAAAGTTCACGTTTGAAACACTCTTTTTGCAGGATCTACAAGTGGATATTTGGACCACTCTGTGTCCTTCGTTCGAAACGGGTATATCTTCACATGACATCTAGACAGAAGCTTTCTCAGAAAATTCTTCGGGATGATTGAGTGGAACTCACAGAGCTGAACATTCCTTGCGATGTAGCAGTTTAGAAACACACTTTCTGCAGAATCTGCAAGTGCATATTTGGACCTCTCTGAGGAATTCGTTGGAAACGGGATAATTTCAGCTGACTAAACAGAAGCATTCTCAGAACCTTCTTCGTGATGTCTGCATTCAACTCACAGTGTGGAACCTTTCTTTGATAGTTCAGGTTTGAAACACTCTTTTTGTAGAAACTGCAAGGGGATAATTGCACTTCTTTGAGGCCTACCGTAGTAAAGGAAATAACTTCCTATAGAAAGAAGACAGAAGCATTCTCAGAACCCTCTTCGTGATGTTTGCATTCAACTCACAGTGCTGAACCTTTCTTTGATAGTTCAGCTTTGAAACACTCTTCTTGTAGAAACTGCAAGTGGATATTTGGTCCTCTCTGAGGATTTCGTTGGAAACGGGATAAACCGCACAGAACTAAACAGAAGAATTCTCAGAGCCCTCTTCGTGATGTTTGCATTCAACTCACAGTGCTGAACCTTTCTTTGATAGTGCAGCTTTGAAACACTCTTTTTGTAGAAACTGCAAGTGGATATTTGGTCCTCTCTGAGGATTTCGTTGGAAACGGGATAAACCGCACAGAACTAAAACAGAAGCATTCACAGAAAACTCTTGGTGACGACTGAGTTTAACTCACAGAGCTGAACATTCCTTTGGATGGAGCAGTTTCGAAACACACTATTTGTAGAATCTGCAAGTGGATATTTGGGCCTCTCTGAGGATTTCGTTGGAAACGGGATAAAACGCACAGAACTAAAACAGAAGCATTCTCAGAAACTACTTTGTGATGATTGCATTCAAGTCACAGAGTTGAACATTCCCTTTGACAGAGCAGTTTGGAAACTCTCTTTGTGTAGAATCTGCAAGTGGAGATATGGACCGCTTTGAGGCCTATGGTAGTAAAGGAAATAGCTTCATATAAAAGCTAGACAGTAGCATTCTCAGAAACTTCTTTGTGATGCTTGCATTCAACTCACAGAGTTGAACTTTCCTTTCGAGAGAGAAGCTTTGAAACACTCTTTTTCCAGAATGTGCAAGTGGACATTTGGGGAGCTTTGAGGCCTGTGGTGGAAAAGGAATTATCTTCCCGTAAAAGCTAGATAGAAGCATTGTCAGAAACTTCTTTGTGATGATTGCATTCAACTCACAGAGTTGAAGGTTCCTTTTCAAACAGCAGTTTCCAATCACTCTTTCTGTGGAACCTGCAAGTGGATATTTCGACCTCTTTGAAGATTTCGTTGGAAACGGGAGAATCTTCACAGAAAAGCTAAACAGAAGCATTCTCAGAAACTTCTCTGTGATGTTTGTGTTCAACTCCCAGAGTTTCACGTTGCTTTTCATAGAGTAGTTCTGAAACATGCTTTTCGTAGTGTCTGCAAGTGGACATTTGGAGCGCTTTCAGGCCTGTGGTGGAAAACGAATTATGGTCACATAAAAACTGGAGAGAAGCCTTCTCAGAAACTTCTCTGTGATGATTGCATTCAACTCACAGAGTTGAACCCTCCTATGGATAGAGCAGTGTTGAAACTCTCTTTTTGTGGAATCTGCAAGTGGATATGTGGACCTCTCCGAAGATGTCTTTGGAAACGGGAATATCTTCACATAAAAACTAAACAGAAGCATTCTCAGAAACTTCTTGGTGATGTTTGCATTCAAATCCCAGAGTTGAACCTTCCTTTGATAGTTCAGGTTTGAAACACTCTTTCTGTAGGATCTGCAAGTGGCTATTTGGACCACTCTGTGGCCTTCGTTCGAAACGGGTATATCTTCGCATAAAATCTAGACAGAAGCATTCTCAGAAAATACTTTGTGATGATTGAGTTTAAATCACAGAGCTGACCATTCCTTTGGATGGAGCAGGTTTGAGACACACTTTTTGTAGAATCTACAAGTGGATATTTGGACCTCTCTGAGGATTTCGTTGGAAACGGGATAACTGCACCTAACTAAACGGAAGCATTCTCAGAAACTGCTTTGTGATGATTGCATTCACCTCACAGAGTTGAACATTCCTATTGATAGAGCAGTTTGGAAACACTCTTGTTGTGGAATGTGCAAGTGGAGATTTGGAGCGCTTTGAGGCCTGTGGTAGTAAAGGGAATAGCTTCATAGAAAAACTAGACAGAATGCATTCTCAGGGAACTTTTTGGTGATGTTTGTATTCAACTCCCAGAGTTGAACTTTCCTTTGGAAAGAGCAGCTATGAAACACTCTTTTTCTAGAATCTGCAAGTGGACGTTTGGAGGGCTTTGTGGTTTGTGGTGGAAAAGGAAATATCTTCACCTAAATACTAGATAGAAGCATTCTCAGAAGCTTCTCTGTGATGACTGCATTCAACTCACGGAGTTGAACACTCCTTTTGAGAGCGCACTTTTGAAACTCTCTTTCTGTGGCATCTGCAAGGGGACATGTAGACCTCTTTGAAGATTTCGTTGGAAACGGAATCATCTTCACATAAAAACTATACAGAAGCAGTCTCAGAATCTTCTTTGTGATGTTTGCATTCAAATCCCAGAGTTGAACTTTCCTTTCAAAGTTCACGTTTGAAACACTCTTTTTGCAGGATCTACAAGTGGATATTTGGACCACTCTGTGTCCTTCGTTCGAAACGGGTATATCTTCACAGGACATCTAGACAGAAGCTTTCTCAGAAAATTCTTTGGGATGATTGAGTGGAACTCACAGAGCTGAACATTCCTTGCGATGTAGCAGTTTAGAAACACACTTTCTGCAGAATCTGCAAGTGCATATTTGGACCTCTCTGAGGAATTCGTTGGAAACGGGATAATTTCAGCTGACTAAACAGAAGCATTCTCAGAACCTTCTTCGTGATGTCTGCATTCAACTCACAGTGTGGAACCTTTCTTTGATAGTTCAGGTTTGAAACACTCTTTTTGTAGAAACTGCAAGGGGATAATTGCACTTCTTTGAGGCCTACCGTAGTAAAGGAAATAACTTCCTATAGAAAGAAGACAGAAGCATTCTCAGAACCCTCTTCGTGATGTTTGCATTCAACTCACAGTGCTGAACCTTTCTTTGATAGTTCAGCTTTGAAACACTCTTCTTGTAGAAACTGCAAGTGGATATTTGGTCCTCTCTGAGGATTTCGTTGGAAACGGGATAAACCGCACAGAACTAAACAGAAGAATTCTCAGAGCCCTCTTCGTGATGTTTGCATTCAACTCACAGTGCTGAACCTTTCTTTGATAGTGCAGCTTTGAAACACTCTTTTTGTAGAAACTGCAAGTGGATGTTTGGTCCTCTCTGAGGATTTCGTTGGAAACGGGATAAACCGCACAGAACTAAAACAGAAGCATTGTCAGAAACTTCTTTGTGATGATTGCATTCAACTCACAGAGTTGAAGGTTCCTTTTCAAACAGCAGTTTCCAATCACTCTTTCTGTGGAATCTGCAAGTGGATATTTGGGCCTCTCTGAGGATTTCGTTGGAAACGGGATAAAACGCACAGAACTAAAACAGAAGCATTCTCAGAAACTTCTCTGTGATGTTTGTGTTCAACTCCCAGAGTTTCACGTTGCTTTTCATAGAGTAGTTCTGAAACATGCTTTTCGTAGTGTCTGCAAGTGGACATTTGGAGCGCTTTCAGGCCTGTGGTGGAAAACGAATTATGGTCACATAAAAACTGGAGAGAAGCCTTCTCAGAAACTTCTCTGTGATGATTGCATTCAACTCACAGAGTTGAACCCTCCTATGGATAGAGCAGTGTTGAAACTCTCTTTTTGTGGAATCTGCAAGTGGATATGTGGACCTCTCCGAAGATGTCTTTGGAAACGGGAATATCTTCACATAAAAACTAAACAGAAGCATTCTCAGAAACTTCTTGGTGATGTTTGCATTCAAATCCCAGAGTTGAACCTTCCTTTGATAGTTCAGGTTTGAAACACTCTTTCTGTAGGATCTGCAAGTGGCTATTTGGACCACTCTGTGGCCTTCGTTCGAAACGGGTATATCTTCGCATAAAATCTAGACAGAAGCATTCTCAGAAAATACTTTGTGATGATTGAGTTTAAATCACAGAGCTGAACAGTCCTTTGGATGGAGCAGGTTTGAGACACACTTTTTGTAGAATCTACAAGTGGATATTTCGACCTCTCTGAGGATTTCGTTGGAAACGGGATAACTGCACCTAACTAAACGGAAGCATTCTCAGAAACTGCTTTGTGATGATTGCATTCACCTCACAGAGTTGAACATTACTATTGATAGAGCAGTTTGGAAACACTCTTGTTGTGGAATGTGCAAGTGGAGATTTGGAGCGCTTTGAGGCCTATGGTAGTAAAGGGAATAGCTTCATAGAGAAACTAGACAGATGCATTCTCAGGAACTTTTTGGTGATGTTTGTATTCAACTCCCAGAGTTGAACTTTCCTTTGGAAAGAGCAGCTATGAAACACTCTTTTTCTAGAATCTGCAAGTGGACGTTTGGAGGGCTTTGTGGTTTGTGGTGGAAAAGGAAATATCTTCACCTAAATACTAGATAGAAGCATTCTCAGAAGCTTCTCTGTGATGACTGCATTCAACTCACGGAGTTGAACACTCCTTTTGAGAGCGCAGTTTTGAAACTCTCTTTCTGTGGCATCTGCAAGGGGACATGTAGACCTCTTTGAAGATTTCGTTGGAAACGGAATCATCTTCACATAAAAACTATACAGAAGCAGTCTCAGAATCTTCTTTGTGATGTTTGCATTCAAATCCCAGAGTTGAACTTTCCTTTCAAAGTTCACGTTTGAAACACTCTTTTTGCAGGATCTACAAGTGGATATTTGGACCACTCTGTGTCCTTCGTTCGAAACGGGTATATCTTCACATGACATCTAGACAGAAGCTTTCTCAGAAAATTCTTTGGGATGATTGAGTGGAACTCACAGAGCTGAACATTCCTTGCGATGTAGCAGTTTAGAAACACACTTTCTGCAGAATCTGCAAGTGCATATTTGGACCTCTCTGAGGAATTCGTTGGAAACGGGATAATTTCAGCTGACTAAACAGAAGCATTCTCAGACACCCTTCTTCGTGATGTCTGCATTCAACTCACAGTGTGGAACCTTTCTTTGATAGTTCAGGTTTGAAACACTCTTTTTGTAGAAACTGCAAGGGGATAATTGCACTTCTTTGAGGCCTACCGTAGTAAAGGAAATAACTTCCTATAGAAAGAAGACAGAAGCATTCTCAGAACCCTCTTCGTGATGTTTGCATTCAACTCACAGTGCTGAACCTTTCTTTGATAGTTCAGCTTTGAAACACTCTTCTTGTAGAAACTGCAAGTGGATATTTGGTCCTCTCTGAGGATTTCGTTGGAAACGGGATAAACCGCACAGAACTAAACAGAAGAATTCTCAGAGCCCTCTTCGTGATGTTTGCATTCAACTCACAGTGCTGAACCTTTCTTTGATAGTGCAGCTTTGAAACACTCTTTTTGTAGAAACTGCAAGTGGATGTTTGGTCCTCTCTGAGGATTTCGTTGGAAACGGGATAAACCGCACAGAACTAAAACAGAAGCATTGTCAGGAAACTTCTTTGTGATGATTGCATTCAACTCACAGAGTTGAAGGTTCCTTTTCAAACAGCAGTTTCCAATCACTCTTTCTGTGGAATCTGCAAGTGGATATTTGGGCCTCTCTGAGGATTTCGTTGGAAACGGGATAAAACGCACAGAACTAAAACAGAAGCATTCTCAGAAACTTCTCTGTGATGTTTGTGTTCAACTCCCAGAGTTTCACATTGCTTTTCATAGAGTAGTTCTGAAACATGCTTTTCGTAGGGTCTGCAAGTGGACATTTGGAGCGCTTTCAGGCCTGTGGTGGAAAACGAATTATGGTCACATAAAAACTGGAGAGAAGCCTTCTCAGAAACTTCTCTGTGATGATTGCATTCAACTCACAGAGTTGAACCCTCCTATGGATAGAGCAGTGTTGAAACTCTCTTTTTGTGGAATCTGCAAGTGGATATGTGGACCTCTCCGAAGATGTCTTTGGAAACGGGAATATCTTCACATAAAAACTAAACAGAAGCATTCTCAGAAACTTCTTGGTGATGTTTGCATTCAAATCCCAGAGTTGAACCTTCCTTTGATAGTTCAGGTTTGAAACACTCTTTTTGTAGGATCTGCAAGTGGCTATTTGGACCACTCTGTGGCCTTCGTTCGAAACGGGTATATCTTCGCATAAAATCTAGACAGAAGCATTCTCAGAAAATACTTTGTGATGATTGAGTTTAAATCACAGAGCTGACCATTCCTTTGGATGGAGCAGGTTTGAGACACACTTTTTGTAGAATCTACAAGTGGATATTTGGACCTCTCTGAGGATTTCGTTGGAAACGGGATAACTGCACCTAACTAAACGGAAGCATTCTCAGAAACTGCTTTGTGATGATTGCATTCACCTCACAGAGTTGAACATTCCTATTGATAGAGCAGTTTGGGAACACTCTTGTTGTGGAATGTGCAAGTGGAGATTTGGAGCGCTTTGAGGCCTATGGTAGTAAAGGGAATAGCTTCATAGAAAAAATTGACAGATGCATTCTCAGGAACTTTTTGGTGATGTTTGTATTCAACTCCCAGAGTTGAACTTTCCTTTGGAAAGAGCAGCTATGAAACACTCTTTTTCTAGAATCTGCAAGTGGACGTTTGGAGGGCTTTGTGGTTTGTGGTGGAAAAGGAAATATCTTCACCTAAATACTAGATAGAAGCATTCTCAGAAGCTTCTCTGTGATGACTGCATTCAACTCACGGAGTTGAACACTCCTTTTGAGAGCGCAGTTTTGAAACTCTCTTTCTGTGGCATCTGCAAGGGGACATGTAGACCTCTTTGAAGATTTCGTTGGAAACGGAATCATCTTCGCATAAAAACTATACAGAAGCAGTCTCAGAATCTTCTTTGTGATGTTTGCATTCAAATCCCAGAGTTGAACTTTCCTTTCAAAGTTCACGTTTGAAACACTCTTTTTGCAGGATCTACAAGTGGATATTTGGACCACTCTGTGTCCTTCGTTCGAAACGGGTATATCTTCACATGGCATCTAGACAGAAGCTTTCTCAGAAAATTCTTTGGGATGATTGAGTGGAACTCACAGAGCTGAACATTCCTTGCGATGTAGCAGTTTAGAAACACACTTTCTGCAGAATCTGCAAGTGCATATTTGGACCTCTCCGAGGAATTCGTTGGAAACGGGATAATTTCAGCTGACTAAACAGAAGCATTCTCAGAACCTTCTTCGTGATGTCTGCATTCAACTCACAGTGTGGAACCTTTCTTTGATAGTTCAGGTTTGAAACACTCTTTTTGTAGAAACTGCAAGGGGATAATTGCACTTCTTTGAGGCCTACCGTAGTAAAGGAAATAACTTCCTATAGAAAGAAGACAGAAGCATTCTCAGAACCCTCTTCGTGATGTTTGCATTCAACACACAGTGCTGAACCTTTCTTTGATAGTTCAGCTTTGAAACACTCTTTTTGTAGAAACTGCAACTGGATATTTGGTCCTCTCTGAGGATTTCGTTGGAAACGGGATAAACCGCACAGAACTAAACAGAAGCATTCTCAGAACCTTCTTCGTGATGTTTGCATTCAACTCACAGTGTTGAACCTTTCTTTGATAGTTCAGGTTTGAAACGGTCTTTCTGTAGAAACTGCAAGTAGATATTTGGACCTCTCTGAGGATTTCGTTGGAAACGGGATAACCCGCACAGAACTAAAACAGAAGCATTCACAGAAAACTCTTGGTGACGACTGAGTTTAACTCACAGAGCTGAACATTCCTTTGGATGGAGCAGTTTCGAAACACACTATTTGTAGAATGTGCAAGTGGATATTTGGGCCTCTCTGAGGATTTCGTTGGAAACGGGATAAACCGCACAGAACTAAACAGAAGCATTCTCAGAAACTACTTTGTGGTGATTGCATTCAAGTCACAGAGTTGAACATTCCCTTTGACAGAGCAGTTTGGAAACTCTCTTTGTGTAGAATCTGCAAGTGGAGATATGGACCGCTTTGAGGCCTATGGTAGTAAAGGAAATAGCTTCATATAAAAGCTAGACAGTAGCATTCTCAGAAACTTCTTTGTGATGCTTGCATTCAACTCACAGAGTTGAACTTTCCTTTCGAGAGAGAAGCTTTGAAACACTCTTTTTCCAGAATCTGCAAGTGGACATTTGGAGGGCTTTGAGGCCTGTGGTGGAAAAGGAATTATCTTCCCGTAAAAGCTAGATAGAAGCATTGTCAGAAACTTCTTTGTGATGATTGCATTCAAGTCACAGAGTTGAAGATTCCTTTTCAAAGAGCAGTTTCCAATCACTCTTTCTGTGGAATCTGCAAGTGGATATTTGGACCTCTTTGAAGATTTCGTTGGAAACGGGAGAATCTTCACAGAAAATCTAAACAGAAGCATTCTCAGAAACTTCTCTGTGATGTTTGTGTTCAACTCCCAGAGTTTCACATTGCTTCTCATAGAGTAGTTCTGAAACATGCTTTTCGTAGTGTCTGCAAGTGGACATTTGGAGCGCTTTCAGGCCTGTGGTGGAAAACGAATTATGGTCACATAAAAACTGGAGAGAAGCCTTCTCAGAAACTTCTCTGTGATGATTGCATTCGATTCACAGAGTTGAACCCTCCTATGGATAGAGCAGTGTTGAAACTCTCTTTTTGTGGAATCTGCAAGCGGATATGTGGACCTCTCCGAAGATGTCTTTGGAAACGGGAATATCTTCACATAAAAACTAAACAGAAGCATTCTCAGAAACTTCTTGGTGATGTTTGCATTCAAATCCCAGAGTTGAAACTTCCTTTGAGAGTTCAGGTTTGAAACACTCTTTTTGTAGGATCTGCAAGTGGATATTTGGACCACTCTGTGGCCTTCGTTCGAAACGGGTACATCTTCGCATAAAATCTAGACAGAAGCATTCTCAGAAAATACTTTGTGATGATTGAGTTGAACTCACAGAGCTGAACATTCCTTTGGATGGAGCAGGTTTGAGACACACTTTTTGTAGAATCTACAAGTGGATATTTGGACCTCTCTGAGGATTTCGTTGGAAACGGGATAACTGCACCTAACTAAACGGAAGCATTCTCAGAAACTGCTTTGTGATGATTGCATTCACCTCACAGGGTTGAACATTCCTATTGATAGAGCAGTTTGGAAACACTCTTGTTGTGGAATGTGCAAGTGGAGATTTGGAGCGCTTTGAGGCTTATGGTAGTAAAGGGAATAGCTTCATAGAAAAACTAGACAGATGCATTCTCAGGAACTTTTTGGTGATGTTTGTATTCAACTCCCAGAGTTGAACTTTCCTTTGGAAAGAGCAGCTATGAAACACTCTTTTTCTAGAATCTGCAAGTGGACGTTTGGAGGGCTTTGTGGTTTGTGGTGGAAAGGAAATATCTTCACCTAAATACTAGATAGAAGCATTCTCAGAAGCTTCTCTGTGATGACTGCATTCAACTCATGGAGTTGAACACTCCTTTTGAGAGCGCAGTTTTGAAACTCTCTTTCTGTGGCATCCGCAAGGGGACATGTGGACCTCTTTGAAGATTTCGTTGGAAACGGAATCATCTTCACATCAAAACTATACAGAAGCAGTCTCAGAATCTTCTTTGTGATGTTTGCATTCAAATCCCAGAGTTGAACTTTCCTTTCAAAGTTCACGTTTGAAACACTCTTTTTGCAGGATCTACAAGTGGATATTTGGACCACTCTGTGTCCTTCGTTCGAAACGGGTATATCTTCACATGACATCTACACAGAAGCTTTCTCAGAAAATTCTTTGGGATGATTGAGTGGAACTCACAGAGCTGAACATTCCTTGCGATGTAGCAGTTTAGAAACACACTTTCTGCAGAATCTGCAAGTGCATATTTGGACCTCTCTGAGGAATTCTTTGGAAACGGGATAATTACAGCTGACTAAACAGAAGCATTCTCAGAACCTTCTTCGTGATGTCTGCATTCAACTCACAGTGTGGAACCTTTCTTTGATAGTTCAGGTTTGAAACACTCTTTTTGTAGAAACTGCAAGGGGATAATTGCACTTCTTTGAGGCCTACCGTAGTAAAGGAAATAACTTCCTATAGAAAGAAGACAGAAGCATTCTCAGAACCCTCTTCGTGATGTTTGCATTCAACTCACAGTGCTGAACCTTTCTTTGATAGTTCAGCTTTGAAACACTCTTCTTGTAGAAACTGCAAGTGGATATTTGGTCCTCTCTGAGGATTTCGTTGGAAACGGGATAAACCGCACAGAACTAAACAGAAGAATTCTCAGAGCCCTCTTCGTGATGTTTGCATTCAACTCACAGTGCTGAACCTTTCTTTGATAGTGCAGCTTTGAAACACTCTTTTTGTAGAAACTGCAAGTGGATGTTTGGTCCTCTCTGAGGATTTCGTTGGAAACGGGATAAACCGCACAGAACTAAAACAGAAGCATTGTCAGAAACTTCTTTGTGATGATTGCATTCAACTCACAGAGTTGAAGGTTCCTTTTCAAACAGCAGTTTCCAATCACTCTTTCTGTGGAATCTGCAAGTGGATATTTGGGCCTCTCTGAGGATTTCGTTGGAAACGGGATAAAACGCACAGAACTAAAACAGAAGCATTCTCAGAAACTTCTCTGTGATGTTTGTGTTCAACTCCCAGAGTTTCACGTTGCTTTTCATAGAGTAGTTCTGAAACATGCTTTTCGTAGTGTCTGCAAGTGGACATTTGGAGCGCTTTCAGGCCTGTGGTGGAAAACGAATTATGGTCACATAAAAACTGGAGAGAAGCCTTCTCAGAAACTTCTCTGTGATGATTGCATTCAACTCACAGAGTTGAACCCTCCTATGGATAGAGCAGTGTTGAAACTCTCTTTTTGTGGAATCTGCAAGTGGATATGTGGACCTCTCCGAAGATGTCTTTGGAAACGGGAATATCTTCACATAAAAACTAAACAGAAGCATTCTCAGAAACTTCTTGGTGATGTTTGCATTCAAATCCCAGAGTTGAACCTTCCTTTGATAGTTCAGGTTTGAAACACTCTTTCTGTAGGATCTGCAAGTGGCTATTTGGACCACTCTGTGGCCTTCGTTCGAAACGGGTATATCTTCGCATAAAATCTAGACAGAAGCATTCTCAGAAAATACTTTGTGATGATTGAGTTTAAATCACAGAGCTGACCATTCCTTTGGATGGAGCAGGTTTGAGACACACTTTTTGTAGAATCTACAAGTGGATATTTGGACCTCTCTGAGGATTTCGTTGGAAACGGGATAACTGCACCTAACTAAACGGAAGCATTCTCAGAAACTGCTTTGTGATGATTGCATTCACCTCACAGAGTTGAACATTCCTATTGATAGAGCAGTTTGGAAACACTCTTGTTGTGGAATGTGCAAGTGGAGATTTGGAGCGCTTTGAGGCCTGTGGTAGTAAAGGGAATAGCTTCATAGAAAAACTAGACAGATGCATTCTCAGGAACTTTTTGGTGATGTTTGTATTCAACTCCCAGAGTTGAACTTTCCTTTGGAAAGAGCAGCTATGAAACACTCTTTTTCTAGAATCTGCAAGTGGACGTTTGGAGGGCTTTGTGGTTTGTGGTGGAAAAGGAAATATCTTCACCTAAATACTAGATAGAAGCATTCTCAGAAGCTTCTCTGTGATGACTGCATTCAACTCACGGAGTTGAACACTCCTTTTGAGAGCGCAGTTTTGAAACTCTCTTTCTGTGGCATCCGCAAGGGGACATGTGGACCTCTTTGAAGATTTCGTTGGAAACGGAATCATCTTCACATAAAAACTGTACAGAAGCAGTCTCAGAATCTTCTTTGTGATGTTTGCATTCAAATCCCAGAGTTGAACTTTCCTTTCAAAGTTCACGTTTGAAACACTCTTTTTGCAGGATCTACAAGTGGATATTTGGACCACTCTGTGTCCTTCTTTCGAAACGGGTATATCTTCACACGACATCTAGACAGAAGCTTTCTCAGAAAATTCTTTGGGATGATTGAGTGGAACTCACAGAGCTGAACATTCCTTGCGATGTAGCAGTTTAGAAACACACTTTCTGCAGAATCTGCAAGTGCATATTTGGACCTCTCTGAGGAATTCGTTGGAAACGGGATAATTTCAGCTGACTAAACAGAAGCATTCTCAGAACCTTCTTCGTGATGTCTGCATTCAACTCACAGTGTGGAACCTTTCTTTGATAGTTCAGGTTTGAAACACTCTTTTTGTAGAAACTGCAAGGGGATAATTGCACTTCTTTGAGGCCTACCGTAGTAAAGGAAATAACTTCCTATAGAAAGAAGACAGAAGCATTCTCAGAACCCTCTTCGTGATGTTTGCATTCAACTCACAGTGCTGAACCTTTCTTTGATAGTTCAGCTTTGAAACACTCTTCTTGTAGAAACTGCAAGTGGATATTTGGTCCTCTCTGAGGATTTCGTTGGAAACGGGATAAACCGCACAGAACTAAACAGAAGAATTCTCAGAGCCCTCTTCGTGATGTTTGCATTCAACTCACAGTGCTGAACCTTTCTTTGATAGTGCAGCTTTGAAACACTCTTTTTGTAGAAACTGCAAGTGGATGTTTGGTCCTCTCTGAGGATTTCGTTGGAAACGGGATAAACCGCACAGAACTAAAACAGAAGCATTGTCAGAAACTTCTTTGTGATGATTGCATTCAACTCACAGAGTTGAAGGTTCCTTTTCAAACAGCAGTTTCCAATCACTCTTTCTGTGGAATCTGCAAGTGGATATTTGGGCCTCTCTGAGGATTTCGTTGGAAACGGGATAAAACGCACAGAACTAAAACAGAAGCATTCTCAGAAAACTTCTCTGTGATGTTTGTGTTCAACTCCCAGAGTTTCACGTTGCTTTTCATAGAGTAGTTCTGAAACATGCTTTTCGTAGTGTCTGCAAGTGGACATTTGGAGCGCTTTCAGGCCTGTGGTGGAAAACGAATTATGGTCACATAAAAACTGGAGAGAAGCCTTCTCAGAAACTTCTCTGTGATGATTGCATTCAACTCACAGAGTTGAACCCTCCTATGGATAGAGCAGTGTTGAAACTCTCTTTTTGTGGAATCTGCAAGTGGATATGTGGACCTCTCCGAAGATGTCTTTGGAAACGGGAATATCTTCACATAAAAACTAAACAGAAGCATTCTCAGAAACTTCTTGGTGATGTTTGCATTCAAATCCCAGAGTTGAACCTTCCTTTGATAGTTCAGGTTTGAAACACTCTTTCTGTAGGATCTGCAAGTGGCTATTTGGACCACTCTGTGGCCTTCGTTCGAAACGGGTATATCTTCGCATAAAATCTAGACAGAAGCATTCTCAGAAAATACTTTGTGATGATTGAGTTTAAATCACAGAGCTGACCATTCCTTTGGATGGAGCAGGTTTGAGACACACTTTTTGTAGAATCTACAAGTGGATATTTGGACCTCTCTGAGGATTTCGTTGGAAACGGGATAACTGCACCTAACTAAACGGAAGCATTCTCAGAAACTGCTTTGTGATGATTGCATTCACCTCACAGAGTTGAACATTCCTATTGATAGAGCAGTTTGGAAACACTCTTGTTGTGGAATGTGCAAGTGGAGATTTGGAGCGCTTTGAGGCCTATGGTAGTAAAGGGAATAGCTTCATAGAAAAACTAGACAGATGCATTCTCAGGAACCTTTTGGTGATGTTTGTATTCAACTCCCAGAGTTGAACTTTCCTTTGGAAAGAGCAGCTATGAAACACTCTTTTTCTAGAATCTGCAAGTGGACGTTTGGAGGGCTTTGTGGTTTGTGGTGGAAAAGGAAATATCTTCACCTAAATACTAGATAGAAGCATTCTCAGAAGCTTCTCTGTGATGACTGCATTCAACTCACGGAGTTGAACACTCCTTTTGAGAGCGCAGTTTTGAAACTCTCTTTCTGTGGCATCTGCAAGGGGACATGTAGACCTCTTTGAAGATTTCGTTGGAAACGGAATCATCTTCACATAAAAACTATACAGAAGCAGTCTCAGAATCTTCTTTGTGATGTTTGCATTCAAATCCCAGAGTTGAACTTTCCTTTCAAAGTTCACGTTTGAAACACTCTTTTTGCAGGATCTACAAGTGGATATTTGGACCACTCTGTGTCCTTCGTTCGAAACGGGTATATCTTCACACGACATCTAGACAGAAGCTTTCTCAGAAAATTCTTTGGGATGATTGAGTGGAACTCACAGAGCTGAACATTCCTTGCGATGTAGCAGTTTAGAAACACACTTTCTGCAGAATCTGCAAGTGCATATTTGGACCTCTCTGAGGAATTCGTTGGAAACGGGATAATTTCAGCTGACTAAACAGAAGCATTCTCAGAACCTTCTTCGTGATGTCTGCATTCAACTCACAGTGTGGAACCTTTCTTTGATAGTTCAGGTTTGAAACACTCTTTTTGTAGAAACTGCAAGGGGATAATTGCACTTCTTTGAGGCCTACCGTAGTAAAGGAAATAACTTCCTATAGAAAGAAGACAGAAGCATTCTCAGAACCCTCTTCGTGATGTTTGCATTCAACTCACAGTGCTGAACCTTTCTTTGATAGTTCAGCTTTGAAACACTCTTCTTGTAGAAACTGCAAGTGGATATTTGGTCCTCTCTGAGGATTTCGTTGGAAACGGGATAAACCGCACAGAACTAAACAGAAGAATTCTCAGAGCCCTCTTCGTGATGTTTGCATTCAACTCACAGTGCTGAACCTTTCTTTGATAGTGCAGCTTTGAAACACTCTTTTTGTAGAAACTGCAAGTGGATGTTTGGTCCTCTCTGAGGATTTCGTTGGAAACGGGATAAACCGCACAGAACTAAAACAGAAGCATTGTCAGAAACTTCTTTGTGATGATTGCATTCAACTCACAGAGTTGAAGGTTCCTTTTCAAACAGCAGTTTCCAATCACTCTTTCTGTGGAATCTGCAAGTGGATATTTGGGCCTCTCTGAGGATTTCGTTGGAAACGGGATAAAACGCACAGAACTAAAACAGAAGCATTCTCAGAAACTTCTCTGTGATGTTTGTGTTCAACTCCCAGAGTTTCACGTTGCTTTTCATAGAGTAGTTCTGAAACATGCTTTTCGTAGTGTCTGCAAGTGGACATTTGGAGCGCTTTCAGGCCTGTGGTGGAAAACGAATTATGGTCACATAAAAACTGGAGAGAAGCCTTCTCAGAAACTTCTCTGTGATGATTGCATTCAACTCACAGAGTTGAACCCTCCTATGGATAGAGCAGTGTTGAAACTCTCTTTTTGTGGAATCTGCAAGTGGATATGTGGACCTCTCCGAAGATGTCTTTGGAAACGGGAATATCTTCACATAAAAACTAAACAGAAGCATTCTCAGAAACTTCTTGGTGATGTTTGCATTCAAATCCCAGAGTTGAACCTTCCTTTGATAGTTCAGGTTTGAAACACTGTTTCTGTAGGATCTGCAAGTGGCTATTTGGACCACTCTGTGGCCTTCGTTCGAAACGGGTATATCTTCGCATAAAATCTAGACAGAAGCATTCTCAGAAAATACTTTGTGATGATTGAGTTTAAATCACAGAGCTGACCATTCCTTTGGATGGAGCAGGTTTGAGACACACTTTTTGTAGAATCTACAAGTGGATATTTGGACCTCTCTGAGGATTTCGTTGGAAACGGGATAACTGCACCTAACTAAACGGAAGCATTCTCAGAAACTGCTTTGTGATGATTGCATTCACCTCACAGAGTTGAACATTCGTATTGATAGAGCAGTTTGGAAACACTCTTCTTGTGGAATGTGCAAGTGGAGATTTGGAGCGCTTTGGGGCCTATGGTAGTAAAGGGAATAGCTTCATAGAAAAACTAGACAGATGCATTCTCAGGAACTTTTTGGTGATGTTTGTATTCAACTCCCAGAGTTGAACTTTCCTTTGGAAAGAGCAGCTATGAAACACTCTTTTTCTAGAATCTGCAAGTGGACGTTTGGAGGGCTTTGTGGTTTGTGGTGGAAAAGGAAATATCTTCACCTAAATACTAGATAGAAGCATTCTCAGAAGCTTCTCTGTGATGACTGCATTCAACTCACGGAGTTGAACACTCCTTTTGAGAGCGCAGTTTTGAAACTCTCTTTCTGTGGCATCTGCAAGGGGACATGTAGACCTCTTTGAAGATTTCGTTGGAAACGGAATCATCTTCACATAAAAACTATACAGAAGCAGTCTCAGAATCTTCTTTGTGATGTTTGCATTCAAATCCCAGAGTTGAACTTTCCTTTCAAAGTTCACGTTTGAAACACTCTTTTTGCAGGATCTACAAGTGGATATTTGGACCACTCTGTGTCCTTCGTTCGAAACGGGTATATCTTCACACGACATCTAGACAGAAGCTTTCTCAGCAAAATTCTTTGGGATGATTGAGTGGAACTCACAGAGCTGAACATTCCTTGCGATGGAGCAGTTTAGAAACACACTTTCTGCAGAATCTGCAAGTGCATATTTGGACCTCTCTGAGGAATTCGTTGGAAACGGGATAATTTCAGCTGACTAAACAGAAGCATTCTCAGAACCTTCTTCGTGATGTCTGCATTCAACTCACAGTGTGGAACCTTTCTTTGATAGTTCAGGTTTGAAACACTCTTTTTGTAGAGACTGCAAGGGGATCATTGCACTTCTTTGAGGCCTACCGTAGTAAAGGAGATAACTTCCTATAAAAAGAAGACAGAAGCATTCTCAGAACCCTCTTCGTGATGTTTGCATTCAACTCACGGTGCTGAACCTTTCTTTGATAGTTCAGCTTTGAAACACTCTTTTTGTAGAAACTGCAAGTGGATATTTGGTCCTCTCTGAGGATTTCGTTGGAAACGGTATAAACCGCACAGAACTAAACAGAAGCATTGTCAGAAACTTCTTTGTGATGATTGCATTCAACTCACAGAGTTGAAGGTTCCTTTTCAAACAGCAGTTTCCAATCACTCTTTCTGTGGAATCTGCAAGTGGATATTTGGGCCTCTCTGAGGATTTCGTTGGAAACGGGATAAAACGCACAGAACTAAAACAGAAGCATTCTCAGAAACTTCTCTGTGATGTTTGTGTTCAACTCCCCAGAGTTTCACGTTGCTTTTCATAGAGTAGTTCTGAAACATGCTTTTCGTAGTGTCTGCAAGTGGACATTTGGAGCGCTTTCAGGCCTGTGGTGGAAAACGAATTATGGTCACATAAAAACTGGAGAGAAGCCTTCTCAGAAACTTCTCTGTGATGATTGCATTCAACTCACAGAGTTGAACCCTCCTATGGATAGAGCAGTGTTGAAACTCTCTTTTTGTGGAATCTGCAAGTGGATATGTGGACCTCTCCGAAGATGTCTTTGGAAACGGGAATATCTTCACATAAAAACTAAACAGAAGCATTCTCAGAAACTTCTTGGTGATGTTTGCATTCAAATCCCAGAGTTGAACCTTCCTTTGATAGTTCAGGTTTGAAACACTCTTTTTGTAGGATCTGCAAGTGGCTATTTGGACCACTCTGTGGCCTTCGTTCGAAACGGGTATATCTTCGCATAAAATCTAGACAGAAGCATTCTCAGAAAATACTTTGTGATGATTGAGTTTAAATCACAGAGCTGAACATTCCTTTGGATGGAGCAGGTTTGAGACACACTTTTTGTAGAATCTACAAGTGGATATTTGGACCTCTCTGAGGATTTCGTTGGAAACGGGATAACTGCACCTAACTAAACGGAAGCATTCTCAGAAACTGCTTTGTGATGATTGTATTCACCTCACAGAGTTGAACATTCCTATTGATAGAGCAGTTTGGAAACACTCTTGTTGTGGAATGTGCAAGTGGAGTTTTGGAGCGCTTTGAGGCCTATGGTAGTAAAGGGAATAGCTTCATAGAAAAACTAGACAGATGCATTCTCAGGAACTTTTTGGTGATGTTTGTATTCAACTCCCAGAGTTGAACTTTCCTTTGGAAAGAGCAGCTATGAAACACTCTTTTTCTAGAATCTGCAAGTGGACGTTTGGAGGGCTTTGTGGTTTGTGGTGGAAAAGGAAATATCTTCACCTAAATACTAGACAGAAGCATTCTCAGAAGCTTCTCTGTGATGACTGCATTCAACTCACGGAGTTGAACACTCCTTTTGAGAGCGCAGTTTTGAAACTCTTTCTGTGGCATCTGCAAGGGGACATGTAGACCTCTTTGAAGATTTCGTTGGAAACGGAATCATCTTCACATAAAAACTATACAGAAACAGTCTCAGAATCTTCTTTGTGATGTTTGCATTCAAATCCCAGAGTTGAACTTTCCTTTCAAAGTTCACGTTTGAAACACTCTTTTTGCAGGATCTACAAGTGGATATTTGGACCACTCTGTGTCCTTCGTTCAAAACGGGTATATCTTCACATGGTATCTAGACAGAAGCTTTCTCAGAAAATTCTTTGGGATGATTGAGTTGAACTCACAGAGCTGAACATTCCTTGCGATGTAGCAGTTTAGAAACACACTTTCTGCAGAATCTGCAAGTGCATATTTGGATCTCTCTGAGGAATTCGTTGGAAACGTGATAATTTCAGCTGACTAAACCGAAGCATTCTCAGTAACCTTCTTCGTGATGTCTGCATTCAACTCACAGTGTGGAACCTTTCTTTGATAGTTCAGGTTTGAAACACTCTTTTTGTAGAAACTGCAAGGGGATAATTGCACTTCTTTGAGGCCTACCGTAGTAAAGGAAATAACTTCCTATAAAAAGAAGACAGAAGCATTCTCAGAACCCTCTTCCTGATGTTTGCATTCAACTCACAGTGCTGAACCTTTCTTTGATAGTTCAGCTTTGAAACACTCTTTTTGTAGAAACTGCAAGTGGATATTTGGTCCTCTCTGAGGATTTCGTTGGAAACGGGATAAACTGCACAGAACTAAACAGAAGCATTCTCAGAACCTTCTTCGTGATGTTTGCATTCAACTCACAGTGTTGAACCTTTCTTTGATAGTTCAGGTTTGAAACGGTCTTTCTGTAGAAACTGCAAGTAGATATTTGGACCTCTCTGAGGATTTCGTTGGAAACGGGATAACCCACACAGAACTAAAACAGAAGCATTCACAGAAAACTCTTGGTGACGACTGAGTTTAACTCACAGAGCTGAACATTCCTTTGGATGGAGCAGTTTCGAAACACACTATTTGTAGAATGTGCAAGTGGATATTTAGGCCTCTCTGAGGATTTCGTTGGAAACGGGATAAACCGCACAGAACTAAACAGAAGCATTCTCAGAAACTACTTTGTGATGATTGCATTCAAGTCACAGAGTTGAACATTCCCTTTGACAGAGCAGTTTGGAAACTCTCTTTGTGTAGAATCTGCAAGTGGAGATATGGACCGCTTTGAGGCCTATGGTAGTAAAGGAAATAGCTTCATATAAAAGCTAGACAGTAGCATTCTCAGAAACTTCTTTGTGATGCTTGCATTCAACTCACAGAGTTGAACTTTCCTTTCGAGAGAGAAGCTTTGAAACACTCTTTTTCCAGAATCTGCAAGTGGACATTTGGAGGGCTTTGAGGCCTGTGGTGGAAAAGGAATTATCTTCCCGTAAAAGCTAGATAGAAGCATTGTCAGAAACTTCTTTGTGATGATTGCATTCAACTCACAGAGTTGAAGGTTCCTTTTCAAAGAGCAGTTTCCAATCACTCTTTCTGTGGAATCTGCAAGTGGATATTTGGACCTATTTTGAAGATTTCGTTGGAAACGGGAGAATCTTCACAGGAAAGCTAAACAGAAGCATTCTCAGAAACTTCTCTGTGATGTTTGTGTTCAACTCCCAGAGTTTCACATTGCTTTTCATAGAGTAGTTCTGAAACATGCTTTTCGTAGTGTCTACAAGTGGACATTTGGAGCGCTTTCAGGCCTGTGGTGGAAAACGAATTATGGTCACATAAAAACTGGAGAGAAGCCTTCTCAGAAACTTCTCTGTGATGATTGCATTCAACTCACAGAGTTGAACCCTCCTATGGATAGAGCAGTGTTGAAACTCTCTTTTTGTGGAACCTGCAAGTGGATATGTGGACCTCTCCGAAGATGTCCTTTGGAAACGGGAATATCTTCACATAAAAACTAAACAGAAGCATTCTCAGAAACTTCTTGGTGATGTTTGCATTCAAATCCCAGAGTTGAACCTTCCTTTGATAGTTCAGGTTTGAAACACTCTTTCTGTAGGATCTGCAAGTGGCTATTTGGACCACTCTGTGGCCTTCGTTCGAAACGGGTATATCTTCGCATAAAATCTAGACAGAAGCATTCTCAGAAAATACTTTGTGATGATTGAGTTTAAATCACAGAGCTGACCATTCCTTTGGATGGAGCAGGTTTGAGACACACTTTTTGTAGAATCTACAAGTGGATATTTGGACCTCTCTGAGGATTTCGTTGGAAACGGGATAACTGCACCTAACTAAACGGAAGCATTCTCAGAAACTGCTTTGTGATGATTGCATTCACCTCACAGAGTTGAACATTCCTATTGATAGAGCAGTTTGGAAACACTCTTGTTGTGGAATGTGCAAGTGGAGATTTGGAGCGCTTTGAGGCCTGTGGTAGTAAAGGGAATAGCTTCATAGAAAAACTAGACAGATGCATTCTCAGGAACTTTTTGGTGATGTTTGTATTCAACTCCCAGAGTTGAACTTTCCTTTGGAAAGAGCAGCTATGAAACACTCTTTTTCTAGAATCTGCAAGTGGACGTTTGGAGGGCTTTGTGGTTTGTGGTGGAAAAGGAAATATCTTCACCTAAATACTAGATAGAAGCATTCTCAGAAGCTTCTCTGTGATGACTGCATTCAACTCACGGAGTTGAACACTCCTTTTGAGAGCGCAGTTTTGAAACTCTCTTTCTGTGGCATCTGCAAGGGGACATGTAGACCTCTTTGAAGATTTCGTTGGAAACGGAATCATCTTCACATAAAAACTATACAGAAGCAGTCTCAGAATCTTCTTTGTGATGTTTGCATTCAAATCCCAGAGTTGAACTTTCCTTTCAAAGTTCACGTTTGAAACACTCTTTTTGCAGGATCTACAAGTGGATATTTGGACCACTCTGTGTCCTTCGTTCGAAACGGGTATATCTTCACACGACATCTAGACAGAAGCTTTCTCAGGAAAATTCTTTGGGATGATTGAGTGGAACTCACAGTGCTGAACATTCCTTGCGATGTAGCAGTTTAGAAACACACTTTCTGCAGAATCTGCAAGTGCATATTTGGACCTCTCTGAGGAATTCGTTGGAAACGGGATAATTTCAGCTGACTAAACAGAAGCATTCTCAGAACCTTCTTCGTGATGTCTGCATTCAACTCACAGTGTGGAACCTTTCTTTGATAGTTCAGGTTTGAAACACTCTTTTTGTAGAAACTGCAAGGGGATAATTGCACTTCTTTGAGGCCTACCGTAGTAAAGGAAATAACTTCCTATAGAAAGAAGACAGAAGCATTCTCAGAACCCTCTTCGTGATGTTTGCATTCAACTCACAGTGCTGAACCTTTCTTTGATAGTTCAGCTTTGAAACACTCTTCTTGTAGAAACTGCAAGTGGATATTTGGTCCTCTCTGAGGATATCGTTGGAAACGGGATAAACCGCACAGAACTAAACAGAAGCATTCTCAGAGCCCTCTTCGTGATGTTTGCATTCAACTCACAGTGCTGAACCTTTCTTTGATAGTGCAGCTTTGAAACACTCTTTTTGTAGAAACTGCAAGTGGATGTTTGGTCCTCTCTGAGGATTTCGTTGGAAACGGGATAAACCGCACAGAACTAAAACAGAAGCATTGTCAGAAACTTCTTTGTGATGATTGCATTCAACTCACAGAGTTGAAGGTTCCTTTTCAAACAGCACTTTCCAATCACTCTTTTTGTGGAATCTGCAAGTGGATATTTGGGCCTCTCTGAGGATTTCGTTGGAAACGGGATAAAACGCACAGAACTGAAACAGAAGCATTCTCAGAAACTTCTCTGTGATGTTTGTGTTCAACTCCCAGAGTTTCACGTTGCTTTTCATAGAGTAGTTCTGAAACATGCTTTTCGTAGTGTCTGCAAGTGGACATTTGGAGCGCTTTCAGGCCTGTGGTGGAAAACGAATTATGGTCACATAAAAACTGGAGAGAAGCCTTCTCAGAAACTTCTCTGTGATGATTGCATTCAACTCACAGAGTTGAACCCTCCTATGGATAGAGCAGTGTTGAAACTCTCTTTTTGTGGAATCTGCAAGTGGATATGTGGACCTCTCCGAAGATGTCTTTGGAAACGGGAATATCTTCACATAAAAACTAAACAGAAGCATTCTCAGAAACTTCTTGGTGATGTTTGCATTCAAATCCCAGAGTTGAACCTTCCTTTGATAGTTCAGGTTTGAAACACTCTTTTTGTAGGATCTGCAAGTGGCTATTTGGACCACTCTGTGGCCTTCGTTCGAAACGGGTATATCTTCGCATAAAATCTAGACAGAAGCATTCTCAGAAAATACTTTGTGATGATTGAGTTTAAATCACAGAGCTGAACATTCCTTTGGATGGAGCAGGTTTGAGACACACTTTTTGTAGAATCTACAAGTGGATATTTGCACCTCTCTGAGGATTTCGTTGGAAACGGGATAACTGCACCTAACTAAACGGAAGCATTCTCAGAAACTGCTTTGTGATGATTGCATTCACCTCACAGAGTTGAACATTCGTATTGATAGAGCAGTTTGGAAACACTCTTCTTGTGGAATGTGCAAGTGGAGATTTGGAGCGCTTTGGGGCCTATGGTAGTAAAGGGAATAGCTTCATAGAAAAACTAGACAGATGCATTCTCAGGAACTTTTTGGTGATGTTTGTATTCAACTCCCAGAGTTGAACTTTCCTTTGGAAAGAGCAGCTATGAAACACTCTTTTTCTAGAATCTGCAAGTGGACGTTTGGAGGGCTTTGTGGTTTGTGGTGGAAAAGGAAATATCTTCACCTAAATACTAGATAGAAGCATTCTCAGAAGCTTCTCTGTGATGACTGCATTCAACTCACGGAGTTGAACACTCCTTTTGAGAGCGCAGTTTTGAAACTCTCTTTCTGTGGCATCTGCAAGGGGACATGTAGACCTCTTTGAAGATTTCGTTGGAAACGGAATCATCTTCACATAAAAACTATACAGAAGCAGTCTCAGAATCTTCTTTGTGATGTTAGCATTCAAATCCCACAGTTGAACTTTCCTTTCAAAGTTCACGTTTGAAACACTCTTTTTGCAGGATCTACAAGTGGATATTTGGACCACTCTGTGTCCTTCGTTCGAAACGGGTATATCTTCACACGACATCTAGACAGAAGCTTTCTCAGAAAATTCTTTGGGATGATTGAGTTGAACTCACAGAGCTGAACATTCCTTGCGATGTAGCAGTTTAGAAACACACTTTCTGCAGAATCTGCAAGTGCATATTTGGACCTCTCTGAGGAATTCGTTGGAAACGGGATAATTTCAGCTGACTAAACAGAAGCATTCTCAGAACCTTCTTCGTGATGTCTGCATTCAACTCACAGTGTGGAACCTTTCTTTGATAGTTCAGGTTTGAAACACTCTTTTTGTAGAAACTGCAAGGGGATAATTGCACTTCTTTGAGGCCTACCGTAGTAAAGGAAATAACTTCCTATAGAAAGAAGACAGAAGCATTCTCAGAACCCTCTTCGTGATGTTTGCATTCAACTCACAGTGCTGAACCTTTCTTTGATAGTTCAGCTTTGAAACACTCTTCTTGTAGAAACTGCAAGTGGATATTTGGTCCTCTCTGAGGATTTCGTTGGAAACGGGATAAACCGCACAGAACTAAACAGAAGAATTCTCAGAGCCCTCTTCGTGATGTTTGCATTCAACTCACAGTGCTGAACCTTTCTTTGATAGTGCAGCTTTGAAACACTCTTTTTGTAGAAACTGCAAGTGGATGTTTGGTCCTCTCTGAGGATTTCGTTGGAAACGGGATAAACCGCACAGAACTAAAACAGAAGCATTGTCAGAAACTTCTTTGTGATGATTGCATTCAACTCACAGAGTTGAAGGTTCCTTTTCAAACAGCAGTTTCCAATCACTCTTTCTGTGGAATCTGCAAGTGGATATTTGGGCCTCTCTGAGGATTTCGTTGGAAACGGGATAAAACGCACAGAACTAAAACAGAAGCATTCTCAGAAACTTCTCTGTGATGTTTGTGTTCAACTCCCAGAGTTTCACGTTGCTTTTCATAGAGTAGTTCTGAAACATGCTTTTCGTAGTGTCTGCAAGTGGACATTTGGAGCGCTTTCAGGCCTGTGGTGGAAAACGAATTATGGTCACATAAAAACTGGAGAGAAGCCTTCTCAGAAACTTCTCTGTGATGATTGCATTCAACTCACAGAGTTGAACCCTCCTATGGATAGAGCAGTGTTGAAACTCTCTTTTTGTGGAATCTGCAAGTGGATATGTGGACCTCTCCGAAGATGTCTTTGGAAACGGGAATATCTTCACATAAAAACTAAACAGAAGCATTCTCAGAAACTTCTTGGTGATGTTTGCATTCAAATCCCAGAGTTGAACCTTCCTTTGATAGTTCAGGTTTGAAACACTCTTTTTGTAGGATCTGCAAGTGGCTATTTGGACCACTCTGTGGCCTTCGTTCGAAACGGGTATATCTTCGCATAAAATCTAGACAGAAGCATTCTCAGAAAATACTTTGTGATGATTGAGTTTAAATCACAGAGCTGAACATTCCTTTGGATGGAGCAGGTTTGAGACACACTTTTTGTAGAATCTACAAGTGGATATTTGGACCTCTCTGAGGATTTCGTTGGAAACGGGATAACTGCACCTAACTAAACGGAAGCATTCTCAGAAACTGCTTTGTGATGATTGCATTCACCTCACAGAGTTGAACATTCCTATTGATAGAGCAGTTTGGAAACACTCTTGTTGTGGAATGTGCAAGTGGAGATTTGGAGCGCTTTGAGGCCTATGGTAGTAAAGGGAATAGCTTCATAGAAAAACTAGACAGATGCATTCTCAGGAACTTTTTGGTGATGTTTGTATTCAACTCCCAGAGTTGAACTTTCCTTTGGAAAGAGCAGCTATGAAACACTCTTTTTCTAGAATCTGCAAGTGGACGTTTGGAGGGCTTTGTGGTTTGTGGTGGAAAAGGAAATATCTTCACCTAAATACTAGATAGAAGCATTCTCAGAAGCTTCTCTGTGATGACTGCATTCAACTCACGGAGTTGAACACTCCTTTTGAGAGCGCAGTTTTGAAACTCTCTTTCTGTGGCATCTGCAAGGGGACATGTAGACCTCTTTGAAGATTTCGTTGGAAACGGAATCATCTTCACATAAAAACTATACAGAAGCAGTCTCAGAATCTTCTTTGTGATGTTTGCATTCAAATCCCAGAGTTGAACTTCCCTTTCAAAGTTCACGTTTGAAACACTCTTTTTGCAGGATCTACAAGTGGATATTTGGACCACTCTGTGTCCTTCGTTCGAAACGGGTATATCTTCACATGACATCTAGACAGAAGCTTTCTCAGAAAATCCTTTGGGATGATTGAGTGGAACTCACAGAGCTGAACATTCCTTGCGATGTAGCAGTTTAGAAACACACTTTCTGCAGAATCTGCAAGTGCATATTTGGACCTCTCTGAGGAATTCGTTGGAAACGGGATAATTTCAGCTGACTAAACAGAAGCATTCTCAGAACCTTCTTCGTGATGTCTGCATTCAGCTCACAGTGGGGAACCTTTCTTTGATAGTTCAGGTTTGAAACACTCTTTTTGCAGAAACTGCAAGGGGATAATGGCACTTCTTTGAGGCCTACCGTAGTAAAGGAAATAACTTCCTATAGAAAGAAGACAGAAGCATTCTCAGAACCCTCTTCGTGATGTTTGCATTCAACTCACAGTGCTGAACCTTTCTTTGATAGTTCAGCTTTGAAACACTCTTCTTGTAGAAACTGCAAGTGGATATTTGGTCCTCTCTGAGGATTTCGTTGGAAACGGGATAAACCGCACAGAACTAAACAGAAGAATTCTCAGAGCCCTCTTCGTGATGTTTGCATTCAACTCACAGTGCTGAACCTTTCTTTGATAGTGCAGCTTTGAAACACTCTTTTTGTAGAAACTGCAAGTGGATATTTGGTCCTCTCTGAGGATTTCGTTGGAAACGGGATAAACCGCACAGAACTAAAACAGAAGCATTGTCAGAAACTTCTTTGTGATGATTGCATTCAACTCACAGAGTTGAAGGTTCCTTTTCAAACAGCAGTTTCCAATCACTCTTTCTGTGGAATCTGCAAGTGGATATTTGGGCCTCTCTGAGGATTTCGTTGGAAACGGGATAAAACGCACAGAACTAAAACAAAAGCATTCTCAGAAACTTCTCTGTGATGTTTGTGTGCAACTCACAGAGTTTCACATTGCTTCTCATAGAGTAGTTCTGAAACATGCTTTTCGTAGTGTCTGCAAGTGGACATTTGGAGCGCTTTCAGGCCTGTGGTGGAAAACGAATTATGGTCACATAAAAACTGGAGAGAAGCCTTCTCAGAAACTTCTCTGTGATGATTGCATTCAACTCACAGAGTTGAACCCTCCTATGGATAGAGCAGTGTTGAAACTCTCTTTTTGTGGAATCTGCAAGCGGATATGTGGACCTCTCCGAAGATGTCTTTGGAAACGGGAATATCTTCACATAAAAACTAAACAGAAGCATTCTCAGAAACTGCTTTGTGATGATTGCATTCACCTCACAGAGTTGAACGTTCCTATTGATAGAGCAGTTCGTAAACACTCTTGTTGCAGAATCTGCAAGTGGATATTTGGACCACTCTGTGGCCTTCGTTCGAAACGGGTACATCTTCACATAAAATCTAGACAGATGCATTCTCAGGAACTTTTTGGTGATGTTTGTATTCAACTCCCAGAGTTGAACTTTCCTTTGGAAAGAGCAGCTACGAAACACTCTTTTTCTAGAATCTGCAAGTGGACGTTTGGAGGGCTTTGTGGTTTGTGGTGGAAAAGGAAATATCTTCACCTAAATACTAGATAGAAGCATTCTCAGAAGCTTCTCTGTGATGGCTGCATTCAACTCACGGAGTTGAACACTCCTTTTGAGAGCGCCGTTTTGAAACTCTCTTTCTGTGGCATCTGCAAGGGGACATGTAGACCTCTTTGAAGATTTCGTTGGAAACGGAATCATCTTCACATAAAAACTATACAGAAGCAGTCTCAGAATCTTCTTTGTGATGTTTGCATTCAAATCCCAGAGTTGAGCTTTCCTTTCAAAGTTCGCGTTTGAAACACTCTTTTTGCAGGATCTACAAGTGGATATTTGGACAACTCTGTGTCCTTCGTTCGAAACGGGTATATCTTCACATGACATCTAGACAGAAGCTTTCTCAGAAAATTCTTTGGGATGATTGAGTTGAACTCACAGAGCTGAACATTCCTTGCGATGTAGCAGTTTAGAAACACACTTTCTGCAGAATCTGCAAGTGCATATTTGGACCTCTCTGAGGAATTCGTTGGAAACGGGATAATTTCAGCTGACTAAACAGAAGCATTCTCAGAACCTTCTTCGTGATATCTGCCTTCAACTCACAGTGTGGAACCTTTCCTTGATAGTTCAGGTTTGAAACACTCTTTTTGTAGAAACTGCAAGGGGATAATTGCACTTCTTTGAGGCCTACCGTAGTAAAGGAAATAACTTCCTATAGAAAGAAGACAGAAGCATTCTCAGAACCTTCTTTGTGATGTTTGCATTCAACTCACAGTGTTGAACCTTTCTTTGATAGTTCAGCTTTGAAACACTCTTTTTGTAGAAACTGCAAGTGGATATTTGGTCCTCTCTGAGGATTTCGTTGGAAACGGGATAAACCGCACAGAACTAAACAGAAGCATTCACAGAAAACTCTTGGTGACGACTGAGTTCAACTCACAGAGCTGAACATTCCTTTGGATGGAGCCGTTTCGAAACACACTATTTGTAGAATGTGCAAGTGGATATTTGGGCCTCTCTGAGGATTTCGTTGGAAAAGGGATAAACCGCACAGAACTAAACAGAAGCATTCTCAGAAACTACTTTGTGATGATTGCATTCAAGTCACAGAGCTGAACATTCCCTTTGACAGAGCAGTTTGGAAACTCTCTTTGTGTAGAATCTGCAAGTGGAGATATGGACCGCTTTGAGGACTATGGTAGTAAAGGAAATAGCTTCATATAAAAGCTAGACAGTAGCATTCTCAGAAACTTCTTTGTGATGCTTGCATTCAACTCACAGAGTTGAACTTTCCTTTCGAGAGAGAAGCTTTGAAACACTCTTTTTCCAGAATCTGCAAGTGGACATTTGGAGGGCTTTGAGGCCTGTGGTGGAAAAGGAATTATCTTCCCGTAAAAGCTAGATAGAAGCATTGTCAGAAACTTCTTTGTGATGATTGCATTCAACTCACAGAGTTGAAGGTTCCTTTTCAAAGAGCAGTTTCCAATCACTCTTTGTGTGGAATCTGCAAGTGGATATTTGGACCTATTTTGAAGATTTCGTTGGAAACGGGAGAATCTTCACAGGAAAGCTAAACAGAAGCATTCTCAGAAACTTCTCTGTGATGTTTGTGTTCAACTCCCAGAGTTTCACATTGCTTTTCATAGAGTAGTTCTGAAACATGCTTTTCGTAGTGTCTACAAGTGGACATTTGGAGCGCTTTCAGGCCTGTGGTGGAAAACGAATTATGGTCACATAAAAACTGGAGAGAAGCCTTCTCAGAAACTTCTCTGTGATGATTGCATTCAACTCACAGAGTTGAACCCTCCTATGGATAGAGCAGTGTTGAAACTCTCTTTTTGTGGAATCTGCAAGTGGATATGTGGACCTCTCCGAAGATGTCTTTGGAAACGGGAATATCTTCACATAAAAACTAAACAGAAGCATTCTCAGAAACTTCTTGGTGATGTTTGCATTCAAATCCCAGAGTTGAACCTTCCTTTGATAGTTCAGGTTTGAAACACTCTTTTTGTAGGATCTGCAAGTGGATATTTGGACCACACTGTGGCCTTCGTTCGAAACGGGTACATCTTCGCATAAAATCTAGACAGAAGCATTCTCAGAAAATACTTTGTGATGATTGAGTTTAACTCACAGAGCTGAACATTCCTTTGGATGGAGCAGGTTTGAGACACACTTTTTGTAGAATCTACAAGTGGATATTTCGACCTCTCTGAGGATTTCGTTGGAAACGGGATAACTGCACCTAACTAAACGGAAGCATTCTCAGAAACTGCTTTGTGATGATTGCATTCACCTCACAGAGTTGAACATTCCTATTGATAGAGCAGTTTGGAAACACTCTTGTTGTGGAATGTGCAAGTGGAGATTTGGAGCGCTTTGAGGCCTATGGTAGTAAAGGGAATAGCTTCATAGAAAAACAAGGCAGATGCATTCTCAGGAACTTTTTGGTGATGTTTGTATTCAACTCCCAGAGTTGAACTTTCCTTTGGAAAGAGCAGCTATGAAACACTCTTTTTCTAGAATCTGCAAGTGGACGTTTGGAGGGCTTTGTGGTTTGTGGTGGAAAAGGAAATATCTTCACCTAAATACTAGATAGAAGCATTCTCAGAAGCTTCTCTGTGATGACTGCATTCAACTCACGGAGTTGAACACTCCTTTTGAGAGCGCAGTTTTGAAACTCTCTTTCTGTGGCATCCGCAAGGGGACATGTGGACCTCTTTGAAGATTTCGTTGGAAACGGAATCATCTTCACATAAAAACTATACAGAAGCAGTCTCAGAATCTTCTTTGTGATGTTTGCATTCAAATCCCAGAGTTGAACTTTCCTTTCAAAGTTCACGTTTGAAACACTATTTTTGCAGGATCTACAAGTGGATATTTGGACCACTCTGTGTCCTCCGTTCGAAACGGGTATATCTTCACATGACATCTAGACAGAAGCTTTCTCAGAAAATTCTTTGGGATGATTGAGTGGAACTCACAGAGCTGAACATTCCTTGCGATGTAGCAGTTTAGAAACACACTTTCTGCAGAATCTGCAAGTGCATATTTGGACCTCTCTGAGGAATTCGTTGGAAACGGGATAATTTCAGCTGACTAAACAGAAGCATTCTCAGAACCTTCTTCGTGATGTCTGCATTCAACTCACAGTGTGGAACCTTTCTTTGATAGTTCAGGTTTGAAACACTCTTTTTGTAGAAACTGCAAGGGGATAATTGCACTTCTTTGAGGCCTACCGTAGTAAAGGAAATAACTTCCTATAGAAAGAAGACAGAAGCATTCTCAGAACCCTCTTCGTGATGTTTGCATTCAACTCACAGTGCTGAACCTTTCTTTGATACTTCAGCTTTGAAACACTCTTCTTGTAGAAACTGCAAGTGGATATTTGGTCCTCTCTGAGGATTTCCTTCGAAACGGGATAAACCGCACAGAACTAAACAGAAGCATTCTCAGAACCTTCTTCGTGATGTTTGCATTCAACTCACAGTGTTGAACCTTTCCTTGATAGTTCAGGTTTGAAACGGTCTTTCTGTAGAAAATGCAAGTAGATATTTGGACCTCTCTGAGGATTTCGTTGGAAACGGGATAAACCGCACAGAACTAAAACAGAAGCATTCTCAGAACCCTCTTCGTGATGTTTGCATTCAACTCACAGTGCTGAACCTTTCTTTGATAGTGCAGCTTTGAAACACTCTTTTTGTAGAAACTGCAAGTGGATATTTGGTCCTCTCTGAGGATTTCGTTGGAAACGGGATAAACCGCACAGAACTAAAACAGAAGCATTCACAGAAAACTCTTGGTGACGACTGAGTTTAACTCACAGAGCTGAACATTCCTTTGGATGGAGCAGTTTCAAAACACACTATTTGTAGAATCTGCAAGTGGATATGTGGGCCTCTCTGAGGATTTCGTTGGAAACGGGATAAACCGCACAGAACTAAAACAGAAGCATTCTCAGAAACTACTTTGTGATGATTGCATTCAAGTCACAGAGTTGAACATTCCCTTTGACAGAGCAGTTTGGAAACTCTCTTTGTGTAGAATCTGCAAGTGGAGATATGGACCGCTTTGAGGCCTATGGTAGTAAAGGAAATAGCTTCATATAAAAGCTAGACAGTAGCATTCTCAGAAACTTCTTTGTGATGCTTGCATTCAACTCACAGAGTTGAACTTTCCTTTCGAGAGAGAAGCTTTGAAACACTCTTTTTCCAGAATGTGCAAGTGGACATTTGGGGAGCTTTGAGGCCTGTGGTGGAAAAGGAATTATCTTCCCGTAAAAGCTAGATAGAAGCATTGTCAGAAACTTCTTTGTGATGATTGCATTCAACTCACAGAGTTGAAGGTTCCTTTTCAAACAGCAGTTTCCAATCACTCTTTCTGTGGAATCTGCAAGTGGATATTTCGACCTCTTTGAAGATTTCGTTGGAAACGGGAGAATCTTCACAGAAAAGCTAAACAGAAGCATTCTCAGAAACTTCTCTGTGATGTTTGTGTTCAACTCCCAGAGTTTCACGTTGCTTTTCATAGAGTAGTTCTGAAACATGCTTTTCGTAGTGTCTGCAAGTGGACATTTGGAGCGCTTTCAGGCCTGTGGTGGAAAACGAATTATGGTCACATAAAAACTGGAGAGAAGCCTTCTCAGAAACTTCTCTGTGATGATTGCATTCAACTCACAGAGTTGAACCCTCCTATGGATAGAGCAGTGTTGAAACTCTCTTTTTGTGGAATCTGCAAGTGGATATGTGGACCTCTCCGAAGATGTCTTTGGAAACGGGAATATCTTCACATAAAAACTAAACAGAAGCATTCTCAGAAACTTCTTGGTGATGTTTGCATTCAAATCCCAGAGTTGAACCTTCCTTTGATAGTTCAGGTTTGAAACACTCTTTCTGTAGGATCTGCAAGTGGCTATTTGGACCACTCTGTGGCCTTCGTTCGAAACGGGTATATCTTCGCATAAAATCTAGACAGAAGCATTCTCAGAAAATACTTTGTGATGATTGAGTTTAAATCACAGAGCTGACCATTCCTTTGGATGGAGCAGGTTTGAGACACACTTTTTGTAGAATCTACAAGTGGATATTTGGACCTCTCTGAGGATTTCGTTGGAAACGGGATAACTGCACCTAACTAAACGGAAGCATTCTCAGAAACTGCTTTGTGATGATTGCATTCACCTCACAGAGTTGAACATTCCTATTGATAGAGCAGTTTGGAAACACTCTTGTTGTGGAATGTGCAAGTGGAGATTTGGAGCGCTTTGAGGCCTATGGTAGTAAAGGGAATAGCTTCATAGAAAAACTAGACAGATGCATTCTCAGGAACTTTTTGGTGATGTTTGTATTCAACTCCCAGAGTTGAACTTTCCTTTGGAAAGAGCAGCTATGAAACACTCTTTTTCTAGAATCTGCAAGTGGACGTTTGGAGGGCTTTGTGGTTTGTGGTGGAAAAGGAAATATCTTCACCTAAATACTAGATAGAAGCATCCTCCGAAGCTTCTCTGTGATGACTGCATTCAACTCACGGAGTTGAACACTCCTTTTGAGAGCGCAGTTTTGAAACTCTCTTTCTGTGGCATCTGCAAGGGGACATGTAGACCTCTTTGAAGATTTCGTTGGAAACGGAATCATCTTCACATAAAAACTATACAGAAGCAGTCTCAGAATCTTCTTTGTGATGTTTGCATTCAAATCCCAGAGTTGAACTTTCCTTTCAAAGTTCACGTTTGAAACACTCTTTTTGCAGGATCTACAAGTGGATATTTGGACCACTCTGTGTCCTTCGTTCGAAACGGGTATATCTTCACATGACATCTAGACAGAAGCTTTCTCAGAAAATTCTTTGGGATGATTGAGTTGAGCAAACAGAGCTGAACACTCCTTGCGATGTAGCAGTTTAGAAACACACTTTCTGCAGAATCTGCAAGTGCATATGTGGAACTCTCTGAGGAATTCGTTGGAAACGGGATAATTTCAGCTGACTAAACAGAAGCATTCTCAGAACCTTCTTCGTGATGTCTGCGTTCAACTCACAGTGTGGAACCTTTCTTTGATAGTTCAGGTTTGAAACACTCTTTTTGTAGAAACTGCAAGGGGATCATTGCACTTCTTTGAGGCCTACCGTAGTAAAGGAGATAACTTCCTACAAAAAGAAGACAGAAGCATTCTCAGAACCCTCTTCGTGATGTTTGCATTCAACCCACGGTGCTGAACCTTTCTTTGATAGTTCAGCTTTGAAACACTCTTTTTGTAGAAACTGCAAGTGGATATTTGGTCCTCTCTGAGGATTTCGTTGGAAACGGGATAAACCGCACAGAACTAAACAGAAGCATTCTCAGAACCTTCTTCGTGATGTTTGCATTCAACTCACAGTGTTGAACCTTTCTTTGATAGTTCAGGTTTGAAACGGTCTTTCTGTAGAAACTGCAAGTAGATATTTGGACCTCTCTGAGGATTTCGTTAGAAACCGGATAAACCGCACAGAACTAAAACAGAAGCTTTCACAGAAAACTCTTGGTGACGACTGAGTTTAACTCACAGAGCTGAACATTCCTTTGGATGGAGCAGTTTCGAAACACACTATTTGTAGAATGTGCAAGTGGATATGTGGGCCTCTCTGAGGATTTCGTTGGAAACGGGATAAACCGCCCAGAACTAAACAGAAGCATTCTCAGAAACTACTTTGTGATGATTGCATTCAAGTCACAGTAGTTGAACATTCCCTTTGACAGAGCAGTTTGGAAACTCTCTTTGTGTAGAATCTGCAAGTGGAGATATGGACCGCTTTGAGGCCTATGGTAGTAAAGGAAATAGCTTCATATAAAAGCTAGACAGTAGCATTCTCAGAAACTTCTTTGTGATGCTTGCATTCAACTCACAGAGTTGAACTTTCCTTTCGAGAGAGAAGCTTTGAAACACTCTTTTTCCAGAATCTGCAAGTGGACATTTGGAGGGCTTTGAGGCCTGTGGTGGAAAAGGAATTATCTTCCCGTAAAAGCTAGATAGAAGCATTGTCAGAAACATCTTCGTGATGATTGCATTCAACTCACAGAGTTGAAGGTTCCTTTACAAACAGCAGTTTCCAAACACTCTTTCTGTGGAATCTGCAAGTGGATATTTGGACCTCTTTGCATATTTCCTTGGAAACGGGATAATCTTCACAGAAAAGCTAAACAGAAGCATTCTCAGAAACTTCTCTGTGATGTTTGTGTTCAACTCCCAGAGTTTCACATGGCTTCTCATAGAGTAGTTCTGAAACATGCTTTTCATAGTGTCTGCAAGTGGACATTTGGAGTGCTTTCAGGCCTGTGGTGGAAAACGAATTATGGTCACATAAAAACTGGAGAGAAGCCTTCTGAGAAACTTCTCTGTGATGATTGCATTCAACTCACAGAGTTGAAACCTCCTATGGATAGAGCAGTGTTGAAACTCTCTTTTTGTGGAATCTGCAAGTGGATATGTGGACCCCTCCGAAGATGTCTTTGGAAACGGGAATATCTTCACATAAAAACTACACAGAAGCATTCTCAGAAACTGCTTTGTGATGATTGCATTCACCTCACAGAGTTGAACATTCCTATTGATAGAGCAGTTCGTAAACACTCTTGTTGCAGAATCTGCAAGTGGATATTTGGACCACTCTGTGGCCTTCGTTCGAAACGGGTACATCTTCACATAAAATCTAGAGAGAAGCATTCTCAGAAAATACTTTGTGATGATTGAGTTTAACTCACAGAGCTGAACATTCCTTTGGATGGAGCAGGTTTGAGACACACTTTTTGTAGAATCTAAAAGTGGATATTTGGACCTCTCTGAGGATTTCGTTGGAAACGGGATAACTGCACCTAACTAAACGGAAGCATTCTCAGAAACTGCTTTGTGATGATTGCATTCACCTCACAGAGTTGAACATTCCTATTGATAGAGCAGTTTGGAAACACTCTTGTTGTGGAATGTGCAAGTGGAGATTTGGCGCGCTTTGAGGCCTATGGTAGTAAAGGGAATAGCTTCATAGAAAAACTAGACAGATGCATTCTCAGGAACTTTTTGGTGATGTTTGTATTCAACTCCCAGAGTTGAACTTTCCTTTGGAAAGAGCAGCTATGAAACACTCTTTTTCTAGAATCTGCAAGTGGACGTTTGGAGGGCTTTGTGGTTTGTGGTGGAAAAGGAAATATCTTCACCTAAATACTAGATAGAAGCATTCTCAGAAGCTTCTCTGTGATGACTGCATTCAACTCACGGAGTTGAACACTCCTTTTGAGAGCGCAGTTTTGAAACTCTCTTTCTGTGGCATCTGCAAGGGGACATGTAGACCTCTTTGAAGATTTCGTTGGAAACGGAATCATCTTCACATAAAAACTATACAGAAGCAGTCTCAGAATCTTCTTTGTGATGTTTGCATTCAAATCCCAGAGTTGAACTTTCCTTTCAAAGTTCACGTTTGAAACACTCTTTTTGCAGGATCTACAAGTGGATATTTGGACCACTCTGTGTCCTTCGTTCGAAACGGGTATATCTTCACACGACATCTAGACAGAAGCTTTCTCAGAAAATTCTTTGGGATGATTGAGTTGAGCAAACAGAGCTGAACACTCCTTGCGATGTAGCAGTTTAGAAACACCCTTTCTGCAGAATCTGCAAGTGCATATGTGGACCTCTCTGAGGAATTCGTTGGAAACGGGATAACTTCAGCTGACTAAACAGAAGCATTCTCAGAACCTTCTTCGTGATGTCTGCATTCAACTCACAGTGTGGAACCTTTCTTTGATAGTTCAGGTTTGAAACACTCTTTTTGTAGAAACTGCAAGGGGATAATTGCACTTCTTTGAGGCCTACCGTAGTAAAGGAAATAACTTCCTATAGAAAGAAGACAGAAGCATTCTCAGAACCCTCTTCGTGATGTTTGCATTCAACACACAGTGCTGAACCTTTCTTTGATAGTTCAGCTTTGAAACACTCTTCTTGTAGAAACTGCAAGTGGATATTTGGTCCTCTCTGAGGATTTCGTTGGAAACGGGATAAACCGCACAGAACTAAACAGAAGCATTCTCAGAACTTCTTCGTGATGTTTGCATTCAACTCACAGTGTTGAACCTTTCTTTGATAGTTCAGGTTTGAAACGGTCTTTCTGTAGAAACTGCAAGTAGATATTTGGACCTCTCTGAGGATTTCGTTGGAAACGGGATAACCCGCACAGAACTAAAACAGAAGCATTCACAGAAAACTCTTGGTGACGACTGAGTTTAACTCACAGAGCTGAACATTCCTTTGGATGGAGCAGTTTCGAAACACACTATTTGTAGAATGTGCAAGTGGATATTTAGGCCTCTACTGAGGATTTCGTTGGAAACGGGATAAACCGCACAGAACTAAACAGAAGCATTCTCAGAAACTACTTTGTGATGATTGCATTCAAGTCACAGAGTTGAACATTCCCTTTGACAGAGCAGTTTGGAAACTCTCTTTGTGTAGAATCTGCAAGTGGAGATATGGACCGCTTTGAGGCCTATGGTAGTAAAGGAAATAGCTTCATATAAAAGCTAGACAGTAGCATTCTCAGAAACTTCTTTGTGATGCTTGCATTCAACTCACAGAGTTGAACTTTCCTTTCGAGAGAGAAGCTTTGAAACACTCTTTTTCCAGAATGTGCAAGTGGACATTTGGGGAGCTTTGAGGCCTGTGGTGGAAAAGGAATTATCTTCCTGTAAAAGCTAGATAGAAGCATTGTCAGAAACTTCTTTGTGATGATTGCATTCAACTCACAGAGTTGAAGGTTCCTTTTCAAACAGCAGTTTCCAATCACTCTTTCTGTGGAACCTGCAAGTGGATATTTCGACCTCTTTGAAGATTTCGTTGGAAACGGGAGAATCTTCACAGAAAAGCTAAACAGAAGCATTCTCAGAAACTTCTCTGTGATGTTTGTGTTCAACTCCCAGAGTTTCACGTTGCTTTTCATAGAGTAGTTCTGAAACATGCTTTTCGTAGTGTCTGCAAGTGGACATTTGGAGCGCTTTCAGGCCTGTGGTGGAAAACGAATTATGGTCACATAAAAACTGGAGAGAAGCCTTCTCAGAAACTTCTCTGTGATGATTGCATTCAACTCACAGAGTTGAACCCTCCTATGGATAGAGCAGTGTTGAAACTCTCTTTTTGTGGAATCTGCAAGTGGATATGTGGACCTCTCCGAAGATGTCTTTGGAAACGGGAATATCTTCACATAAAAACTAAACAGAAGCATTCTCAGAAACTTCTTGGTGATGTTTGCATTCAAATCCCAGAGTGGAACCTTCCTTTGATAGTTCAGGTTTGAAACACTCTTTCTGTAGGATCTGCAAGTGGCTATTTGGACCACTCTGTGGCCTTCGTTCGAAACGGGTATATCTTCGCATAAAATCTAGACAGAAGCATTCTCAGAAAATACTTTGTGATGATTGAGTTTAAATCACAGAGCTGACCATTCCTTTGGATGGAGCAGGTTTGAGACACACTTTTTGTAGAATCTACAAGTGGATATTTGGACCTCTCTGAGGATTTCGTTGGAAACGGGATAACTGCACCTAACTAAACGGAAGCATTCTCAGAAACTGCTTTGTGATGATTGCATTCACCTCACAGAGTTGAACATTCCTATTGATAGAGCAGTTTGGAAACACTCTTGTTGTGGAATGTGCAAGTGGAGATTTGGAGCGCTTTGAGGTCTATGGTAGTAAAGGGAATAGCTTCATAGAAAAACTAGACAGATGCATTCTCAGGAACTTTTTGGTGATGTTTGTATTCAACTCCCAGAGTTGAACTTTCCTTTGGAAAGAGCAGCTATGAAACACTCTTTTTCTAGAATCTGCAAGTGGACGTTTGGAGGGCTTTGTGGTTTGTGGTGGAAAAGGAAATATCTTCACCTAAATACTAGACAGAGTCATTCTCAGTAAGCTTCTCTGTGATGACTGCATTCAACTCACGGAGTTGAACACTCCTTTTGAGAGCGCAGTTTTGAAACTCTCTTTCTGTGGCATCTGCAAGGGGACATGTAGACCTCTTTGAAGATTTCGTTGGAAACGGAATCATCTTCACATAAAAACTATACAGAAGCAGTCTCAGAATCTTCTTTGTGATGTTTGCATTCAAATCCCAGAGTTGAACTTTCCTTTCAAAGTTCACGTTTGAAACACTCTTTTTGCAGGATCTACAAGTGGATATTTGGACCACTCTGTGTCCTTCGTTCGAAACGGGTATATCTTCACACGACATCTAGACAGAAGCTTTCTCAGAAAATTCTTTGGGATGATTGAGTGGAACTCACAGAGCTGAACATTCCTTGCGATGTAGCAGTTTAGAAACACACTTTCTGCAGAATCTGCAAGTGCATATTTGGACCTCTCTGAGGAATTCGTTGGAAACGGGATAATTTCAGCTGACTAAACAGAAGCATTCTCAGAACCTTCTTCGTGATGTCTGCATTCAACTCACAGTGTGGAACCTTTCTTTGATAGTTCAGGTTTGAAACACTCTTTTTGTAGAAACTGCAAGGGGATAATTGCACTTCTTTGAGGCCTACCGTAGTAAAGGAAATAACTTCCTATAGAAAGAAGACAGAAGCATTCTCAGAACCCTCTTCGTGATGTTTGCATTCAACTCACAGTGCTGAACCTTTCTTTGATAGTTCAGCTTTGAAACACTCTTCTTGTAGAAACTGCAAGTGGATATTTGGTCCTCTCTGAGGATTTCGTTGGAAACGGGATAAACCGCACAGAACTAAACAGAAGAATTCTCAGAGCCCTCTTCGTGATGTTTGCATTCAACTCACAGTGCTGAACCTTTCTTTGATAGTGCAGCTTTGAAACACTCTTTTTGTAGAAACTGCAAGTGGATGTTTGGTCCTCTCTGAGGATTTCGTTGGAAACGGGATAAACCGCACAGAACTAAAACAGAAGCATTGTCAGAAACTTCTTTGTGATGATTGCATTCAACTCACAGAGTTGAAGGTTCCTTTTCAAACAGCAGTTTCCAATCACTCTTTCTGTGGAATCTGCAAGTGGATATTTGGGCCTCTCTGAGGATTTCGTTGGAAACGGGATAAAACGCACAGAACTAAAACAGAAGCATTCTCAGAAACTTCTCTGTGATGTTTGTGTTCAACTCCCAGAGTTTCACGTTGCTTTTCATAGAGTAGTTCTGAAACATGCTTTTCGTAGTGTCTGCAAGTGGACATTTGGAGCGCTTTCAGGCCTGTGGTGGAAAACGAATTATGGTCACATAAAAACTGGAGAGAAGCCTTCTCAGAAACTTCTCTGTGATGATTGCATTCAACTCACAGAGTTGAACCCTCCTATGGATAGAGCAGTGTTGAAACTCTCTTTTTGTGGAATCTGCAAGTGGATATGTGGACCTCTCCGAAGATGTCTTTGGAAACGGGAATATCTTCACATAAAAACTAAACAGAAGCATTCTCAGAAACTTCTTGGTGATGTTTGCATTCAAATCCCAGAGTTGAACCTTCCTTTGATAGTTCAGGTTTGAAACACTCTTTTTGTAGGATCTGCAAGTGGCTATTTGGACCACTCTGTGGCCTTCGTTCGAAACGGGTATATCTTCACATAAAATCTAGACAGAAGCATTCTCAGAAAATACTTTGTGATGATTGAGTTGAACTCACAGAGCTGAACATTCCTTTGGATGGAGCAGGTTTGAGACACACTTTTTGTAGAATCTACAAGTGGATATTTGGACCTCTCTGAGGATTTCGTTGGAAACGGGATAACTGCACCTAACTAAACGGAAGCATTCTCAGAAACTGCTTTGTGATGATTGCATTCACCTCACAGAGTTGAACATTCCTATTGATAGAGCAGTTTGGAAACACTCTTCTTGTGGAATGTGCAAGTGGAGATTTGGAGCGCTTTGAGGCCTATGGTAGTAAAGGGAATAGCTTCATAGAAAAATTAGACAGATGCATTCTCAGGAACTTTTTGGTGATGTTTGTATTCAACTCCCAGAGTTGAACTTTCCTTTGGAAAGAGCAGCTATGAAACACTCTTTTTCTAGAATCTGCAAGTGGACGTTTGGAGGGCTTTGTGGTTTGTGGTGGAAAAGGAAATATCTTCACCTAAATACTAGAGAGAAGCATTCTCAGAAGCTTCTCTGTGATGACTGCATTCAACTCACGGAGTTGAACACTCCTTTTGAGAGCGCAGTTTTGAAACTCTCTTTCTGTGGCATCTGCAAGGGGACATGTAGACCTCTTTGAAGATTTCATTGGAAACGGAATCATCTTCACATAAAAACTATACAGAAGCAGTCTCAGAATCTTCTTTGTGATGTTTGCATTCAAATCCCAGAGTTGAACTTTCCTTTCAAAGTTCACGTTTGAAACACTCTTTTTGCAGGATCTACAAGTGGATATTTGGACCACTCTGTGTCCTTCGTTCGAAACGGGTATATCTTCACACGACATCTAGACAGAAGCTTTCTCAGAAAATTCTTTGGGATGATTGAGTGGAACTCACAGAGCTGAACATTCCTTGCGATGTAGCAGTTTAGAAACACACTTTCTGCAGAATCTGCAAGTGCATATTTGGACCTCTCTGAGGAATTCGTTGGAAACGGGATAATTTCAGCTGACTAAACAGAAGCATTCTCAGAACCTTCTTCGTGATGTCTGCATTCAACTCACAGTGTGGAACCTTTCTTTGATAGTTCAGGTTTGAAACACTCTTTTTGTAGAAACTGCAAGGGGATAATTGCACTTCTTTGAGGCCTACCGTAGTAAAGGAAATAACTTCCTATAGAAAGAAGACAGAAGCATTCTCAGAACCCTCTTCGTGATGTTTGCATTCAACTCACAGTGCTGAACCTTTCTTTGATAGTTCAGCTTTGAAACACTCTTCTTGTAGAAACTGCAAGTGGATATTTGGTCCTCTCTGAGGATTTCGTTGGAAACGGGATAAACCGCACAGAACTAAACAGAAGAATTCTCAGAGCCCTCTTCGTGATGTTTGCATTCAACTCACAGTGCTGAACCTTTCTTTGATAGTGCAGCTTTGAAACACTCTTTTTGTAGAAACTGCAAGTGGATGTTTGGTCCTCTCTGAGGATTTCGTTGGAAACGGGATAAACCGCACAGAACTAAAACAGAAGCATTGTCAGAAACTTCTTTGTGATGATTGCATTCAACTCACAGAGTTGAAGGTTCCTTTTCAAACAGCAGTTTCCAATCACTCTTTCTGTGGAATCTGCAAGTGGATATTTGGGCCTCTCTGAGGATTTCGTTGGAAACGGGATAAAACGCACAGAACTAAAACAGAAGCATTCTCAGAAACTTCTCTGTGATGTTTGTGTTCAACTCCCAGAGTTTCACGTTGCTTTTCATAGAGTAGTTCTGAAACATGCTTTTCGTAGTGTCTGCAAGTGGACATTTGGAGCGCTTTCAGGCCTGTGGTGGAAAACGAATTATGGTCACATAAAAACTGGAGAGAAGCCTTCTCAGAAACTTCTCTGTGATGATTGCATTCAACTCACAGAGTTGAACCCTCCTATGGATAGAGCAGTGTTGAAACTCTCTTTTTGTGGAACCTGCAAGTGGATATGTGGACCTCTCCGAAGATGTCTTTGGAAACGGGAATATCTTCACATAAAAACTAAACAGAAGCATTCTCAGAAACTTCTTGGTGATGTTTGCATTCAAATCCCAGAGTTGAACCTTCCTTTGATAGTTCAGGTTTGAAACACTCTTTCTGTAGGATCTGCAAGTGGCTATTTGGACCACTCTGTGGCCTTCGTTCGAAACGGGTATATCTTCGCATAAAATCTAGACAGAAGCATTCTCAGAAAATACTTTGTGATGATTGAGTTTAAATCACAGAGCTGACCATTCCTTTGGATGGAGCAGGTTTGAGACACACTTTTTGTAGAATCTACAAGTGGATATTTGGACCTCTCTGAGGATTTCGTTGGAAACGGGATAACTGCACCTAACTAAACGGAAGCATTCTCAGAAACTGCTTTGTGATGATTGCATTCACCTCACAGAGTTGAACATTCCTATTGATAGAGCAGTTTGGAAACACTCTTGTTGTGGAATGTGCAAGTGGAGATTTGGAGCGCTTTGAGGCCTGTGGTAGTAAAGGGAATAGCTTCATAGAAAAACTAGACAGATGCATTCTCAGGAACTTTTTGGTGATGTTTGTATTCAACTCCCAGAGTTGAACTTTCCTTTGGAAAGAGCAGCTATGAAACACTCTTTTTCTAGAATCTGCAAGTGGACGTTTGGAGGGCTTTGTGGTTTGTGGTGGAAAAGGAAATATCTTCACCTAAATACTAGATAGAAGCATTCTCAGAAGCTTCTCTGTGATGACTGCATTCAACTCACGGAGTTGAACACTCCTTTTGAGAGCGCAGTTTTGAAACTCTCTTTCTGTGGCATCTGCAAGGGGACATGTAGACCTCTTTGAAGATTTCGTTGGAAACGGAATCATCTTCACATAAAAACTATACAGAAGCAGTCTCAGAATCTTCTTTGTGATGTTTGCATTCAAATCCCAGAGTTGAACTTTCCTTTCAAAGTTCACGTTTGAAACACTCTTTTTGCAGGATCTACAAGTGGATATTTGGACCACTCTGTGTCCTTCGTTCGAAACGGGTATATCTTCACACGACATCTAGACAGAAGCTTTCTCAGAAAATTCTTTGGGATGATTGAGTGGAACTCACAGAGCTGAACATTCCTTGCGATGTAGCAGTTTAGAAACACACTTTCTGCAGAATCTGCAAGTGCATATTTGGACCTCTCTGAGGAATTCGTTGGAAACGGGATAATTTCAGCTGACTAAACAGAAGCATTCTCAGAACCTTCTTCGTGATGTCTGCATTCAACTCACAGTGTGGAACCTTTCTTTGATAGTTCAGGTTTGAAACACTCTTTTTGTAGAAACTGCAAGGGGATAATTGCACTTCTTTGAGGCCTACCGTAGTAAAGGAAATAACTTCCTATAGAAAGAAGACAGAAGCATTCTCAGAACCCTCTTCGTGATGTTTGCATTCAACTCACAGTGCTGAACCTTTCTTTGATAGTTCAGCTTTGAAACACTCTTCTTGTAGAAACTGCAAGTGGATATTTGGTCCTCTCTGAGGATTTCGTTGGAAACGGGATAAACCGCACAGAACTAAACAGAAGAATTCTCAGAGCCCTCTTCGTGATGTTTGCATTCAACTCACAGTGCTGAACCTTTCTTTGATAGTGCAGCTTTGAAACACTCTTTTTGTAGAAACTGCAAGTGGATGTTTGGTCCTCTCTGAGGATTTCGTTGGAAACGGGATAAACCGCACAGAACTAAAACAGAAGCATTGTCAGAAACTTCTTTGTGATGATTGCATTCAACTCACAGAGTTGAAGGTTCCTTTTCAAACAGCAGTTTCCAATCACTCTTTCTGTGGAATCTGCAAGTGGATATTTGGGCCTCTCTGAGGATTTCGTTGGAAACGGGATAAAACGCACAGAACTAAAACAGAAGCATTCTCAGAAACTTCTCTGTGATGTTTGTGTTCAACTCCCAGAGTTTCACGTTGCTTTTCATAGAGTAGTTCTGAAACATGCTTTTCGTAGTGTCTGCAAGTGGACATTTGGAGCGCTTTCAGGCCTGTGGTGGAAAACGAATTATGGTCACATAAAAACTGGAGAGAAGCCTTCTCAGAAACTTCTCTGTGATGATTGCATTCAACTCACAGAGTTGAACCCTCCTATGGATAGAGCAGTGTTGAAACTCTCTTTTTGTGGAATCTGCAAGTGGATATGTGGACCTCTCCGAAGATGTCTTTGGAAACGGGAATATCTTCACATAAAAACTAAACAGAAGCATTCTCAGAAACTTCTTGGTGATGTTTGCATTCAAATCCCAGAGTTGAACCTTCCTTTGATAGTTCAGGTTTGAAACACTCTTTCTGTAGGATCTGCAAGTGGCTATTTGGACCACTCTGTGGCCTTCGTTCGAAACGGGTATATCTTCGCATAAAATCTAGACAGAAGCATTCTCAGAAAATACTTTGTGATGATTGAGTTTAAATCACAGAGCTGACCATTCCTTTGGATGGAGCAGGTTTGAGACACACTTTTTGTAGAATCTACAAGTGGATATTTGGACCTCTCTGAGGATTTCGTTGGAAACGGGATAACTGCACCTAACTAAACGGAAGCATTCTCAGAAACTGCTTTGTGATGATTGCATTCACCTCACAGAGTTGAACATTCCTATTGATAGAGCAGTTTGGAAACACTCTTGTTGTGGAATGTGCAAGTGGAGATTTGGAGCGCTTTGAGGCCTGTGGTAGTAAAGGGAATAGCTTCATAGAAAAACTAGACAGATGCATTCTCAGGAACCTTTTGGTGATGTTTGTATTCAACTCCCAGAGTTGAACTTTCCTTTGGAAAGAGCAGCTATGAAACACTCTTTTTCTAGAATCTGCAAGTGGACGTTTGGAGGGCTTTGTGGTTTGTGGTGGAAAAGGAAATATCTTCACCTAAATACTAGATAGAAGCATTCTCAGAAGCTTCTCTGTGATGACTGCATTCAACTCACGGAGTTGAACACTCCTTTTGAGAGCGCAGTTTTGAAACTCTCTTTCTGTGGCATCTGCAAGGGGACATGTAGACCTCTTTGAAGATTTCGTTGGAAACGGAATCATCTTCACATAAAAACTATACAGAAGCAGTCTCAGAATCTTCTTTGTGATGTTTGCATTCAAATCCCAGAGTTGAACTTTCCTTTCAAAGTTCACGTTTGAAACACTCTTTTTGCAGGATCTACAAGTGGATATTTGGACCACTCTGTGTCCTTCGTTCGAAACGGGTATATCTTCACACGACATCTAGACAGAAGCTTTCTCAGAAAATTCTTTGGGATGATTGAGTGGAACTCACAGAGCTGAACATTCCTTGCGATGTAGCAGTTTAGAAACACACTTTCTGCAGAATCTGCAAGTGCATATTTGGACCTCTCTGAGGAATTCGTTGGAAACGGGATAATTTCAGCTGACTAAACAGAAGCATTCTCAGAACCTTCTTCGTGATGTCTGCATTCAACTCACAGTGTGGAACCTTTCTTTGATAGTTCAGGTTTGAAACACTCTTTTTGTAGAAACTGCAAGGGGATAATTGCACTTCTTTGAGGCCTACCGTAGTAAAGGAAATAACTTCCTATAGAAAGAAGACAGAAGCATTCTCAGAACCCTCTTCGTGATGTTTGCATTCAACTCACAGTGCTGAACCTTTCTTTGATAGTTCAGCTTTGAAACACTCTTCTTGTAGAAACTGCAAGTGGATATTTGGTCCTCTCTGAGGATTTCGTTGGAAACGGGATAAACCGCACAGAACTAAACAGAAGAATTCTCAGAGCCCTCTTCGTGATGTTTGCATTCAACTCACAGTGCTGAACCTTTCTTTGATAGTGCAGCTTTGAAACACTCTTTTTGTAGAAACTGCAAGTGGATGTTTGGTCCTCTCTGAGGATTTCGTTGGAAACGGGATAAACCGCACAGAACTAAAACAGAAGCATTGTCAGAAACTTCTTTGTGATGATTGCATTCAACTCACAGAGTTGAAGGTTCCTTTTCAAACAGCAGTTTCCAATCACTCTTTCTGTGGAATCTGCAAGTGGATATTTGGGCCTCTCTGAGGATTTCGTTGGAAACGGGATAAAACGCACAGAACTAAAACAGAAGCATTCTCAGAAACTTCTCTGTGATGTTTGTGTTCAACTCCCAGAGTTTCACGTTGCTTTTCATAGAGTAGTTCTGAAACATGCTTTTCGTAGTGTCTGCAAGTGGACATTTGGAGCGCTTTCAGGCCTGTGGTGGAAAACGAATTATGGTCACATAAAAACTGGAGAGAAGCCTTCTCAGAAACTTCTCTGTGATGATTGCATTCAACTCACAGAGTTGAACCCTCCTATGGATAGAGCAGTGTTGAAACTCTCTTTTTGTGGAATCTGCAAGTGGATATGTGGACCTCTCCGAAGATGTCTTTGGAAACGGGAATATCTTCACATAAAAACTAAACAGAAGCATTCTCAGAAACTTCTTGGTGATGTTTGCATTCAAATCCCAGAGTTGAACCTTCCTTTGATAGTTCAGGTTTGAAACACTCTTTCTGTAGGATCTGCAAGTGGCTATTTGGACCACTCTGTGGCCTTCGTTCGAAACTGGTATATCTTCGCATAAAATCTAGACAGAAGCATTCTCAGAAAATACTTTGTGATGATTGAGTTTAAATCACAGAGCTGACCATTCCTTTGGATGGAGCAGGTTTGAGACACACTTTTTGTAGAATCTACAAGTGGATATTTGGACCTCTCTGAGGATTTCGTTGGAAACGGGATAACTGCACCTAACTAAACGGAAGCATTCTCAGAAACTGCTTTGTGATGATTGCATTCACCTCACAGAGTTGAACATTCCTATTGATAGAGCAGTTTGGAAACACTCTTGTTGTGGAATGTGCAAGTGGAGATTTGGAGCGCTTTGAGGCCTATGGTAGTAAAGGGAATAGCTTCATAGAAAAACTAGACAGATGCATTCTCAGGAACTTTTTGGTGATGTTTGTATTCAACTCCCAGAGTTGAACTTTCCTTTGGAAAGAGCAGCTATGAAACACTCTTTTTCTAGAATCTGCAAGTGGACGTTTGGAGGGCTTTGTGGTTTGTGGTGGAAAAGGAAATATCTTCACCTAAATACTAGAGAGAAAGCATTCTCAGTAAGCTTCTCTGTGATGACTGCATTCAACTCACGGAGTTGAACACTCCTTTTGAGAGCGCAGTTTTGAAACTCTCTTTCTGTGGCATCTGCAAGGGGACATGTAGACCTCTTTGAAGATTTCGTTGGAAACGGAATCATCTTCACATAAAAACTATACAGAAGCAGTCTCAGAATCTTCTTTGTGATGTTTGCATTCAAATCCCAGAGTTGAACTTTCCTTTCAAAGTTCACGTTTGAAACACTCTTTTTGCAGGATCTACAAGTGGATATTTGGACCACTCTGTGTCCTTCGTTCGAAACGGGTATATCTTCACATGACATCTAGACAGAAGCTTTCTCAGAAAATTCTTTGGGATGATTGAGTGGAACTCACAGAGCTGAACATTCCTTGCGATGTAGCAGTTTAGAAACACACTTTCTGCAGAATCTGCAAGTGCATATTTGGACCTCTCTGAGGAATTCGTTGGAAACGGGATAATTTCAGCTGACTAAACAGAGGCATTCTCAGAACCTTCTTCATGATGTCTGCATTCAACTCACAGTGTGGAACCTTTCTTTGATAGTTCAGGTTTGAAACACTCTTTTTGTAGAAACTGCAAGGGGATAATTGCACTTCTTTGAGGCCTACCGTAGTAAAGGAAATAACTTCCTATAGAAAGAAGACAGAAGCATTCTCAGAACCTTCTTCGTGATGTTTGCATTCAACTCACAGTGCTGAACCTTTCTTTGATAGTTCAGCATTGAAACACTCTTTTTGTAGAAACTGCAAGTGGATATTTCGTCCTCTCTGAGGATTTCGTTGGAAACGGGATAACTGCACCTAACTAAACGGAAGCATTCTCAGAACCTTCTTCGTGATGTTTGCATTCAACTCACAGTGTTGAACCTTTCTTTGATAGTTCAGGTTTCAAACGGTCTTTCTGTAGAAACTGCAAGTAGATATTTGGACCTCTCTGAGGATTTCGTTGGAAACGGGATAACCCGCACAGAACTAAAACAGAAGCATTCACAGAAAACTCTTGGTGACGACTGAGTTTAACTCACAGAGCTGAACATTCCTTTGGATGGAGCAGTTTCGAAACACACTATTTGTAGAATGTGCAAGTGGATATGTGGGCCTCTCTGAGGATTTCGTTGGAAACGGGATAAACCGCACAGAACTAAACAGAAGCATTCTCAGAAACTACTTTGTGATGATTGCATTCAAGTCACAGAGTTGAACATTCCCTTTGACAGAGCAGTTTGGAAACTCTCTTTGTGTAGAATCTGCAAGTGGAGATATGGACCGCTTTGAGGCCTATGGTAGTAAAGGAAATAGCTTCATATAAAAGCTAGACAGTAGCATCCTCAGAAACTTCTTTGTGATGCTTGCATTCAACTCACAGAGTTGAACTTTCCTTTCGAGAGAGAAGCTTTGAAACACTCTTTTTCCAGAATCTGCAAGTGGACATTTGGAGGGCTTTGAGGCCTGTGGTGGAAAAGGAATTATCTTCCCGTAAAAGCTAGATAGAAGCATTGTCAGAAACTTCTTTGTGATGATTGCATTCAAGTCACAGAGTTGAAGGTTCCTTTTCAAAGAGCAGTTTCCAATCACTCTTTCTGTGGAATCTGCAAGTGGATATTTGGACCTCTTTGAAGATTTCGTTGGAAACGGGAGAATCTTCACAGAAAAGCTAAACAGAAGCATTCTCAGAAACTTCTCTGTGATGTTTGTGTTCAACTCCCAGAGTTTCACATTGCTTCTCATAGAGTAGTTCTGAAACATGCTTTTCGTAGTGTCTGCAAGTGGACATTTGGAGCGCTTTCAGGCCTGTGGTGGAAAACGAATTATGGTCACATAAAAACTGGAGAGAAGCCTTCTCAGAAACTTCTCTGGGATGATTGCATTCAACTCACAGAGTTGAACCCTCCTATGGATAGAGCAGTGTTGAAACTCTCTTTTTGTGGAATCTGCAAGCGGATATGTGGACCTCTCCGAAGATGTCTTTGGCAACGGGAATATCTTCACATAAAAACTAAACAGAAGCATTCTCAGAAACTTCTTGGTGATGTTTGCATTCAAATCCCAGAGTTGAACCTTCCTTTGAGAGTTCAGGTTTGAAACACTCTTTTTGTAGGATCTGCAAGTGGATATTTGGACCACTCTGTGGCCTTCGTTCGAAACGGGTACATCTTCGCATAAAATCTAGACAGAAGCATTCTCAGAAAATACTTTGTGATGATTGAGTTGAACTCACAGAGCTGAACATTCCTTTGGATGGAGCAGGTTTGAGACACACTTTTTGTAGAATCTACAAGTGGATATTTGGACCTCTCTGAGGAT